>NC_000006.12:70186139-70489170 GCF_000001405.40 Homo sapiens
GTTATTCTACTATTTGACCATACCTTATTTCACTTACCTAGTCCGCTGGACATTTGGATTCCTTCTAGTTGTCATAATAATAAACATCACTACAATGAACATCTTTGTACCTAACTTATAAAATAATTTTAATATGTTAAAGATTGCATTTATCTTGCACATGATCAGAGTATTAATCATTGATCAAAGTGTGCTAATATTTTTTCTTGTCATCTCAGAAATTTCTCCAAATGTGAGCTGGAGTGACAGACCTGTATGCAGATATATTTTTATAACTAAGACAGTAGCATTGATACCAGGCCTAAGTGCTTTTATTTCTTTCTACATGGCTTATTTCCATATCTGATTCTATGATCACACAAATCTCTGTAACTGTTCATTTATTTCTGTTAATTTTTAAGTCAAGAGAAATTGAGTTTGCCCTTCTGCAGAGTAGTCATAGTTAAAAGAATAATATAATGAGATACAGGACCACTTCAAGCATCATTCCGTCATATTTGGTGTGAGGATCACTTCCTGGAGTTATGCAACTGAATATTTGAAAATTTATGACTGAAGCAACTGCCATGATCTCTCTCTCTCTCTCTCTCTCATTCTCTCTTGCACAAACACATACAGTAGTAGACACATTCCAGGATAAAAAACAGCATCAAGCAAACTTCATATCACATTTAGGCACATCTAATATAATATTTTACTAATTAATTATGACATCTTATTCAACTGATTCTTGTTTTTTTGTTTTGTTTTGTTTTGAGACAGAGTTTCTCTCTTGTTGCCCAGGCTAGAGTGCAATGGTGTGATCTCAACTCACCGCAACCTCCGCCTCCCGGGTTCAAGCGATTCTCCTGCCTCAGCCTCCTGAGTAGCTGGGATTACAGGCATGTGCCACCACGCCTGGCTAATTTTTTTGTATTTTTAGTAGAGACAGGGTTTCTCCATGTTGGTCAGGCTGGTCTCGAACTCCTGACCTCAGGTGATCTGCCCACCTCGGCCTCCCAAAGTGCTGTGATTACAGGCGTGAGCCACCGCGCCTGGCCCAACTGATTCTTCCATAGTTCATTTATACTATTGAGTAAATGATGTCAGTGACATCCTCCCCCCAGTCACCTGCTTTGATCTTTTCAATGGTTCTCCCTTCTCACCATCCCGTGGGTATATATTTAGGGCACAGTGATCACACTCAACGTGCACACACACATGCATACACGTGTAAAGCACAAATACAGAAAACAAACCTGAAGAGTCTAATAAAGCACAAACAAACAGGGGAAAGCCAGGGGTGGGGAGAGCACATGATTTAGGAGAGATTTTGAATGTCCTAAAGTTTTTTTAAGTGAAAAGTCTCAGTAATGAGATCCAGGGGAAAGCCAGGGGTGGGGAGAGCACATGATTTAGGAGAGATTTTGAATGTCCTAAAGTTTTTTTAAGTGAAAAGTCTCAGTAATGAGATCCAGGGGAAAGCCAGGGGTGGGGAGAGCACATGATTTAGGAGAGATTTTGAATGTCCTAAAGTTTTTTTAAGTGAAAAGTCTCAGTAATGAGATCCTCTTGGCAATCTTCCTTTATCATTGCAAAGGAGACCCAGACCTCAAGTGACAGCTGGTATTGACTCAAAACTGCCATCATCCTAGATGGGCAACCAAGCACACCTAACATTCTCTCTATCTTTTATGTATTAAGTACTGCCAAGGTGCCAGGCATTGCTCTGAGCACTTTACTTGGGTTAATTCATTTAGTTCTGAAAATCGCCCTATCTAATGGATACTATTAATATGCCCACTTTGTAGGAGAGGAGGCTAGGACACAGAGAGTTTAAGTTATTTATACAAGGCCCAACAGCTAATAAGTGCCAGTATGAATCCAGAACTTTTGCTCTCAACTACAGCTGATGCTAGAAGAGATTATTCTTTGTTATTATTTTTTCCTTAACAGGGTGATCAGGGGATTCCAGGAGACAGAGGCTCACAAGGTGAACGGGGAAAACCAGGCCTTACAGGCATGAAGGGGGCCATCGGTCCTATGGGTCCACCAGGAAACAAGGGCTCCATGGGATCCCCTGGCCACCAAGGCCCTCCAGGCTCTCCAGGCATCCCTGGCATTCCGGTAAGTAGTGCTAAGACGCTTTAGGGCTCCTGGCTTGTACCGACCATGTATCCCTTTTACAATGAAAGCAATGATACTGCCTTTCAAATAAATAAAACAAACCTAAACTGGTCCCCGTGAGGGCAATAATAGCTGTCATTTAAAGTTATGTGCCAGATCCTCTACTAAGCACTTACTATACATTACCTCATTTGATCTTCACAATCATTCTGGAAGGATTGGTGTCCTTTTCAGCCCAGTTTTATAAACGCATAAAATGAGCATTAACTTGCCCAAGGTCACAGATTTATTAAGTGGGTCAGACCCAGGTCTGGATGGCTTCAAACCCACGCTTTTAACATACAGGTACTGTCTCTAATGTCTCCTTACACTACACAGAAACCACATATGCCTGTTTCATATTGCTATGAAACATGTCCATTTCATACTCTATTTTGTTGAATATCAGAACAACAAATCTGCCATGAGTAGTGCCTTGAAGTAGAAACCACTTAGGCCAAGAGTGTTTAGTAAAGGAAGCCCATATCTTTATTAATCCTCAAGAGGAGTGGTGAGTGGCTATTCTGCAGAGAAATTTAATCTGAAAATATCCATGTTAGGAAGAAAGGAGGGTCTTGAAGTGAAGTAGGGCAGTTAAAGACACATTCTCCTCAGATAATCAACCAATACCAGATATAAAGCAAAACTGAGCATTCATGCAATTTTCATACTTCTATATTTCTGCCCACTGTCCTGAAACTCTACTTGAATAAAGCCTGTGTAACTTCACTCTTGGGGTTGTGTCAGTAATTGGTATTAGTTGCATTAATTAAAGTTCATTAATGAAATAGAGCATTCTTGGAATTATTCTGTCCTACCGGAATCATCACTTTATAAGCCCATCATATTGGATTTTTTTTATTTTTATTTTTTGTCATTCTAAGTCAGTTTGTTGTTACAAATGAACTAGCACCATTATGTTAGGAAACCCCACAACAATACTATTATCACATATCTACACACAGACAGGATAGAGGAATTTTCAGTGAAGAGCGATGAGGAACCTACCCAAGAATGTTTATAATAAATTAAGGCTCACTATCTAAGTAGGCTCTGCTTCATTCTTAAATTCACATTGCATGGTGATTTTCCGTAGAGCTTCCAACTCTCTCATCTGACCATCTTCTGTTATGGTCTTTGTTCATGTTTATATCTCAGAGTGGGGCTTATTGCCTTTGTCACAACCGCCAATCTTCATCATATTGTCTTTAATGCCACACATATACCCCTGGATAATAATCACCAACTATAAAGAGTAGTAAAATACTTTGAAATTCTAACCATCAAGAAAAAAATAATAGCTCCTTTAAAAATATCAAGGCACTATAATAAAACATTACTGTTATAAATGTTAAATTCTTTGTCAAATGCATGTGGATTTACTTGTCAACAGGTGGAAAATTCAGCTGACATTATTTGCCTGCTTCCTTTTACCAGATCCCAATTAAGAAAAGAAAATTACTTAATACCTATATACTTGCAATGTGTAAATTACAGAATAAACTTTATGATGAAATGGGTAAAACTTGCTTTTATCCCATGAATACAACATTTTTTAAAATAATCCAGCATACTTGGAGTTCTGTTCCAGGTTGTCTTCCTTTGAAAATACATTATATCAATTAGATATTGACTTTGCCATCCAGGGATTGGTTAAAAGTTAAATTGTGATTAGGCTACTAACATCATGTTTATACTTTTTAGATTATTTAACCTTATAAAATGAAGTCATAGGAATGTCTTCCCTAACTGTATAAAGCCATGTGTCTCCATTTAATGGGAAACCTGTTGATACCACTGGTTATGATCCCAGCCCATAGCTTTTAAAGCAATTACACACTTCAACTTCTTCCCAGAATTTGGTCAAAGCAACAGATATTTATTGCCCAATATAATCAATTGCCAAAAGCATTTTTCTTGATAAATGCATCCCTACAGAAGTTTCAAATAGGCAAGCCAACCCAATATTTCTATTCTTTATTCATTTGTGCTATGCTCTATTTTAACAACCTTTTTTTTTCCTTCTTCAGGCTGATGCAGTTTCATTTGAAGAAATAAAGAAGTATATTAATCAAGAGGTCCTAAGGATTTTTGAAGGTTAGATTTTCTTAATAACATTTTCGAATTTTTCACTGATTCCCACCTCCCACCTACTATGGGGAATCCCTCCAGCAACATTCTCGAAAGATGGCCATGCCACAAAAACCTTAAGGGGCAGCCCATTTTATGATGGGACAGCTCTTTGATGAAAATTCTTCTTTATACAAAGTTAACTTTTGCCTCCCTGGAACTTCCTTTCATTATACCTGGTCTGTAAAACAACACAGGTAAAGTACCTGCTTGTACTCACATGACAGCCCTTTGAGTATTTTTCAATATCCCTCATACTCCTCCTTAGTTTTCTCTTTTATGGAGTAAATGTGTCTAGCTCCTCCACTATTATCACCCCTGGGAAATGTTTAATTTATAAATGACTCTCATTTACCAAGGAATATTTTGACCAATGCAGAGTAGTGTCTTTTTATTTAGACCAAAGTCAGCAAACTGTACCCCCTAGCCAAAGCTATTGCCACCTGCTTTGTACAGCCTACAAACTGAGAATGGTTTTTGCTTTTTGGTAGGGAGCAGTGGGAGCGAGTTATATTTTTAAACGGTTTTTAAAAATCAAAAGATATTTCATGATATGTGAAAATTATCTGAAATTTGAATTTGTTTCCATAAATAAAGTATGCACATTCCTTCGCCTCTTTTCTCTGGCTGTTATCCCACTACAGCAACAGGACTGAGCAATTGTGACAATATGGTACATAAAGGCTTAAATATTTTCTATCTGGCCCTTGCAGAGAAAGTTCTGACCCCTGCTCTAGATACTTCAATAATTCATCCTAAGATGTATTGCTTTTTGGAAAAAAGCATCCATATTATTCTGTTGATTCATTACGAGTTTTCAGTTAACTAACAGCCCTGGATCTTCCTTATAAAAATATTTTTAAATGAGGTGTTTCTCATTATGGACTGTGTGTTTATTTTTTGAATCTAAGTGTGTGATCTTATGTTTCCTCTTATTAATTTCAAATCATTTGTGTTCATATCTTGTTCCAACCTGAAGATGTCTTTTGAAATGTTGTCTCTTGAAGAGCAGGTTGGCTGACCCTATAACTTTGTGTCATGCTAAATTTCATAAGCATGTCATCATTCTAGCTGTTGATAGAAATGTTGACTAAAAAAGCCAAGAGTCAAGGATTAGGTCTTTCCAAATGCCATGGGATTCTTTCTGTCCACTTGTAAATCATCTTCTAATCTATTGTTTAGTGAGCTCTGAATCCATTTCATTGTCCTAAAACTCACCCTACATTTCTTTGTCTATTTGCAAGGAATTGACAGTATCACATGATTTTGACAAATGGTTTGCTAAAATCAAGATTACTCTTCTGAACTGTAAGATTTAACAAATGAATCCATGTTGGTTCTCATGGTTCCTACTTCCTTTGCTTAGCATCCATAAGCCAAAAATAGATTGTTGAATTTTTTTAAGGAATAAGATTATAAGATGCCCCAAGTCGATCTTGACTCCATTGCTTCAAACACGGACTCAGGTCTTCTCCAAGGAGTCTTGATTATTTTAAATAATAATTAGCAGTAGAGACTGAAATCTTGGTGCTTGGATGCACATTATCTTACTTTATATGAGAACTAGAAATACAGTAGAGTAACACTGGGACTTGTAGCTACTTTAATGACAAAACAGAAAAAAATGGGGTTTTTTGTTGTTGTTGTTTGGTTGGTTGGTTGGTTTCTGAGGAGTCTCATCTGTCACCCAGGCTGGAGTGCAATGACGCGATCTCAGCCCACAGCAACCTCTGCCTCCTGGGTTCAAGCGATTCTCCTGCCTCAGCCTCCAGAGTAGCTGGGATTACAGGCACCCACCACCAAACCCAGCTAATTTTTGTATTTTTAGTAGAGACGGGGTTTCACCATGTTGGCAAAAAATGTTTTTTTAAAGGTCGTGAATTTATGCTGTTGATTTTAATTTACCTTGATCTTCACTAAGTATCTTTATCTTGCTCTGATATGACAGTTTACTAATACATTTGTCCACTCTTTTGTTGAGCTACCAGTAATTTTAATGTTGCCCTTAAATTTTGAGGTCTTTTCTTTCATTCTCTTTCATTCTTTCTTCTTCTTTCTTTCTTTATTTCTCTCTCTCTCTTTCTTTCTTTGTTTTTTTTGACCCTTGAATCAAACATTGTGGACTAGACTCTAAACTTTGCTTTCCAAACACTCATTTCCCCGTCAGGAAGTTTGAAAAAAAGGCAACTGTTTGAAAAAAGACATCTCAAGCTCTTCAGGGGAATACTGAAGAATATACCCATGGCTACATAATTTGCGGTGTTCAGTGCACAGTGAAAATGCTGGCACACTTGTTAAAAAATGATTAAGAATTTTAAGACAGCAATAGTAAAGCCGTAAACTAAACATGGGGCCCTATGTGACTGCATAGGTAGCCCGGACATGCTAGTCCTGGGGACAGGACATCTAGAATCTCAGATAGTATCCATGCATTTAGTTGACCTCAACCATGAAAAGAGAAATGCCAGCGTATGTGTATTTTTGAATTGCAATCTAAAGTTTTCCTTTAACTCTTAATCCCTATGGGCTGTAGTGTCTTTATTTATCTTTTATCTAAGAGAGCTTTAATACTGAACTTCAGTCTCTTAAGAGGCTTTAGATAAAATCATATATTTAATAGTCAGTAATTAACCCATCTTTTTGGAAGCTGATTAAGAATGTCAGAAAATATAACCAAGCATTTTCAGAAAAAAAAAAAAGTGACATGTTGAGATATAGAAGGTGTTCGTTTTACAAGTCCATCAGACACTGGATGAAGGTGTGGCCCCTGGCAGCCTGCCCTGTGCATTCAGCAAAAGAGACACTTCTACTCCCTCCTGGGGAAGGCTCCGTCCTGCCCACTCCCAGGCCATTCTGTGGCTACTCTCATGAAGGGCTATCAGTCTTCAGAGGAGGCAGGTCAGGGGAGTTGGGCCACTCTCCATCTGTGTTGGGGCAGGCTCACCAGACTTCTGCTTTCTGAGAAGCTCCTCCTCTGGGTCTGGATCCTTCCTCTCTGAGTTCCTGCCCCTCCTTCCTCTGTCACAGCCCACCTGCCTGGAAGCTGACAGGTGCAGAGTCCTCCCCAGGTCTCTGGCTTCACACCCATCTCTCTTACTGCGTCTCTGTCTCTTCCAGCCTGGCCAGGTCCAGGTGAGTGGCTGGACCCCCACCAGAGCCAGTACTCCCTCAGAAACCACAGGTGTCTTAGCCTTAAGACAATATTTTAAAGCGACCCATAAGGAAACTATTTTCTGAGACTTCTAAACTCTAAGACTCCATGTGTGATAGCCCTTTCCTTTTGTCTCTCTTGACACTAGTCCAGCAAAACTGTCTTCTCCCAAACAAAACTGTGCCTGAAACCCAGAATTTAGTTATTTAGCATTTAAGTTAATTTGTCCCAAGATCATTTCAATTCACTCCATTTAATTTTCCACTTAGAAATCACTTTTTCCATGGCTTCTGAACACCATTTACAAAAAAGAAAAAAGAAAACTCCATTTTCACAAATCATAAAGCTCCAAGGTCACAATTACCATTTTCGGAAAGTTTTTTCTCTAAAAGCAAAGATTAATTTTCACATGTTAAAACAGTTACAGTTAAGTAGTACAGACAGCTAACTGCTACAGTTAAGTAGCACCCGTCTCCTTCTCTTTTTCTTAGTGGTTTCACAAGAGACAGTGTCAATAACAGCTAATGCTATCTCTGCTGCACGCATCCCTGCACATCTGCAGCCTCGAGAGCCATTGTCTCCGAGCGGCAAGTCGCAGACTGTCAGCAGGGACTCGAAGGAGTCCTTGGAAGATCCTGCTCTCCAACTTTATCATCCCAAGTGTCCAGATTACACCCTCTAGTGAAACCCTAGACCAGGATGACCCAAACTTTGGGCTCTCCTCTTGTGGCTTTTTAACCCCTTTGGGGCTTCCCAGGTGACCCACCTGGTGATACAATACCCTACAAATCTCAAACCTTGATCTATTTTCCAGGCCACCTAACCTCCCTTCAACATCCTGGTGCCCCTTCCCAAACCTAACTGTGGTGGAAAGAGGTGTCTTTTCACCAATCCCAAGTCTAGGTTCCAGATTGATCACTATGCACAAATATATATCCTCTCTGAAGTTCAATTAAATTCCCAATTTGATTGTCCAACAAGTCAAGTCCTTTTGCTAGTAAAGTGACCACACAGGACAAGGACAGATGCCATCCATGTGTCTCAGCTTAGCATTTGGCTTTAGAAGGGCTTCCCAGCTGCCAGTGATGCTGCCCACACAAATGAGGCTCTTGCCAGATCTGAGAAGTTTAATTCTTGCTATTACACTGTCCTATTATGCTTGGGAATTTACATCAACATGCAGGAAGAATTTACCAACCTTTGCAGAAATGTGTACTAACATCTGGCTCTCTAAGTTCTTGAGTCAAACATGGGACCAATAAGCCCACACCTCCAGCTGTGGGAGAAAAGAAAGATTTGGGCTAAGTATTCCCGAACAATGTTTCTGCCTCCAGATTTCCAGTGTTCAGAAAATCCCCTTACCTATGTTTTCTCGATATGCATTTCATACATATATTTCATATATATATATGCATATATATATGAATGTGTGTAAATATGTATGATCCTATTTTCTTATCCCAAAGTTGTAACATCTTTTCTTACCTCTCTACAACTAAGATATTAATTTTTATGTATGTATATATGTACTTGTTATATACACTTCATCTGATAAATATACATCATTGATGATATATATATATATATATATATATATAAAGAGTTAAAAAATATATTTTCCACCACATAGTCTCTGTTTCTTCCAATTTGCTTCTTTCTGTTTTTTTGGTTGCAACTCTGTTGTTCAGTTTGTAGGATTTCCTCAGTGTCCAGTAATCCTTGGCTGTCTGCATACATAAGAGCAGGGTTTTAAAAACCGATTGAAAGTTGTGAGCGAACAGTGGGGCTTGCCAACCTCGAGTTTCACTTAGGGTAGTCCAGATGGGCTTTTTAAGTGAGGGACCCTTAATTTCAGTGTCTTTAAGTCTTTACTCTCAGTCTGGTCAGATTCTCCAGTGGAGACATTCCATTTCCTGCCTGGCTGTGAGCTTAGCTACTTCAGATTTTCAGTTTGGAAGCCTGAGTCTCAATGGAGTCTGGGCTCCTCCATGCAGAGGCAGACTACTTACCCTTTTAAGATAATAATAAACCCTCAGTCTTTTGCTAGGGATGGGGAGAGGCACCTGCCTAGCTGTATAGAGAAAGGAATTTCAACAACTACTAAAACAGGCTTTCAATCAGTGCTCCTTATTTTAGTTCCCCTCTTTCACCCCCACTTCCAGAGGTAACTTGTACTGCCAATTCTGAGCCTTCTGAGGATTTTGTAGTTTAGGTCAAGTTATTCCTCTACTTCTAGTCTAAGAGTTTAGTTTTCTTGCATTTGTTAAGTAATGTATCACTCAACCGTCTGGTTCTTAACTTCCAAAATTGTGCTGCTATTGTCTCCTTTCATATGCTCCCCCATTCTTGTCTGTTTAGGCCTTTAGGAGGATTGTTTTGCTAGGATTCAGGAGGTAGTTAAAGCAGATCCATGTGTTTAATCCGCCATCTTTACCCATGATAGTTCAAAGCAACATACTCATTAAGGTGGCAAATGATTGAGACAGAGACAAGTGAAGTAGTAACCACCTTTGGGTCATAATGAACCACAAAATAAATATGAATCCACCAAATGATGCTGTTGAATTAACAGTGAAAAATGAAACTAGAATATAATTATTAAAATATCACAGGAAATTACTCTTCTGATATTTTTGCCCTTTAGGAGAGAACTATATTTAATTTTGGTTTCCACATTTAGGAGACATTTATGGAAAAGCCCTGAAATAATGGAACCAAAAGGAGATTTACAAAATAGATTGTGAAGCCTATGAGTAAAAGTTATTTAACCTGAATGCTAATATGTAACAATATGACTGATTTCCCAAGGGAAATACTCATTAACTGCTCTCTGTTTCCATAATGGGGTAGCAAAATAAAATAAATTGAAGTTATACCAAGAAAATGGATAATTAGACATTTCCATGGGCATTAGGAGGAGAAGAATTTCTGTCTTTGAAATATTTACAAATTTTGTCTGTGAAATAGAAGATAGACATGGGCCAGATGACATGTGTGTGTTCCTTCCTTCTCTAAAATACGTAGTTTATCATCATATTAATATTAATGTCTGTATTATATTAAGGAGCCCATTCTCCAAGGAAGCCAAGCCTTGGTCTCATTTGTTAGAGTGACTGCTGTGGCTTTGCCTTGGCAGATGGAAAATGTGTGTTTGGTTTATGCATGCTTATATCGGAACTCTTCAATTCCTGCCTCATTAGAAAGCATAGCCAAAAACATTTTAATTGACTGAAGATCCCTGAAAACAGAGGAAAAGCAATTAAGAATAAAGGCCTTTACAATTCATCTGGATGCTCTGAAACATATTATTGTAAATTATAGAGCATTAGGGTAGGGTTCAGAAGAGGTAATTACCCTTATGCTAAATGACTGTTTCTGAGTGTATTTCAAAGCCAGATAATTTACAGCTAGAAGTAGTGAAAATAATTATCTGTTTTGCTAAAAATATTAAAAACCACCAAAGTACTTCTAAACTCAATTCATATATTAAAGAGGAAAAATTAGTACTGTGAATATTTGTGTTTCGACATTGAAGGTATTTAAACAGACATGTTTCAAATTAAGAAAAATTGTGACCGGTCTCAGTGGCTCACGCCTGTAATCCCAGCACTTTGAGAGGCTGAGGTGGGTGGATCACGAGGTCAGGAGATCGAGACCATTCTGGCTGACACGGTGAAACCCTGTCTCTACTAAAGATACAAAAAAAAATTAGCCGGGCATGGTGGTGGGCGCCTGTAGTCCCAGCTACTCGGGAGGCTGAGGCAGGAGAATGGCGTGAACCCGGGAGACGGAGGTTGCAGTGAGCTGAGATCACGCCACTGCACTCCAGCCTGGGTGACAGAGTGAGACTCTATCTCAAAAAAGAAAAAAGAAAGAAAAATTGTACTGAAACACATCTCTTCTTTGAGGTGCAGAACAGCAAATATTCAAACTGTGATTATTGAATTTCATATTTATTGTAATGCCCCAAGTTCATAATTTGATGTAATAAAGATATTATATGTACATTCAGTATGATGATTTGTAAAACTAAAACTATATATTAATTACCTATTTGTTTTATCTATTAATTACTAGAATAAGATATAGTAATATCAACCACACATCCCAGGTAGATAGTGAGGTAGTGATACTCGAGGGCAGGTGATTTCATATCACTCCTTGGGACCAGCATCCATTAGATCCCTGTTGGCCTCCCATTCATCCTTCAGTCTGCAGCCAGAGATTCTAGTCCTGTGCGGGTTGTGGTATATTTCCATTCTGCATGCTTTGTGACATGAGAATGTGAATGTAGGTGATTACTTTTCGGATAATGTCAGCTAATGCTCTATAGCTATTGGGGCTTTTCTCTTAATAATTCTATATGAAAAAACAATTGTTTTTCTTTCTTAACCAGTATGGGCCTACATTGTTTTTAAATGATTGTTTTAATTGAAAACTCATGGGAAAACAGATTTTCCTCAGAAGTAATTTACTCTTTATTTAAAAATTTACATAAAATAAAAGATACATATCTGTTTAAGTATGCCTTTGCAATTCAACTAAATCAACTAAACTGAATGAAAAGACTGGAGAACATGGAAGTAACTCTTTACAAGACCTATATCATTTGGGCTTTGTGTTTTCTAACTGACGGCTATCGTTTCTACTGCGTTGTTGTCTGTCATTTGGTCTTTACTTACAAAATAAATACTAATTTCCTCAGTAAAAAAAACTTTTCTGGAAGATTTGTCTGCACCAAACCCAGACTAAAGTTTTTAAATTGAATATTTATTTCTTACTACACAAAAGTGTCTTTGAAAAATTGTGTGTAAATTATTTTAAAATAAAACCATTTAAATTACTAAGAGATTTTTGAAGAAGTTATGCAAAAAGAAAAAGAAAAAACAATGCGATTAACTTCTTGTCATGGCAAGGATAGAGCCTCCTCAGGTTTTCTGTTTGAAATCTAGTTGTTCATATATTAGATTTTTTAAATGTGAGGTATACTAAATATAAACAAACCAAGCAATTTTAAGAAAGACTCCAGTGATAGATTGTATTTATAATGGCCTTGGAATGAGTTAATGATTTTACCAAAATTAATTTCATATAGTAGTAAAATATTCGATATGCTTTTTTTAGTTATCTGTTGCTGCATAAGAAAATACCTCCAAACTTTAGTGGCTTAAAACATTTATCTTACATTTCACATTATAAATGTTTATTATCTCACATTTTTTATGGGTCAGGGACTTGAAGTGTTGCTTAATTGTATGGATCTGGCTCAGGATCTCTAATGAAGTTGCAGTCAGGATGTCATTCAGAGCTGCAGTCATTTGAAGGCTTGACTAGGGCTGGATGATCTGCTTCCAAGTTCATGTGCGTGGCCACTGGCAGGTAGCATCAGTTCTTCCCCACATGGGCCTCTCCACAGGACTTCTTGGGTGACCTCACTCCATGTCAACTGCCTTCCTCCAATGAGTGATCTAAGAGAGAAAGCAACTAGGAAGCCACGATGTCTTTTATGACCTCATCTCTCTAGTTGCCCACTGTTAATTCAGCCTTTTTCTTTTCACTAGAAATGAAAAGTCTAGCCCCCATTCAAAACTAGGAGAATTAAACTCCAACTTTGGAAGACAGTGTCAAAGAATTCATGAATATATTTTAAATCACCACACATACGTTCACAACATTCCTGGAAAGTGCCTTAAAGTTATTATGAAATCATTTTTTAATGTGAACCTAAACTCTCTCCACATGCCATTACCAGAGGTTAGATTCCATGCTAGTGTTCTGTCCACTAGATTGTTACATCTCAGAAGCACTGAAAATTCTCAGACTTTCTGAGTGACACAGCTGGTCTGCATCTATACACAAACAACTTTGCAATCGATATTATTTGTCTAATCAAAAAACTCAGCAGTCAGACCAGTTGGTAAATTAGATGTGCTTAAATTAAAAACTAAATCTTTTTGTTTGTTTGATTTCATGTATTTTGAAATTTTTTGACATAAAATATTTCTGTTCTATGATATATTATTTTTTCTTCTATACATGAAGAGAGGATGGCTGTATTCCTATCCCAGCTCAAGCTGCCAGCAGCAATGTTGGCTGCCCAAGCTTATGGGAGACCTGGGCCACCAGGGAAGGATGGGTTGCCTGGGCCACCAGGAGACCCTGGACCCCAAGGTAAGTCTTCAAGTGTAATATTGGCTTATTGATTTTTAACTCTCTGTATTTATAACATGTTAGTCACAGTTAAGGAAAAAAGTATGTATGTATGTCCTTTATTTATACATTACATATATAAATATATGCAATATATAAAATGGTTTCATATGTAATCTCTTTATAATATTTGACATTCTAGAAGTAGATGTTTAACTATTACTACTTCAAATTTAAAACCAAATGAGAGTTACCTGGTATTCTAAATGTATTGTAAAAATAATATTTATTATAACAATAACAGCAATAATGTGTGCTTATATATCATTATTATCTAGGAATCTTAGAATTTTTTAGGCTTCCCCTTTTGGTGTAAGTTAAGCAAGTCTCCATCATCTGAGTGTCTTAAATAAACTGGAGAAAGAGTTTTAGGTGACTCAACGACAAATAGTTATTTGGTTCTAAAATATATTTTTAAGAAATTTTAGAATCTTTCTGCTTTGAATACAGCTTGTGGATGGTAACTTGAATGTTAAAGAATTTTTCACATGATTTCTAAAGTTCTTAAAACCCAACTTATATTGGCAAAGAATTTTGTTCCACTTATGACAACTTGACGAGAGACATAATCTTAAGTATAGCTTAACTAAATTAATCTGACAAGGCCATTTGCTAGAAATATGATTAGCAATCCAGCAAAGTGGCCAAATAGGCCCAGGCTTAGAAGAGTCAACAACTCTGAAAGGGAAATATTAAATTCAGTGAATATATATCATGAAAGATAAGACCAGGAAAACTGCTTCTTATTGTTAACCATGGAGGATCTCAGGTTCCTTCCTTGAAATAATCAAAAGCAACTTGTATAAAGAAAGAAAAGTGGAAATTAACACTAAAATTAAATAAGAATGCAGTCCAAAATAATATATATGCAAAGAAGTGTTTTTCTGTCACCAGTTTCCTTCCTACTGCTATTCTGTAATATTGAGCCTCATTTTCTGAAGTGTCCCAAGGTGACTGATGTGCCCTTCCTCTTCTGAAAGAGCAACATCTGTTCAGTTCCCAATAGCAGTGCCTGTTAGTATATATATCTTAATATAACCTTATAACCTATGACCATGATTGCCAAGTCTTTGCGTTTAATTAGCACAATATAAAACAGGAACAGTTAAAATCTCTCTAGTTTTTTTTAAACGATACATATATTCCACCATTATCTTTAGATTATAGTGAAGTTTGGCAGATTGATGAAGGAAAGAGAAAAGTATAGGATGAGAAGTAGCCCTCTATGTATACACTATTGTGTAGAGGGGGCTAATTATTATCTTTCGCTGGTTGGGTCTATTCTGAAGTCAGAGTATATGAGACTGGCATGCAGATCTCAAAAGCTTATCTGAAAATGTGTAATGCCTCAAGCCACGTGAAGAATAAGCAGCGTTAACACCAATAGGAAGAAAACTTTGGATAGATCCTTCAAACAGTGGTGGTTTGAGAAGACAAGAACAATGGAAAATTGAGATGATCAAGGAAAACAGCTCTGGAACTGGGGTCTCCTGTTCCACTCAAACACCTGGCTTCAGACACCTCACAGGTGCTGCGAAGGCCCATTTGGAAGGCTGTCAGTCAGAGGCAATTCTAAACCCACAGTGTCAGTGAAGCTTTTGGAAACAAGCCTTCTGTTCACCACTCCACTTGCCCTTCCTTTTGCAAAGGATTTCTATGGATTTCATCTGCTCTTGTGCCTCAAAGATATTATAGACTACTTCTACTCCTGATAGGGCTTCTGGATGCAATTCTTAAACTTGGAAGATATCCCCACATGATTTCCAGTTTTTTTGTGAACCAAGGTTTACTAAAATTGTCAAAACTTTTGTCTCCCCATTGGGTTTCTGACAACAGACATATCTTGACTACAACTTAGTATATGTCTCCTTAACCTTTACATAATACTTTCTTTTCAGTATTTGTTAAATTTGCCTAAAATTTAGCAAAAAATAAATAAAAATTGCAAAACATAGAATTCATTTTTAAGGAATATGTGTTTCTTAAAAATATTTGTTTTTAAGGAATATCAGTACAGTAGGCATGCTGTACTGATAATCCTGCCTAAAGGCACAGAGAAATCTCACTGAAAAGAAAGAAAATGAGAGGCTGCTGTTTAATTTTTGGTGCCTCTAGAGAAGTGCACAGGAAATTGAAGTGTTTTTCTCTAGTACATAAATAGGTGTGACATGCTCAGAAGATGAAGTTATACATGTAACTTATAAGCTTTGCTCTGCTCAATTTAAGTGTTTTTTTCCAAAAAGGAAAGAAAAAAATGCATTTAAAATCACCAGTGACCACGCAAACCTCGGATGCTGTTGTCTGAATTAGTCCTCTTAATGACACAGCATGACTGAGTTTAAGAAAGGGTTGAAGTCAGAAATGCAACATAGGTTGGGAAGAAAAGATGGCTTCTGAATGTGACACAGTGTGTTCTGCCACTCATTCATCCTGTCTGATGGTGGCTCCTCTGAAATTTCTAGATGAGACATTTTGTTTTGTTTTGTTTTGTTTTCAGTGTTTGTCAGGAAAGAAATCCATTTGGTTCTGAAATACATTTTTAAGAAATTTTAGAACCTTTCTGCTAATAGAGCTTGTGGATGGTAACTTTTGAACTTTAAATAATTTTTCTTATGTTTTCTAAAGTTTTTAAAACCAAAAGTTGCTTATATTGGCAAAAAACTTTGTTCCACTTAGGACAATTTGACGATATATATCATCTTAAATATTGCTTAACTAAATTAATCTGAAATGTAAAATTAAAATTAAATGGTTGGTTTGAAATGTGCACTATGGAATGAGTCCTTTATTATCTTTAGGAAAGGACAAAAGTATAAAGGGGTTTCATAAGGTTTCCTGTGCTTATTCTGAGAAGCCGGAGACGTATAGAAAGCAGTGAGAAAATCGACGTCAGACTGTGAGAGGTACACAATTCATATTGAAAAAAGGAAGAGCCGCTCCTACCAAGATTCTGATCATGAAAGCTTGAGGATCCGCCTTCAGCACCCTGACCTTCTTAAAGTGAAAAGAAAGACCTTTTGGATTCTGAGTTGCATCACTTCATTTGCAGTTTTTCTAATGTTTCCAAAGGGGTGATTGTCGATGTCTTTTTTAAATTGAAAACATTTCCAGACAGCTTTTAGATTTTAGCCGTCCCATGGGGTTCTGAGTATTGGCTTCCTGCTGTGCCTTGAGAGAACTTTCCTTGGTGTCCATTCCCACCTGGGGCTTGCAGCACAGGGCCTCATGGCTGGTTCTCCCGGGTATGAGCTAAAATGTGCCACATCAGAATAAAAGAAACCCCAAGAAGCATGATTCAGCTGAGTTCCCCTATATAAACAGGAGAGGCAAATTTTCCTAACAGACGTTATTCTTTCGAGTGAGTTTTATGAGAAAACACTTCATTTAAACTTCTTCTCAAACACAGCTGATTCTCCATCACCTATTCCACCCGAGGAATAGATACCACACCTAAAGCCCTACTCATTTCAGAAGGAAACTCACATGTGGGGTCAGTAGGAAAAAACAGCTACATCCATCGCATGCACCCTGCATCAGTTCCAAAAGGACAGTAGTGGGAATAGTTGTTCTTACTTGTGCACTTTTAAAGTAATTGATCATACATACTGTTTGTAGGAAGCACTTGTGATGTATAGATTTGACCTTTCAAATTTAGTAGCATTAGGGGCATTTGGATATGGGAGGACATGTGTGTGTGTGTCAAAATGACTGAAGGGCACTGCTATCAATTGGTGGAGTAGAACCAGGGAGGCTAAACAACTTGTAAGGCACGAGGCAACCCCTAACCCCACCCCCACCATGCCCACCGTAAACAACTATCCCTCCTAAAATGCCAATAGCATCCATTTACTGGCCTTTTTCCGGTATGTATACAGGCGCACAGATTTACAACTTTAGAAGTAAATCTCTGGAGTCAAAACTGAAATCTTCCTACTGGAAATAAACACAGTCTACCACCTGAAAAACTACACCAAGCACCAGGTTTCATCAATGACTAGTACCTCTAGATGCTTTCAATTAGGACACTGCTGGTGTTTTATTTGTTTTCCTACATGAGCTGCAGTTTTATCAAGCTGTCATCCTGTAGAATTTTTTTTTTTTGAGCCGGATTTTCACTCTTGTTGCCTAGGCTGGAGTGCAATGGCCATAATCTTGGCTCACTGCAACCTCCGCCTCCTGGGTTCAAGCAATTCTCCTGCCTCAGCCTCCCAAGTAGCTGGGATTACAGGTGCCCACCACCATGCCCAGCTAATTTTTGTATTTTTAGTAGAGATAGGGTTTCACCATGTTGGCCAGGCTGGTCTTGAACTCCTGACCTCAGGTGATCCACCCATCTTGGCCTCCCAAAGTCCTGGGATTGCAGGTGTGAGCCACTGTGCCTTGCCCATCCTGTAGACTTATCGTATATGGAAATACATGTCTCTTTGCAGATAGACCAGCCTCTTCCAAATTTAAAGACAGGTCCACGCTGAAGAGGTGAAAAGCTTAATTCTATAAATGGGGAAAGCTGTTATTGACCTTGTTAGCATTCCTACAAGGAGTTTTGTTATGAAGTAATGATAAAAAAGAAAAAAAACCCTACGGCTTTATGGCAGCCTTCATAATGAATGAGCTTGGGACCTTAATAGGAAATTCAAGAGTAGAAAGTACTTGTGCAATTCAGTCGCTTTATCTATTAATAACAGGTAATTATTAACCTAATGAACTGAGAAATTTGTACATGGAAATTGTTACATTTGACAGGAGAAGGGTAAATGTTACCTTATGCAAATACACGAATCACAGTTTCTTAATTTGTAATACCACATGAACCGAAATGCATGCAGAATAATATATTTCTGCATTATATTGCAAATCTGAGAGCTGAACTTAAATGAAATCGCTAAGTTTTAGCCAATATATTCTTCATTTGGAATTGCGTTACACTCTTGTTAATCCTCTTATTAATCAAAAGTTCATGTATCTTCAGTTATTATTCTTCCTCATATTTTTAGCCTGTAATCTTAAGTACTTACCGAGATAGCTGAGGATCAACTTTATAACTTTTCTGTAATAGTGGGACCTGAGTTAAACTATCAAATATACCTCAGGAAATAAATATTATTTTACTCCAGAAATGTTTAAGTAATGGATTTGGGAGGGTGGTTTCAAATGACCCTAAGTATATACATTTTTTTCCTGCTGTTCACATACGTTAAATGAAAGTCACCTATATCAAAGAAATCCTGGAAACATTTTAAATTTCAATATAGATCAACTATGGTTATTATGTCACATGTCAAAGCCACTGTTCTCTCTAGGGTCTAGGATTGTACTGAATATCTTTAACACAATTTTCAAATATAAATATGTGAAGGTTTCCTGCTGGTGGGTGTATTTCTACTATATACTTCAAAATATTTTTAACATATATTCTTTTTTCCACTAGTTTCACATTTATGATCAGGTCTTACATAAAAAGCAAATAAATACCTGTGTGGTGATTACATTGCCAATGTTGTTCAGATAATAATGTGTACATTGTATGACCTAGTCAAAGTGAAAATGATAACCCCTGCTATCTAAAAACTGCTATCTAATTCTCAACAATAATGGGAAATAATTGATCATACATACTGTTCATAGGGAGCATTACATTTTCTCCTCCTGCCATGTTCTACTGTAACAGCACACCTTTATGAAAAGGCACAACTAAATCACAGCCTACTGTTTCCTACTGAGATGCTCTCCTACTGATATCTTTGCTGTGTGTCCACATGAGTCTGCATGGCTGCTCTGTCCATTTAGGACAAGGAGTGATCTTTAAGGGGCTGTTTAAGTATGAAAAAGTTGGAAATAAAAACTCTATTTGCCATCACTGTGAAACTCTTACAGCATGGAACCTTTTATTCAAACAAAGTATTACATGGGTGCCAATATATAAAATGCAGATAAAAATGCTTTATGCTTTTTATAAGCAGGGATAATGACTTCCAGAGACACAAATTTCTCTGTACTCTTGTAGCTCAGCCAATAGCAAGCATATTAGATAGTAAGAATAATTTTGTTTTAAAATATAGACAGATCTTAGACCTAATTCATTTTGGTTAAAATATCTTAAGTTGATGAAGTACATTTGGGAGACTGTCAGTCTCCTCTCTTGTTTCCTAGCTTTGCTGAAGCTCCTTTGGAGTTATACACTGCCATGTTCAAACATGGGGTGGATGTTTAAACGTTACTTAGAGAAGATATAATGTTTATAGTTGATCATTTGAACACAGACCTGACTTTTTAGATGAGTTAACCCACATATACTCATGCTCTTGCTATCATTTATTAGAATCTTGAATTATTTGTTCCTTTCATTTCCTTTAATTCTTGGAATAAGATCCGTATTCCTATTATATTATCTTGTTCTCATTTTAAGCAAGACTCTTTCCATATACTTCTTTCATTTAGCCTATACCTTGCCTTCAATCAGAATTCCTACTGAAGAGGGCTCACACAGCTTGTCATAGCTATTTGCAAGATTGATTTATTTAGGTGTCATTTTCAGAGCCAAAATCTCGCTATCAAGAGTATAACTAGTTGGGGCTGGGCATGGTGGCTCATGCTTGTAATCCCAGCATTTTGGGATGCCAAGGCGGGCAGATCACCTGAGGTCAGGAGTTCGAGACTAGCCTGGCCAACATGGCAAAACCCTGCCTCCACTAAAAATACAAAAAAAATAGCCAGGAGTGGTGGTTGAGTGCTTGTAATTCCAGCTACTCAGGAGGCTGAGGCAGGAGGATCACTTGAACACAGGAGGTGGAGGTTGCAGTGAGCCAAGATAATAGTGCCACTGCACTCCAGCCTGAGTGACAGAGCAGGACTCTGTCTCAAAAAAAAAAAAAAAAAAAAAGTTTGACTAGTTGGAACTTTTTATAGTAATTGCATGTTTTTTAAGATCCTCATTGCCCTATTATACCCAATCTGTTTGATATGTAAGTTTAATATGTGGTTAATGCAAAACAGTTAGCTAATATACTATTTATTTTAAGCAAATGTATCACATAATTATCACAGACTCAGAAAATGGTTCTTCTCTGTGCTGTGTTGCCATAGAACCCTTTTTGTGTGTCTCTTTTTTATATATTTCTCACTTAGGCTACAGAGGACAGAAGGGAGAAAGAGGTGAACCTGGAATTGGGCTGCCAGGGAGTCCAGGTCTTCCTGGGACTTCAGGTAAGTGGGATATTGTCTTCACAACACAAGCAAGCCTTTACAAATTAGAACCATGCTTCTCCCCTAGGGTCCTTATATGTCAAGTCGAGTGATCCATGTTGGCTAGAGGGTGGGAGAGAGGAAGGGCCATATGTGATCTGCATTGTAATTTTTTTTTTATGTCGTTAGCTCTGGGTTTGCCAGGCTCACCAGGTGCCCCAGGCCCACAGGGCCCCCCAGGACCCAGTGGAAGATGTAACCCAGAAGATTGCCTCTATCCTGTGTCTCATGCCCATCAGCGCACAGGTGGGAATTGAACACACCTGAAGAAGACTTGGTTCCTGGTAACATTTCCTTGCCACTGGAGCTCTCTTAATACCGTCAAACCCTCATCATCTGTGGGTTGCTTTTTTTTTTTTTTTTTTTTTTTGGGAGTAAGCCAGGCATTAAAAGCAACCGTTTGAATCCTATTCCTATAGCAATTGCAAATCAGCATTTTTTGATTTTTCCCAAATTCATTCCATATGTTTTGCTTTACAATTGCTATGATTTTTACTCAGAGTTTTATATGAAATATGCAAGTAAATCTTATCGTTAGTTCTTCTTCAAAAGGAAATTGCATCTTGTGACTTAGTAGACTGATGATGATATCCATTTTGTAGACTCATCAACATGTGGTTGGCCTTTGATTTCTGAATTTTAAAGTTTCAGACTTATCTTTTCCTTGGTGTTTAAATTTACTATCATTGCTAAACATCTCGTCAACTTTTTTGATATAGTGCATTGCTCCTGTTGAATGTTTTTTGACTACTTTTTATAACTTAAGAATTTTTATACCATCTACATCTATCCTACTTATGCAGAAAAATAGGCAATAAGAACTTCATTTTACAATTTATGTTTTCAAAAAAAAAATGCAGGAAACTGTTTTATCAGGGAGCCCAAACACCCAGCATAGCCAACTACTGAAATGATTTTGTTAATTCTGTATAATGAGCTCAATTCAAAGCAATCACCACTGGCATGAATAAGTACTGCATGAAAAGGGAGTATCAAATTCCAGTTTTGTATGAGTTCTGCAAAAAAAGCCTAATATTCTGTGGTCCCCTCACTCAGTCTCTCATTTGGTAAACAGAAAGCTGTTTTCCCTACAAGGTGCTTGGTGGTGAAGCCACCAAGCTGTCTTTGGTACTCTTAAAGCTTCAGTGGCCTAGCAAGATCTTTGGGCCCTTGTATCCATTATCCTTATGACCTCATCACCCTCAGACTTTAAGACAAGAAGCCACCATCAAAACAAAGGATGGGATACGTATAGAATGGACTCACTTGTCCTAGAAGATGAATGTGTAGTGTCAGCAAATGCATGTTAAGAAGGTGAAGCCCAAAAGCTCTTAAGGAGAATTGTATTTCTCCAGAAGCTGCAGCAAGAGGTACAGCTCAACAAAGGAAAACCACAGGACTGGATATGCAACTAGTGCTCAGACCAAAGAGTTCACACCCACTCTAAAACCATGTCCTCTGAAAAGAAACAAAAATACAGTGATCATCAAATGCCTAAACAGTCTTTCTGTTGGTTAGCTGTACATTCATTGAGGAACTGTTGATTGGCAGGCACTGATTCTCTAGAACACTGGGCATGAGGATGTTGCAGAAATCTAGATGGTGGGTCCCACAGATGTGAGAACATGCTGCAAGAGCCTGCCAGCCACAGCAATCAGGACTCACAGCTCTTCAAGGAGCAGTGCAGATTTCAATTTGGCTAAAACAGGATGATTGCTTTTGTCTGTTTACTGAAAAATGAGTTTAGAAAGGCTAGCCCACTGACATTGGAAAAAGCTGTGAACAGAGTTGTGTCTGAGGAATGTGCCTAATTTAAGGCAGGGTTTGTTCCAATGCATCCGTGATTTGAACCGGTTTTCATTATAGATTAATGAACTGCTGGTCAGGTACTGTCTACAATGGCTGTGCATACCTATAACATTTTAGGTATTTCATATTGAATTATGCTGTATATTTCAATTCCAAGTTTATTTATTTTCCAAGGTTATTTTATTTATTGTAAGCATTTTGACATTGATTTTTTTTTTTTCGTTTTCTTTCTTGTGCAATACCTACAATGGTGCTGTGTTTTAAACTTACACAATTGGGACATACGTATGTGTTTTCTTAGTAAAATGGTAATTTATCCCGAAAAAGTGTACATAGATCTAAAATTTGGTGCTATGTGTATATCTTGAGCTTTTAATTTGTTGAATTTTCTAAACGCTTACAACTTATCTGCCACTCATATTAATTTACTTGAATTTGTCATAAAGCTAAATATTTTATATGTTTTCAAAGATTATTTTTTCATATTAATAGGTTGTTTATCTTTTTGCCTGTTTGCTAATTTAAAAATATTTATTTTATCATTTTAATGTTTTCATGGACTTTTTTGCTGATGGTAATCAACTTTTTTTGTTTTTTGGTTTTTGAGTTGTTCTTGTCATAGACATAAAAAGACAATTCATTTTCTTGTTTTATTAACTCTGTTCATTTTTATTCTACAAAATATGTCATGCATTCTTTCTTATGAATTGTATATTTAGAAATCTTTCTAAATACCATTAAGGCTTGACTGGTTAATTCCTATTTCAAGGATTTGGATTTATTCAGGTAATTTGATGGGATGGGGAAATATAATATTGTGTGATGCATATTACAAAGTGGACTTGTCACAATGACACAAACTCATTTTTTGTAACTGGGAAATATGACTAAATTTGACGTAACTAGAGAAACAAGGCTGTATCCACATGGTACAAGCCTTTCTCACCCTACTCTATTATTTACCTTCAGATACTTTTTCCTGCCTCAGCTCTGTACACATGATATGCAACAAAGGGCAGCAAGAAATGCTGGGTCCACCTAATTTAACACAAAATGAAGTTGAGATTCGGCAGTTGCCCAATTCCTTTAATAAAAAGAAACTAAATAATTTGGGCCCCAAAGTAGGGTGGGAAGTTTTCCTCTAAATGACTTGATGGTTGCCAAATCCCTTGCACCATTTTATTCCATTCCAAAACATGTGTTTATTTCCACATAGATGTTAATGATGTTCAAAGCAGGGGAGAAGAATTATTCAATTTCATGAATAACTCTTGTTTGCACTCCAGAAAACAACATACATGTTTAAATACAAAATAATTATGGGCCATGACGACGATTAATATTAAAACTGTGATTTCCATATACAAGTATGTTTGAGTTCCAATCTTACATTTTATACCAAGTTCAAAACACTTTCAGATAGAAGTCTTTCTATGCAAAGATTAAAGTATGACTTCAATTCATATTTATGGCCTTTGGAATCCAAAGAAAAACAGAAGAATAATTCATGGATTTGTTCATTGTTCTTTCCAACTGAAGGCAGTAACCATTACTTCTAACCGTAACACAAACACAGCAAGTTTTAACCTTTTAAACTTTTCACTTTGTGAGCAAAGTAACCCCATAAGTTTATTTCCCTATTTCATGGTATTGTTTAAACTTTAAAATTTTAGTCACTTAAAGAACTTAAGCAATTATATTAAAATACGTTGTCTGTGAAAATTATCATTTGATATTTGGCTTATAAAGTAATTTTTATGAATCTGTTTTATGAGTTAGGTAAGATTTAGCCTTTCTGCAGTCTGTCTCATCTGTTGGGAACCTGTGATATACCTCCATTTGTCCACAAGATGGTGTTTAAAACAATTTGTTCAGAAGAACTGAGCAAACTAACAGAAATACAAGGCTACGAACAGTTTAGTGGACAACTAAATCAGACTCTTGCCTTTGCACTTTTTTTTAACTTTTGTAGATAATTTTTGTTAATTTGTTTTGTTAATTTATGTTTTTCCTAATTTTAAGCATCTTTATGAAACAGGCACAGTACCCTTTGGTTTGTTGACTGTTTTGATTTTATTTCTTTGGTGGATATATATGTACTTATACACTTAGTTAACATGCAGATTAACTAGTCATAACTGTTTATACACCACTCTCATATTTTAGTGATCAATATGAAGACAGCTAAATAATTATCCTACTTTTTAGACAGGACAGATACTCTCAACAGACAAGAAAAAAGATTTAGCTTATCACAAGAAGCAGACAATTTATAAAACTACACAATGTCTAAACTCTATGTTGCTCAGTGTACTTAAAATTTTACAGTTATATTTGTATAACGTTTATATTTTTCTAGAATACATCACTATTTACAAAAGTACAATTAGAAACACTGTTTTTTTTAAGTACCGTTTTTATTTTCATAACACTAATAATACACTGGGATTGAGAATTTCTGTTAAGTGTTTTGCTGACGTTGTTTTAATGAATACTCAAAAAAGCTTTGCAGATTTGTCCATTGCTCTTGTTCTTAAATTATTTTTCATACTTGTCTGTATCCACCTTCTGAAGACACACAAGTGTTTACTGTCGCAGTTTCCCAGCGTTATTTCTTAATACTTGAGTGTTGACACATTTTTGTACCATCCCCCTTTTGTACCATCTCTGCTCACAAAGATTATATGCAGGCTTTGAAGAGGAGGAGATGCAGAAGATAATTGAATTTGTATCTTGTATGCCTATGTAATTCAAAGTGACTTAGTCCATTGAATTGTGTTCATTTATTAGTTGGCTGGTTAAGATAGCATTAATTATCTTAAATTTATTCAACTACTAAAAGTCTCAGGCAATAGGACAGATGAGTGT
This sequence comes from Homo sapiens, assembly GCF_000001405.40. Classification (NCBI taxonomy): domain Eukaryota; kingdom Metazoa; phylum Chordata; class Mammalia; order Primates; family Hominidae; genus Homo; species Homo sapiens. The sequence continues at coordinate 70,211,695 of NC_000006.12, forward strand.
CATCATTTTTATTGTGTGGCATACTTGGAGCTATAATCCAAACGTTTTACTCAACAAAATAATGCTAGAGTAACTGATCAATTTGGTTAAATTGAATGAAGAACCAAGTGAACACAGAGAAAACTTATTCGGACAAGTAGACCCAGCACAGCAAAAATTTGTCTGAAAGATAAGACAAGCTTATAAGACCAAAGCTAAGTCTAAGAAAATCTAAATGGAAAAAAAATTGCGTGTTCAGATCCAATAGTGAGTGATGTGGTACAACTGGAGGAGTTAGCTACTTGCTTCATGAATTTGTCAAAAGTGAATACTAATAAAGTGGGAGGCTTCACTAAATGAGGGGGTAAATAAGATTTAAGTTTATCAGAAGTGTGTGTATTGTGTGACCATACTAAGCTTCTGGGTGTAAGTAAAGATGCTGGCTATTTTACAACTTTTTATTGTATTGTGTTATGCAAAGTACATTTTGGAGATAAATGTTTTTCAGCACATTAATGTCTTTAAATTCAGGTTGTATTGGGTGTATTTTACAACTATTTATTTTTAAATAACATTTAGGGTGTGTTTTCCCCCATTTTGTTTGTTCTCTATCTTACCTCATCAAACTCTTTACGATTTAATTGAATATACTCATGTTAAGTGCAATGGCATTAGTTTTATTCAAAATCCCACATGGGCATAATGCTTTGAGGCCTTGATTCCTACATGTTCATTATGCATAATGAGCTTGTCACCTATCTCAGCAATAAAGGTTCTGACCCTATGTCAGGGAAATCTAAGGTGCAATTATTAAGGCCATATCTACTCTTCATCACTTGCCATGGCTGAAGCTCCACACTTCAGTCCATTTTGTTTGGTGTCAACCATGGGGATGCTCCAGAAGCACTCTTGGCTAACCATGAGCCCCACAGGTGTCCAAGGAACGTTAATTGGTCTATTGCAGGGTTCATGTTTGTACCATCATTATAGTTTTCTTTGTCACATGAATCATTGCTCAGCTTGAAATAATCAAGTTTGTCACCCATCTCCCTGGCAGTTCATAAAAAGCCTAGTCTAATTATTTCAGATGAGAATTATAAGCAGAATCAAAAGCCCAAAAGCAGGCAGTCCTTTGGGACTTTTGTCCCCCAGAGTGATCATCTCACTAAAATCATTTGAGACTTTTTGCTATAGAGGTCCCTGAGGGAGATAAGAAATAACACAATTAACTTTTCTCATCCATAGAAGCTTTTACACCATGAGTGATAAGGTAATAGGCAATAAGTAGTTAAATACATAGCAGGTTTTCTTAACAGAAATTAATTGCATCAAAACGTGCCAGAGGATTTATATGTTTACCTATACCGGGTAATAACTTACATAGTTCTTAACTATTCCTATCTTCAGGCCCCCTTTGGATAAATTAACTAGGTGCTCTCTAAAGAATGTTGTTGTCTTTTCACACACATATTTTCAACTTAAGAGACAAAATGGAATTTCAAATATATCTCAGAAAGAGAGGTAATTTGTTTGAGACAGTTTCCCTCCCTTGTTCTCTCTCCAGCTATGTTTTGATAACTTGGAGTCAAAAGTAATTTGTGAAGGCATGTTAAGCAGAGAGTTAGCATGAATTGCCATTTATTAAGACTAAAAGTAATTTTCAGTTAGCAGCATCCTCTTCCTGATAGCCAGATCAATCAAATATGTTACACTTCCTCTCGTTGATCATTTAAAGAGCACTTAAGCGTGTGTATTTACAGACAGGCATTACTACAGTCAGCCCATTTTGATTTAATAGTTCTTGAGCCATAGGTACTTTATACTGCCATGTCCTGGATCACAACTCACTAAAGAAGGCTACACAATTGAAAAGTATTTATTTTACTTTGCACAAAAGGGCTTGACCTATGTTTATTGAACACAAGTATTATTTTTAAAAAGATATTTAAAATCATTTATGTTTGTCACCCCTCTATAAACAGCAAGATTGCTAGTTTGCTAGTATTTTTTCCTTAATACTGAGTTTTCACTCCTTTTGCCAGGTTACCAGCAAATATTTTTAAGTAATTTTCTTGATATTTGGAAATCAGAATTTCTATTGGTTTTCCACCTATGTTGGTTTACTTAGTTTATTTTAGAGACAGGGTCTTGTTCTGTCGCCCAGGCTAGAGTGCAGTGGTGTGATCATAGCTCACCATGGCTTCAAACTCCTGGTCTCAAGCAATCCTCCAACCTCAGCTTCCCGAGTAGCTGGGACTACAGGTGCTCACTACCATGCCTGGCTAATTTTTAAATTTGTTTTTATTTTTACAGAGACAGGAGACTCACCGTCTTGCCCAGGCTGGTCTCGAACTCCTGGGCTCAAGCTATCCTCCCACCTTGGCCTTTCAAAGTGTTGGGATTACAGGCGTGAGCCACCATGCCCAGCCTTGGTTTACTTTTAAACTCAGAGACTGTATCTCAGAAACACTATAATCACCAAAAAATTTTAAAAACACAATAGAGGTGATCTTCTACAGCAGGAATTTATATTAAGCTTATTTCAGTTGGCAAATAAATCAGATTTTACTAATGATGTTTAAGAATAGCGATATTGGTTCAGTCAGCTTGAAATGTAAAGTATCCAAATAATCAAATCGATCATCTATCCTGATATGACTACTCATTCATATTCTTCTGCTGTGCAGAAGCCAATTACCCAAAACCATGCCAGGGAATTTATGTGCTCAGTCAGTCTCGGAAGTGATTTCCACAGTTCTTAACCAACCTGTCAGCTATTAGGGTTGAAAATCATATCATACTGCCATAGAAGCACCGGCTAGAAATAAATCAGGAATCATTTGCCCTTAATTAACATGCCAGGTTCAAACCAACTTTATTTATTTACACTCTCCTCTCCCAGTGAGTGCTCTAGTTGCCACTTTATCCAACTTTCAAAAATATCTCAGAGAGGATTTGAGATTTCTATTTTGCTAGAGAGACATGCTTGGTCAGATTCAACATTTACCAACTCTCTTTCATGGAGGGAATTTGCTGGGCTCTTTTCCTTGCAATTTCTAAGCCAAGTGTCTTCTGCTTCTGTAAACTACTTCACTTAACTGAAATTTATAACGAATTCTTCCTGCCATTTGGAATGTGGTAGTTTTGCATAATCTATTTGTAAGTGCTTGTTTCCAATGTTGCTGACTGTATCTGTGGAGCTTGTTGTACAACCTTTACATAACCAGGTTTGTAAAACAGTTGAGTGAACTGTTCTTTGAAATTTTATTTTTTTTAATTTTCTTATGAATATTATAAAACTTAGAAACATGTTTGATTATCTAATTTTTCTTTTATTGTATTTGATTATGTCACTCTAGTTAAAATAAAAGCACTTTGGTGAAAAGATAATTTCTATGCCTTTATTTAATTATGTGTCACAGCTCCTGAAAAAGTTTGCCATTTTTTTAAGGATTGTTTTAGGGAGCTATAACAGAGACCTTTATTTTCAAAAGTCATATTTGAAAAAAGGGAAAGAACATTCTTTCAGTCTATGTAAATAGCACTGATCTATATGGCAAAGTTGGAATCTTCTTAAGCAAAATTCATGCTAGAAGCATAAAACTAGATGCTGTAAGCAGTTTTAAAGAAATCCAAATACAGATTACATAATGATTGATTTAACCAAACAACTAGGACTAGAATTTAAAATGTATAAAAGTACACACGAGAAAAATATATATAAAAAATTATATTAGGGCTCACTCTCCTTTGACTTGACAGAATTTAGTTCCATAAACTAACTAAAGATACTATGTTGAGCTATTGTTTTATGCCCCAGCACAGGTTACTCACAGGCTCTGTGATATAAAATGAATATATTAAGTCTGTTGGATAGTTAAGTAGATGTTAATGAAACAGCAAGCCAATATGATTACACAGATAATAATAAAGTGCTTAAGTGGTCAGGAAATACTTGTTAAGAATACAGTGCTTTAGCTGAGCTGCATTTATAAAATTTACAAGAAATGGTGAAACATAAATCATGTTTACAATAAAGTTCTGAGTAGGAGGGAGCTAACAAGCCATTGGAATGAAGGCAGTGGTTCTTAACCTAGAAATAAAGCAAGGCTAGACTTAAAAAAGTCCACGAAATCTCTGAAATACTATACAAAAATATAGATGCGCATGCAGCTGCACATCTTTCTAGGGAATTAACATTTCGAAAAGGTCCATGAAGCTCTCTCCATACACACTAAAACACACACACACACACACACACACACATACGCATCTGTCACAGGGTAACACCCTCTGTGGAACAGCTTTTTAAATTACTTTATGTAGAAAAAACACTAATATTATAAACATACACCTATAGAACCAGTAGTTAAGTAATGTTTAATGTATCTAAATAAGCTCAGTAACTTCTTTTCATTGAACATGATTATTTATAAGAAAACATGCAAGAGATTAAGAAACCATATTTATTTCTTCTTTGGTACAACCAGAGATGTTACCTCAAACCTTTAAAATAAATAATCTCATCAATAAAATTTATGAATGCCAGAGTATTAAAATTATTTCTTTGCTTTCACATAGAAGCGCTCAAAATATTAACAGGTTTGGGGTAAAGTACATACAGTTCAACAAAAGTTCAAGGTGAAGAAGGAAACCAATACATGACGTAAAGAAATCATTTCGGGAGATGTAGCCCTTTCTTATCACTCCAGAGACAGCACATCGATGAGATTTTAAGCACCAATTCCATTGAATGTAGTGGGGTTTCTTCATAACTAGTCTAGTAATCCTCTATATAACTGAAACAATAATCTGAGAACAACTTCTAAATGAAAATAACTACTGCAACTGAGGTAAACCAAACAGTTGTTTTTGTTTATTGGCACAGTGGCCCACGATAAGACACATAGGTATAGCACACTAAAGCTCAAGATCCTGGGAACAGGAGTATAAATTTATTCAAGGGAGGTGTTTGGTTTTCTTTTTTTTTTTTTAACTGATGACTCTGCTGTCTTCCCTCCAAGGGAAAGGAAAGAGAACTTACTGAATAGCACCGTTCTTCTATATGTGATTGTCAAGTAGGACTTCTGTAATCATACTGAAGGTAATACATTGTAATCATGCTGAAGGTAATCATCTTTGCCCCAGCTTTGGATGGTGTTTCTCACCCAGGCTCCTTCACCAGGCGTGGTTCATGCAGACAGCCATGCAGCAGTAAGCCTTTCAAGGGTCAGGCCCTTTGTTAAATGCTCGCTGACCAGCCTGCATGGTGCAGGAGGCTGGCTCACAGAAACCGGGAAGCCCAGGAGGTCCCGGGGGTCCAGGCACTCCAGGAATTCCTGCCACCCCTGGGGGGCCTCGCTCACCGTCTCGGCCATTTCTGCCATAGCTGGCAGGGCCTGGGTCACCTGAAACACACAGAAGATTGCACATGTGAACAGGAGAATCCTCATTGATGCAAACTGGCAGAGGGCATGGCTCAGCAGCGCTCAGATAAGGGGTTTAACAAACGCTTTTGGAAGCGATGGATGATGACTGGTGATGATTGGTGATGATGATGATGATGATGATAATAAGATCCCTTCCTTGGACTTGGGTTTTCATGGAAATTAAAAGCAGAAAGAGACCTCAGTGTCTCTAACCCCCATTTCCATCAGTAGAGCTGCACCGTGCACCATGGTAGCCTCCAGCCACAGGTGCCTATTGAGAGCTGAAATGTGATGAGGCCAAATGGAGATGAACTAAGGATCAAACACACCTGGATTTTAAAGACTTGATATGAAAAAATGTAAAATAGTTCATTAATAATTTTTGTGTCTATTACATGATGAAATGATCTTTTGCACACAGTGGGTTAAGTAAACTATATTATTAAAATTAATGTCACTTGATTATTTTTACCTTTTTCATGTGGCTACTTGATTTAAAATCATACATGCAACTCACATTTGTGGCTCACATTATATTTCTTTTGAATGCAAGTAGCAGTATTCCTTACTTCTAAGAGTTGAGCAACATCCGGGCAGGGAGAAGTATAGTTTAGCGGTTAAAAACACAGGTTTTGGAGACAAATAGCTTTACATTCTAGCCCTATCATTTATGAAAAATGTGACATTAGCAAGTCACTAATCTCTCAGTTTCTTCATCTACAAGATGGGATAATGTCTTCCTAATAATTAAATTCAGGCCAGGTGCAGTGGCTCATGCCTGTAATCCCAGCACTTTGGGAAGCCAAGGTGGGCAGATCACCTGAGGTCAGGAGTTTGAGATCAGCCTGGCCAAAATGGTGAAACCTCATTTCTACTAAAAATACAAAAAAATTAGCCAGGTATGGTGGTGTATGCCTGTAGTCCTAGCTACTCAGGAGGCTGAGGCAGGAGAATTACTTGCACCCGGGAGGCAGAGGTTGCAGTGAGCCGAGATCGCGCCACTGCACTCCAGCCTGGGCGATAGAACAAGACTTCGTCTTAAAAATAATAATAATAATAATTCTACAATTGGAAGCACCTGATAAATAGGGGCTATTATTACAATTATTAAGATATTATTGATTAATGTCTTTTAGAAGGCTGTGCCATGTGCCCTACAAATTTTCATATTTTTCTCATGAAGGGCTGACCCCAACATGAACTTTGCAATAGCAGGTTCTCTGGGGGACATTTCTTGCTTGTCTTCCTTTTGTCGTGTTTAAGGGTTGTATGTTGCCCTCAATGGGGCACACTCTCTGAGGCACAGCACCCCATAACAAAGAGGAATTTCTGCTGAATGTTTACCCCAGTGCACTAGCAGCACTTTCACACAATTATTGCAAAAGTGGTGATGAGAAGTCAGTGTAAAACAAATTGTGTATGCCAAAATAATATAGGGATCCTCATTCCATCTCAGCCATCTTAACCTGGTCTTTCAGCCAAAAAGCCGGAAGCCAAATCTACATGTTCAACTACATATTTGCTTATATTTGGTTACTCTCCTTCTTTCTCTGTGGTTTTTACTTTTCTTTTTCTATTTCAGTTGTCTTTTTATATGTCTTTTGTTGGTCTTACTGTAGTAATATGGTCTTATTCATATATATCTCACATATTTTTAGAAGGAAGGTAGGTTAGAGATCCTGCTTTACATAACATCTCATTCTTCCTCTGGTGCATACACTTCGATCCACACAAAGCAATGTCATAGGGCAATATATTAATAAGTTTTAAGGGAGAATAATTATCTTTGAATTTATCCATCTCAAAGCTATAGATAAGCAGAGATATAAGTAATTTTCCCTAATTTATCCCATATACTTTCATTCAACTATACCTAGTAAGTATGAAGCAGATCATTATGTGTTTTCTTTTAATGATGAGGTCCCTGAGAAAGCTTCTCCCTAATCCACAGCATCTATAGATAAAGCTGTAGCAGAACTATGCCCTTAGCAGCACCTGTTAAGATCCTTAACACCAGATGCAGTTAAAGGTGAAGTTGATTTTTTTAAGGTTTAAAAGATGAGCCAGATCTAAATCCGATTTTCATGCACCTTATCACTAGGAATGTTCCCACTGAGACATACCAGGTGTGCCTTAAAATCAAATCAAGTTTAGGAGAAGGAAATGCCCAAAGAAGAGGTAGAAAACCAAATGAGCACAGGGGCTGGGATGGTCATTGAGATCAGGGGTGGGCAAACTTCAGCTCATGAGCTAAATCTTGTTTTTGTAGTTTTATTAGAACACGACCATGGTCATTTGTTTACATATTGTCTGTGGCTGCTTTGGCGTACCAGGGCAGAGTTAAATAGCTGCAATATGGTGCCCATAGCCAAATAATCTGATCCTTCACAAATAAAGTTTGCTGATCCCTGATGTTATAAAGAAACAAGCCTGGATTAAGAAATTCCCCCACTGTTTTTACCAGATGAAAACGTAAAGTACAAATGCAATGAAATTTGGCCACTAATATTCCACGTAAGTGTTGGGGAGACCAAAGGGAGGAGTGAGGCCTGTGGTGAGCTGGAAAGTGGATGCGGGCAGCAGCTCTTCTCCAGCTAACAGCTGTCATCGGGGAATACAGGCCAGTGTTGCCAGAACTTCTGATAATTTTCAAGAGAGGCCAGGAAGCTGAGTCTTTAAATAAATATCTCCCAATGTTTAAATGTTAGCAACTAATTCAAATTTTTTTCAACATTTGTAGAGCCAGCCAAAAACCTTAAGTTTTAAGTAATTTATTCTCTAATACACTAACAATATTAAAAAGCAGAAGGATAGCTTTTTAGATTTTCACATTTGGTTCCCCATCAACACACTTCAGGAGAAGTTTTTCTTTTTCTTTTTTACCTTGCTGAGTTTATTCCAAATTGCTGCTTATCCTCTGAAGGAAGAGTCGATGAAGCCATCCTGTCTACCCTTGATTTATTTTATGAAGCATGCATCTCATCCAGTTCTGCCTTTGGCAAATGCAGCAATTTACCCTTTGGAGCTTTTGATGATGTCATCATCATCATCATCATCATCATCATCACCACAAATGCTTAATGAGAATGCTTTCTCTTTTCCATGGGCATACACTATGCTCATTATTGAGCCCATTTTTCTCATGCATAAACTGAGAGTTAGGAAGGTCAAATAATTGTCCATAGTCATATAGCCAGAAATGAGGACCCTTAACCACTGCACTAACTGTATTTTCCTACCTATTGATTTTTTTAACTCTGTGGAAGGGTGTGGAGGGGTGTGGCAGGGTGTGTGTGTGTGTGTGTGTGTGTGTGTGGTCATTTTTTTTAATTCCTTGGGCCTGAGTTGACCAGGAAGTAGACAGAGGTACAAAAACAAAGCACAGTATTGACTTTTGCAGAGCTCTAATGATCATAAGAAACTAAGATATTTCTCTGAGGTTTTGCCCTGTAGAAATACCAGAGAAAAAAAAACAGCCTTAACATAGCAGATTGTCAGGCTCTGGAAAGCCCTGACCCAGGGCCTTTGCTCTCATGTATGTTCTAAACTATGTGGGAGCCTCAGTTGGGTGACACTATGTCCACAGTCCACATCACTCAAAAAGTGAAGCTGACTCATAATAACGGTTCACAAAATGGGCATAAATGGTTAGCCCAGCAGCTACATTCATGAATATCTATCAACTGCTTTGTAACTCTTCAGAAAGAGAAAACATGCATCTAAAGTGTTATTCTGCTCTGCCTGCCTCATGTGTGTATTACTTACACTAACTGCCTAATGATTACATGGTTTTCTGAAATGTCAAGGACCTATAAATATGTTGAATATTCCCAATACAAAGAAATGATAAATGTTTGAGATGATGGATATACTAATTACCCTAATCTGGTCATTATGTAATATTTCTATTGAAACATTACTACATATCCCATAAATATGTATAACTATTATATGTCAATTAAAATAAAATAAAATATTTAAAATTATTGCTAAACGTTTTTTTTTTAAACAAATGAATAGCTATGTCATTCTCTATAAAACCACTAGAGGGTAGTCATGTTACACTGATGGAAGCCCATCTCGGCTGGATCATTCTGGAGGCAGCCCCTCACCTAATACATGCTGTGGCGTAAAAGGGACTGTGTATACAGTCAAAACAAAAAAAGTGAATAATTTTCACATTAAATAGGGTATTTCATAATTAATCCACTGGTTATGTAGACTTTTTGTATGTACCAGGAGTTTCTTATATTTCTTGAGCTTAATGTTGTGGTATTTGACAAAGCAGTATATGTTTAAGGAATTATAAACTGGTTTATGTAAGGCCCAGCAACCAAATAAAACAGCTGCAGCAATGGAAATGGAAAAATTAGGTACTGAAAAACTTAGCCCAGAACTGAATGTGTGCGTGTGTATTTTTCCACTCAATAGTCTCAAGCAAAGCTCACCTTTCTGTGGACTTTGCACAAGAAAACCAAATACTCTTATAACCTAGCATAGTCCAGCACAAAGCCAGCTACAACTTCCATGTCCAAGAGGCAAAAAGCACCTTAGCTCACAAGTCACCTTCCTAGTGTTCACATTCAAATGATTTGTCATTTAATTTATGTTTTGCCCTAGTGAGTGCACAAAGAGGAAGTCAGGACTCTTTATTATTAATAAATATGTTCCTTTAAAATTCTCAGAGTGACGAGGAACTAGTCCCAATGGGCAAGTTTGGTGGCAGCAGAGAGAGTCTTTGAGACAACCGACCAAGCAATAACACTAGCTGACCTGTGGCACAAAACTGAAGGCGGGGGAGACTAAAGTTCCAGGGATTGCTAATGTGATCCACGTAGCTCTGCAAGAGAGGCAGAGAAAGAAGCGAGACACTCAGCAATTATGGGACATGCTCAATTCACATGTCTAGGTTGCAAAGAAAAACTAATCGTATGATTAGACAGCCAGCCAATCATTCTGTCCACTTTGGGAACATAGACTCAGGAAGCATGAATATCTGTCTTGTTATTACCTGACAGACTTTTGTCAGGACATGAATTTAAGAGTCTGTATTTTCTCAAATATATTATAAAAAAAGGGAGCAACAATAATAACAGTTAAATTTCACTAAATAATGTCAGAGTGTCTGTTTGCCATATGCCAGGCACTGTTCCAAGAGCTTTACATGTATTAACATGTGCATATATGCTCTAAATACAAGGTAGGCATAGTGATTCCCATTCACTGAAGAGGAAACTGAAGCACTTCAAGGTAAAAGAATAGTGCATAAGCCCTGGCAGCCTGGCTCCATGTCTGCACTTCTTAAATATTCACCCAGCCTACTCCTGGCTGTGAGAAACAAACTAGATTGTGCATGTGTACTTTTTAAACAACAAAGCACTGTAGCCAAAATGATCATCAATGTAAAGGTTATAATAATAACCTGTGTTCCATAACAAGCAATGAGCATTATGTCCCTGCAGGGCATGTAATACTTAACACTGAACAAACAGAGATACAGCATTGGAGAGGGGAGACAGGGAACTAAAACTGTCCAGAAAGAATACAGGAACTCTAACAACCGATAGAAAATGATGATATTAGTTACATCGTTAAAAATATGTTAAATGCCTTAGCACAAAGAATGATCCAACTATCTTTTTTTTTTTTATTCAGGAGGATTTGAGCCCCAAATCCAACAACAGGAACAACAAAGAAGGTTGCAGACTATGCTGTTCTGCAGTTTCTTTATTTTAGGTAAGAAAAGAATTTTTTTATCTAGACGGTTCCAGACAAATTACTGCACAGAATCCTTTTGAAGTTTCATCAGGCCTTAAAGTCCTATTAATATTATGTTTTTGAGAGATCAGAAATCACATTCCTAGTCACATTCAAGCTCTACCAAGAAATAAAAAGCAGTATAGCCTCAGTGGACAATTAACCAGTGAAAAGATGTACTGCTACCCAGTACTTCGCATTTGTGATTTGGAGTTGAAGTAGACTTTCATGGAGGGAAGGTCTGGGCATCAGGGGCGGTGCTGATTTAGAGAAGAGTAATATATTACTGCTGATCAACGGCAAGAGAAAAAAGCTGCAGGGGCTGAACTGGGGCCCAACTTTGCCCTCAGCTTTCCTTGATCCACCTTAAAAAGCAAAAAGTGGACTTGATATATTAATAATAGTATGAACAACCAACATTTCTTGAGCGCCTACTATAGCCAGGAACTGTCTTAAGCAATTTACATGGATTGAGTTTCTTTATTTCTCAGAATTACCCTATCAGAGAGATGTTCTTGTTATCACTGTTTTATAAATGGGAAAACTGAGGTGTAGAGAAATTAAGTAAAATGCCCAATATCATAAAGTTAGTTAGTGGCATAGTCAAAACGTGAACCTAGGATGTCTGAATTGTAGATGCCACTCTTCAAACAGCCCACTTCCAGGTACTAGCTTTAAGGGAGGAATGACCCAAAAAGCTCATGTCAGGAACTTGACTGACTTGAGCATATGCACGGTGTCAACAAGAGAATGTGGGCCGACCTCGAAACCCAAGCCCTCAGCTGGTGCTTTCACCTGCGCACTACACGAGGACACCGCGCCAAAGCGCAGAAAACGATCCACCAGCAGACCCCTCTTCTCTGGCATCTGTGCTTTTGAAAGTTAGCCTATATTCCTGAAAAATAATCTGGAACTCAGATTTGTCACTAAATAATGTCAGATATCGTCTCAATTAAAAGGTAACAAAAGTCCAAAAAAGGAAGGTTACCGAGGTTGAGACATAGAAACCAGGACAAGGAAATCAAGAAAGAAGAGTCAGCTGGGAGGTGAGAAGGATGGGAGATAATCAGAGCTGATGGGGAGAGCAAAGTGAGAGGAGGGGAGAGATCAGAGGAGGGCAACGATTTTGGAGGTGATCCCAGGAAAGCAGGGGCAAGGACTGGCCAAAGGAAGAAAGGAAAAGGAAAACAGAAAGGACAGGTATTAGGAGTCCCCTGGATCAGGGGGTCCACAAAATGTTTCAACAATTCAGATTTAAGATTAAATCCAAGATCAGCTAAAATTAATAATTTTGTTTGTAAGCGATCCTAGGGAGGGCTGCAAATGATGATCTTGTCCTGCCTCACAATTTACTTACACGTGGATGGTCTGATGTTCTAAAAAGCAAGTCGGGGAAGCCCCTCTGACTGACTGTGTGCCCCGTTTGCGCCCCCCATCAACTTGGCTCCTGAAAATGGTTTACTGCAGGTGGGAGATAATGTGCTTCTGACAGTCTGGGACACAGCACACATGGAGCTGATCTTCTCAATCTTCTCATCTTTACATTTAAATTGTGGCTTACCAACAGATTATTTTCAAAGTGAGAATCCCTATAAACCATAATACATTTTCAATAAAGGAAAATGTTGCCAATAGTGCAAGTCATTGGTTCAAGAACTGTTAAGCGATTTGTCAATAAAATGAGAGAAGAAGGAGTTATTAGGCTTTCTCATAAATATATAGATAATTAAGTAAATTGTGATGATGGTATGTTGTCAGCCTCAAAACTTCCTATTCCTACTACTGGTGATGGAGACAGGCACCTTTAGTAAATTCTATTTCCTTTTCCTCTCCTCTACACACCCATCAATGAATCCAAGCTTTACCGTATATTAAAATCTTCTCTAAATCCCATTTAAGCCAGATTTTCCTTTCATTACTAATCATAAATCTTCCATTTCCAATTATAAAAATTTATCAATATGTGAAAACATTTTGATGAGCCCATGAATCAGTTTTAGAAAGGCAGTGTTTGAGTTATCTCCAAACATTCATGTTTTTTTAAAAAATTTTTTAATGAGAACACAATCCCCAGAAGCAATGAAATGGATAATTGGAAAGCAATGATGTTTTTGGCTACAATTATAGCTGTGATTAAATACATCAGCCTCTGGCAGAATTAGAAAATTGTAATTTCTTTTCCTAAACTTCCCTAAGCCAAGTTTTCCCAAACCATTGTGGAAGCAAGTATCATCTCAACTCTCCTCAGCAACAGACCCCTAGGGCTTTGGGAGCCTTCCTAAGCCACTGCCTCCCCACAATAAGAGAGCGTTTGCTGGAAAGTTGCGCATCATTCATGCCCTTAAACTGAACTGGCTTTTGGCCCTGCTATGTTGCCTCTGTGCTTGGGCTTGTAAGTCATTTCCTAAGGGATAAGTGTGTTCCAGCCTGGACTCTGGTGACAGGGTAGCCAGTGTATAAAGAGAACAGAAGGCCCAGTGAGAGAATCTGGGCCCTTCACACAAGGGCTACCCTGTCACCTCAGTTGACACAGCTGTGATGTGTGGCTCTTAGTGATTATGAGCAGGAATGTTCAGTTTTGTATTTTCTTTCTTTCTTTCTTTTTGGATGTGGGGTTTTGGAGGGTCTGGGTGTTTGAAAGGGGAGCTTTAAAAATAAAATTTCAGTTACTCCTTGTGCAAGAGATTAAAAACAGGCTAATCTTCCTACTGCTCTGGCATTTTAGATTAAAAAAAAAAACAGGAAACTATCACCTGCTTTAGAAATAGATAGGATCCAATTTATTCAGAATTTTATAACAAGTGCATTGTGCCTGGACCTTGACACTATTTTTCTTGAAGCATCTATTTAAGGAAATTAGTATTTCAAGTCCTGATACCTATTTTCTGATTTGATTTACAGATCATTTAATTCTTTACTAAAGCTGGTCTTGAAAAATCTATGCTAGCCATTCTGAATAATTAATATGCTTAAGTGATCAAATAACAATTATTTTAAAATTTTATTCAATTCAGGCTGTGTACTTGCTACCAATTTCGCTACCTCCTCCTCTCAGCTATACAACACACTTACCTGGGAGACCTATAGCTCCAGGCAAACCGTTGGGACCTCTTCCTGGAGGGCCACGCTCCCCCTTTTCTCCCAAGTCACCTGCATTACATTAAAGAAATGTTATTTTTCTACATATCTATAAAAATAAACTTCCGCATCTTTAAACTTTCAGCAAATCTAAAATTCAGAAACCAAAAGGTCATGAAATTGCCATAAACTAGATTGTAGTGAGTATGTAGCAAGGCAAAAATCAAGTTCATCTATTAATAGATCTAAGGGGGGAAAATCAAATTATTATATTCATAGATACTGGAATGACATTTGACAAAATTGAACATGCATTCTTGATAAAACATTCAATAAAATAAGAACCAATGGCCACTTCCTAAACACGAAAAATATATCTATCTCAACCCAAAAGCTAGCATTATGCTTAATGGGAAACACAAGAATTAGTTCCACTACAATCAGAACAATATAAAGACGCCTACTTTATCACTAATATATAACTTTTGGTTTGAGTAGTTAAAACTATCTCTATTTTCAGGAGATATGAATATATATCTTAAAACTCTAGAAAGTTAACTCAAAAACTATTACAAACAGTGGCATTCAGTCAACTAGCAGGGTACAAAATTAATATATGGAAATTAAAATTTTATATATATTAACACAACCAGTAATAAGACATAGTAAAAAAGATACCATTTATAATAACAATTAAAATATTAAATAACGAGGAATAAAACTAATCAGAAATAGGCAAGTCCAACATGACAAAAAGTTTAACATTTCTAAAGGACACCAGAAGACTTGAAAATCATTCTTAAATAGAAATGATATCATCATAAAATATTGCCAGTTCTCCCCAAGCTGAATTTTCATCATGATCTTAATAAAAATACAAACCCATTTTTTATCAGAAAAGAAGATCCTGAAGTTTGTATAGAAAAACACATAAGCCAGAGTAAGCCACAAAAACTCCATAAAGAAAAGCAACATGAAGGGAATTAAGTTGACCAGATATTAAATCAACTAAAATGTGTGGTGTTGCTCCCTGAATACTCAGACCAGTGAAACAGAATAGAAAGCCCAAAAAGTAGGCCCAAATACATACAGGATTTGGGTTTATAATGAAGGTGGTGTCTTAAAGTGGGAAAAAGTTGAACAATTCAGTAAATGGTATTGGAAGAAGTGGGTAGTCAACTGGAAAAGAAAAGTTAGATCTATACCTCACACCCTATTCCAGGATAAAATACAAATGGATCAAGTATTTTACTGTAAGTTAAGAATCAAAAGAAAACAAGGGAGAATTATGACCTCAGATTGGCCTTTTTATTAAGATTCAAAATATGAAGGGTTCCTAAAATCAATACAAAAAGGCCAACAACACAACAGCAAAAAAATGACCAAAATACATGAGCAGGCAGGCCACTAAAAGGAAGTAAAAATGGCTCTTAAATATATGAAAAATTCCCTGACTTCACTCTCATAACAAAATAAATGCAAATTGTAAAAAAAAAAAAAAAAAAAAAAAAGGATGCTATTTTAACCTATAAGATCGGCAAAAATTCCAAAGTTCAATTAAAGATATACTAGCAAGTCTGTGGAATATGCACTATTATGAATTGCTGATAAGAGTATAAATTTGTACAATCCCATTGGAGGCTAATTTGACAATAGCTATCAAAATTTTTACCCAGCAGTTCTACTTCTAGGAATTTATCATAGAGATAAAGATGGAGTGTATGCTGCTTTTTAATACAAAAATGAAATATGTACAATGTTGTTCACTGCAGCCTTGCCATAATAGCAGAAGGTTGGAAACAATCTATGTCCATTAAAAGGTTAAAGACATTACAGAATTTCCACAGAATAGAACACTATGCAGCTGTGAAGAATAGCCAGGAAGCTCTTTGGAATGGTCTCCATGGCATACTGCTCAGTGAAAAAGGCAAGTTCCAGAACACTTGCTAAAGGACAATATGATTCATTTTTAAAAGGATGTAGAAAAAATACATATTCATGTATCCTTATATAGAATTGCTTGTAAGGATATGTAAGAAAAGAATAGTATTGATTACCTAGTGGGAAGGAGAAAGGAAATTAGGCAGATGGGAGACAGGGATAGGAGAGAAACTTCACTAAATATCTTTTTTATACATTGTTAATTTTTGGAACTGTATAAATTTAGTATTATGAAATATAAATTAATCAATCTTAAAAACATAAAGTGTGTTGTTACAGTGTCTACATTTCACTACTGACTCATTGTTTATAGGGAACATACTTTGGATTGCAACCAACCATGTGGATTTGCAAGACATTTACAAGACAGTTGATTGAAATTGGGGATTTAGCAGCCACAGAACAAAGTTGCATTAATTATCCCAGCCCCTGAAGATACCAAACCCAGCAACTTGACCTCATTAACAAAAGGCATTAATTCCTTAGTTAACTGGTCCTAAATGATGTCTGCTGCTCTTTGTTGAAGGCATTATCCCATTATTCCGGTAGTACAGTAGTATATCATTATTCTACTATGCTGTTAGAAAATGCAATGGCACCTTGCAATAAATTCTATACATACCATTTTTTTTCCAAACATTTGTTTCAGCTTAGCCTCATTCAATATTAAGTCATATTTGTTATAATTTTAAAAACAAAGTCATGTACACAACAAAAACAGAAAAAATATCTGTATAACCATCTGCACTCAGATAGTCAAAGATCTCTAATTCTGAAGTGAATATTTAGTCACCATACTTTGATTTTAGTTGTGAATGTCTTCATGTGAATGTTTTTATGATAAACTACATTTCATCACATTTCAAAACAATTTAAATTTATATAAATACTATGACGGATTGAACTCAGGTTGAACTCATATTTACATAAGCTAGTTTTTTTAACATTCATCATCAATATGGCCTTACTATATTAGGAAGATACGACAATTAACATCTTATAAACTAATGGCATAAGCATTCTTGTTAACTTGGTAATTTAAGTGTCATATCACTATAATTCTGGAGGCTGGCAATGAGAACAGACTGTCTAAATGTGCCACATTTCTGAAGATATGAGATGAAGATTATAAATTAAAGTGTGGCTTTTACACTGATAGTAAAAGCTAAACTTGTTTGTACATTCTAGCATGAAGCCACACCAACTTTTAATGTTGCTTCGAGGACTAAGACCAGTGTCTTTGTTGTGATACTGTCTTTTGGTTATCAGTCAGAGAAAAACAAGTTTTAAGATGAGCTCCAAAACAGAGCCTATTCTGCAAACTGCTACTCCACAGCAAACCATGTATACAGGTTGGTTCTATCGACAAGGTTAATCTATTACTTCAAACCCTGATCATGTCTTATTTTGAGATGTACAAAAACCAGCTTAGGGAACTAAAGGTCCAGCTTTGTTAGCCTCCTCAGTCAAAAAATATGCATAAAGAGCTTGTAAAATAAGCTTTAGGTAAGGTATAAAGAAAAATACACAGCTTCAGCAGAAAAACAGCTCATTATGAACGAGTGGAAATTCTCATTGCTCTATAGTTGCTATTTATTTCATTTATTCATGAGCTATAATTGATGCTCTATCTCCATGTAAACAGATTATCACTGAGAAAGGTGTTAGTCATAATTATGACATGTGTGTTTTCTCAAACCTTCATTTACATATTGCAGTGTCTGTTTGATTCACACTAAAATATCTAAAAATATACAGCCTTACTCAAAGGGACTTAAAATTAATCCAAACTGTGAATATTTAAAACTAATATTTATGACACAAAAGACCAATGTAATACCAAGCAAAGTGAATATAAGGCCAGTTAGATATCTCTCAGGTTTTAAGCCTGGGCCCTAACATTTTGTATAATATTGTGTAAAGCATGTCAGTGAAAAACAGAAAAATTATAGATATAACCTAAGCTTTGACTATGATTTGAGGCATATTTCTACTAGTTCCTATTGAAAATGTTCTACTGTGTTCTTCAGAGTATTTTCTAGGAGAAAAACAGTGACTAAGACATAGGCTGAACTGTTCAAGCATTCATAATAAAACTTGTTTGTTATTTATGCAGCAGTTTCTCTGGAAAAAGGCTCTCAAAGTGACCATATGGTAGAGCAAGATTCATACCATCCCTTCTTTACCAGGGATGGGGAAAAAAGCCAGCAAGCAATACTGAAATATATCTCTCCTCTAATTGACTGAAAATTTAAGTTTCAAATTGGTGGAATGTTTATGCTCAGGGAAATTTCAGCTGTAACCCCTTGGATATTACAAAGCTATATGTTTTCTAATAAATACTCCTGTTAATGTATGTGGTGGGACAAGAAGAATCAAATCCAGCTACCTAAAATCATACATTTCCAAAAGTATGACAGTGTTAATTGATTTTAAAAATTTAATTACCGCTCCCTACCTCCACCCCAAATTCTCAGAAGTTAAACTAAGAGAAGATACAGCTTTAAAGGAATCTGATAACGAGAAAGGGATGGAGGAGGGTAGGGAGAAAAAAAATCCTTTGGAAAAGGGAAAAGAATTGTATCACTTCATGTTATAGATTATGTCATGAATACTGAAGAAAAATTAAGAGGAAATACCTCACATGATCAAGCTATACTTGACAAACGAACTTAGTGCTAGAGCCATTTCCCAGGTTCCAAATATAGAAATTTACTTTTGTTTCTTTCAAACTGAGGTTCATCTGCTAGAGCCAACCCAACCCAGCCTAGCCACAATTCACTGTTGCTAAAGCTTCCCCAAACTATTCACCATTGTTTCCAGTGGTTCTCAACCCTGGCTGCACATTAAAATCACCTGGAGAATATTTTAAAATCCCAATGCCCAAGCCAATAAAATCAGAATCTCTGAGAATGGGATCCAGATATCAGTGGTTTTAAGCTCCTCAGGCAATTCCAGTGTGCAGGCAAGGCTGACAAAGGCAGCTTTAGACTGTCCTAGCTTAGCTTTCATTTTTTAAAGAAGAGTTCTGTTACTAGCTCAAACAAAGTTAAGCTCTGCCCCAAGGAGACTTCCTGTTAACCAAAGAAAATAGGGCTGTGATGTCTATAGGCCCTATAAGTCATTCCCTTTCAGTAGGAAAATGGGCGATTGCTCCACACCAGGTGCAGCAGAACCACCAGGAGGGCCTGTTAAACTAGACAGCTAGACCTCGACCCCAGAGTTTCTGATTCAGTGGACTCAGTGTGGACCAGCGAATTTGCATTCCTAACAAGGTCCCTGGTGACTCCGCTGCTCCGGGGACTGCTCTCTCAGAACCACTCCCTAAAGTGAACTCAGAAAAGGCCAGGTCGTCATGATCCACCCGCTTTTGCACAACAGATCCAATGAAGTCAACAATCTACCTAAGGCTGTAGAGTTTCTTAGAAATTATTTACAGAGTGAATTGAGACTAACCATAGAGAGAGCACCTAAGGCATGAGCTCCTGAACTAGTAAAGCTGGACAAAGATGAATAGGTATGTGACTCTTTCAAAGAAAATGTTCAGTTCTCTTTAAGAAAAACTCTACCCTCAGTCTGTACTCTATTTGATTTTGTCTAGCCTCCCAAAGCTTTGAATTCATGCCAGCCTTATAAGAGGTCTCAGTTAGACCCCATTTTTTTAACATGAAGCTCTGAACACGCCAAAAAAAAATGTAATTAAATAAATTGTTCCAGCTGAAGGTCTAGTTAGCCAACTGCATCAGCAGTTCATTTATAGATCCAAAAAGGCAGCTTGCTTGCCATCTGACCATTCATACCACAGTATTTATCCCTAATTGGAGCACCGCAGTACTTAAAAAAAAAAAAAACAACCCTCTCTTGTTTCTGATGCCACGTCTTTCTGAAGTTCTCCAGAAAGCTGTCAGTCACTCATCATGACATAGAAACTACTCACTTTATTTAGTCCTCTCTGTAAATTATCCAGGGCACATACACCCCAAGCTGATATACTTACTCCCCTCAACTAGCAAACTCCAAATGAGACAGCCAGTTCTTCCACCAGTCCTGCTGAGTACCTAACACACTCATAGCCCCATTTTTCTGCAAAATCCTGGATGCAAGGGCTTAACTTGCTTTAAATAAAAGTGGAAGAAACAAGCTATCTTACATACTAAAGAAGGAATTAGATTGTACTTCAGAGCTGAAAAAAAAATCCATCAAAACTAAATATCCAATGTCATGTTTTAAAAGAGGGAGGCAGCTCTAATGCATATTTTTCTTACATCCTGTTAACAAATTTTATTAGTTTAAATAACAAATACAAATATCCTAAGGATGGTTGCCATGTTAGAGGAACTCAACAATGACTTTAGGGTCTCAAAAAATAAATAAATAAATAAAAAATAGCTGAATGATCGTTTACCAGATCCCATTATCTTTGTTTTGAACCATGATTGAGGTAGAGTATAATAGAAAAAGATCAGTCCTAAAAGACACGGGACTTTAATTCTAGTATTTGGTCTACTGTTGTGGTAGAGCAGGGTCAAGGGAATATTATATAACAGTTTTTGAATCTTCACCGTCACTATTGAAAAGAGAATAATACATCTTATCTCACTGGATATTCAGAAATTGGTAAAACATAAATTCCTCGAGCTTGATACAGATTATACATCTGAAAAAGGTTGTGTTCTTTGGTTCCACATGGGCAAGATGACTTACCTTTAGGTCCCCTCAAACCAAGAGCACCAGGGGGCCCCTTAATGCCCGGAAGGCCACGAATTCCCATCTGGCCTGGGAAACCATTCTCTCCAGGAGGGCCGGGGGGACCAGGAGGGCCAGGCCTTCCAGGAAGCCCAGTGGCACCTGAGTCTGGACGCTTAAGACTGGCAGCCATCTCAGCAAAATGTTCTAAAAGAGAATAAACAAAACAACCCAGAAGTGTCAGAAACATAAAAGTTATTCTAATGAAAAGAGAGGTATTCCAAATGCCTTTTTTTCTAAATGTGTCACCAGATCTTCAAAATTGGTAGTAAGAAATGAATAAAGTTGGATAATTTCTCTGTGGGCTTTCTGCCAGAAAGCTTCGCTGGTGCTGTTTGATGCAGCTCTCCCTGGATATATTTGGTCCTGTTGTTCTGAGACAGAGTCAGGGCACGGGGAGGGAGGTAGCAGGGGGTGGGATTCACAAAAATCTTAAACTACAGGCTTTGGGGTGAACGATGTTCTGGAAGGATGTCACCTGAATCCCTGCTGGGTATCTGAAAACCCAGGATGGGAAGAAAAATGAGTTTCTTAACATATGTGGAAGCAGATGTCCAGACAGTTTTTAAAAGCCAAGAACATTGTCCAGAATTAATATTCAGACACCATTTGAGACCTCGCCTCACATTCTTAGTTTGAAGATATTATATAAACTGAAATATCCCCAGGAGTCACAGCTTCTTATAAACCCTCCTTCTCAGAAGTTTTTTCCACGCTTGAAATAGACAACAAACATTAAAAATAACTTGTTTCTTGGGAATGGTCAGAGTTAGTCTTAAAAATTAATAACTGTGTGGGCTTTTTCAGGAACCATTAAATAGATTCAGAATCACCCACTAAAGGCATGGCCTACAACAAAATCTCCCCATGAAAACATTCTAAGGGAAATATTCTCATGTAATATTTTTTAAACTTAGAGGGTAAAGGAGAATATGAAATGGAAACAAATTTCTACCCAACATTTTTAAATTGTTTAAATGTGAGTATTTTAAATTTGCTTATATAAGTAAGAGTTTGCATGGAATAATAATTTTTTAGATATGTTTAAAACTAAAATAGACTTTCAGGACAAAATGTCTGCAATGAAGAGGCCTATATTGCTTTTCAAATATAGAAGTGAATGTTTCATTCCTATTTGGTTCTGGAAAACTTCTCAAGTCTCCTAGACAAACTAGACTGTCTAGTGAACATACAAAAGAGTATCTCTTCATGACAAAGTTAGCTACACCAGAATACTGTAACTAGCTATGGGCTTCAGTGTTACAGAACTCCTCAGCTATAGGGTGCTTTTGCACATCTTCATTTTCTGTGTGTTTTTATAACTAGACCAATTCTGAAACAAATAACAATTGCCATAGCTACAGGTAAATTTTGATAAGGGTTAACAAGTATGAAAATGTGTCATAATTTTGGTAAATGCTGGTTATTGATTGTTTTTACATATGTGTACATGAATGGCGATAATGTCCTTATGCTTCCTATGGGCATGGAGTCTGTCATTTACTTCTCACAAAATGTAGAGAAAGCCTAGGTCAGTGCTAGGTACACACTAAGTGGTAGGGTCTTAAGGAGGGGAGAGACAACTAAGAATTTGTGTTCCAAAGGAAAAAAGTGTGTGTGTGTGTGTGTGTGTGCACTTTGTTATAAATTAGCCCCCATGGCAAAAAAACAAAACAAAACAAAAAAAAGGCAGGATAACCAGAAAAGTAATATTTTACATTGAGGCTACGGGCTGTATACTATTGTGGATGCCAATAGTTGGAAAAACAGAATTGGCATTAATATTACCCTAAATGTCCTATCTTTAAGGCACACAAAAAGTCACTCTTGTTTACCCTTGTGTATCTACAAGAATAAAATCTTAAGAAACAAGAGTTGATGGTGGAAAAAGTCAAACCATTGTGATTTATTTACCTTGTATGACTCTCATGCAAACCTGCTTAATGTGCTGATCTGTCGGTGCTCTACCCTGGGACAGAAAAGAAAAAAAGGCAGTTTATGCATGAAACCATAAAGAGAACATTGTTAAGTTGTAAACTGACAGACTCTGCAAGGAGCCAGGTGGCTGGATTTACAAGAGAACTTGTTGAGAAGCTGATGCCTAGAACAGCCCTGCTGCTGTGGGATGGAGTCTCCAAAGGGAAACCACAGAAGCTGCCCACCACTCACCGGAGGGCCCTGGACACCAGGCAGGCCGGTGGCACCCTGTTCTCCCTGCACACCCCGGGGTCCAGGTGGTCCTCTTGGTCCTTCCACTCCAGGAAGCCCCCGACTTCCCTCAGGCCCTCTCAAGCCAGGTTCCCCAGGATTACCTGCCTGGAACACAATTGCACACTATCAAACCAGGGCTAAGCATAAAGAATGTGCCTGCTTCATACTCATATAAACACTTATATGAAATTTGCGGTTTCCTGCACTCTGCATCCTAACAGGTGTTCTTTCAGAGGTTACAAAACCTTCACTGCAAGGTGAAGACACATAATGCTACACAACTTACCCATCTTTTAGAAATCTAGTTCAAGTTAACTTTCAATATATCTTTCTTTTGGCTGGGTGTGGTGGCTTACACCTATAATCCCAGCGCTTGTAGGAGGCCCATGTGGGTGGATCATGAGGTCAAGAGTTTGAGACCAGGCTGGCCAATATGGTGAAACCCTGTCTCTACTAAAAATACAAAAATTAGCCAGGCATGGTGGTGCATGCCTGTTGTCCCACCTACTTGGGAAGCTGAGGCAGGAGAATCGCTTGAACCCAGGAGGTGGAGGTTGCAGTAAGCGGAGATCGTGCCACTGTACTCCAGCCTGGGCAACATAGTAAGACTCCGTCTCAAAAATTATAATAATAATAATAATAATCTTTCTTTCGGGGATAGTTATTCTTGCAAAACGTTTATTGGAATACTACATTTTTTAAAAACTACATTCTTCATACTTTAAGCCACTCTCTAAGAGGAACTTAGTTTTCAATAAGCTTGTTAACATTTTCTGGCTACATAAAAGCCCCTGCATTCCTACAAAATATGTTACTTTGCATATCACAAATGCAGCAAGCATAAAATAAAGATATTTCCAAGAACATAAGTTATTTAGCCCTTACAACTTTTTTTTTTAGAGAATGTGAAGATGCCAGGTATATCCAGGAATTACTAAACTAAATCAATGCACTTAAAATACCACATTTAAAATGCTGCATTTAAAATACTTGACCAGGCCAGGTGCGGTGGCTCACGCCTGTAATCCCAGCACTTTGGGAGGCCCAGGTGGGCGGATCACGAGGTCAGGAGATCGAGACCATCCTGGCTAACACGGTGAAACCCCTTCTCTACTAAAAATACCAAAAATTAGCCGGCGTAGTGGTGGATGCCTGTAGTCCCAGCTACTCAGGAGGCTGAGGCAGGAGAAAGCCATGAACCCAGGAGGCAGAGTTTGCAGCCAGCCGAGATCGCACCACTGCACTCCAGCCTGGGTGACAGAGCGAGACTCCATCTCAAAAAAAAAAAAAAAAAAAAAAAAAAAAACTTGACCAAAGAAAGTTACAACTTACTTAAGTATGAAGGAAGTTAAAAAATCTAAATATTGAAGAAGTTAAAAGTAAACCATGTGTTTCCTTAGCATAAAAGCAAATACAAGTTAGATTTTTTTTTAGCTGAAAGCAGACCACTAAAAGCATTTAAAAGAATCATCTAAGATAAATGTTTTAAAAAGAGACCAAATTAATTCACTTTTTGTTAAACTAAAAATTTGTTAAATTCCTCTGGTAAAATTTGTGGCAGAATAGCTCCAATGTACTGCTGCTGTTCAGAATAAGAATGAGAAGATAAAAGAACACGAGGCAGCAAGGGAATGCTAGTGTTCAAGATATGAATGTTTATAAAGCAATTTAATCCTGCTTCTTTTTCATATGCATCATTTATCTAGAAAAAGCTGGCTCTTTCAAACAAATACTTTAAACTGAAGAAGGCGATGAAGCAATGCTTTTACTAGATACATCCAAATAAAGCTCAGCAAATGTGCTTTTCCAATTTCGCTTTATGCAAAAGAAATTGATATTCATCTAAGTCAACTTGCCAAAATTGCTTCTATGAAGAAATTATGGTTTAAAGACTTCCTGAAAGACTGTCAGCAGGACAAGGAAAAGGTATCCTACATAGAAGGCTGCAACATTGTCAGGTGCCTAGGGTGCAAAACTGTAACAACTTCTTTTTTTTTTTTTTTGAGATGGAGTTTTGCTCTTGTTGCCCAGGCTGGAGTGCAATGGCGTGATCTCGGCTCACCACAACCTCCACCTCCCAGGTTCAAGCGATTCTCCTGCCTCAGCCTCCAGAGTAGCTAGGATTACAGGCGTGCGCCATGACACCTGGCTAACTTTTTGTATTTTTAGTAAAGATGAGGTTTCTCCATGTTGGTCAGGCTGGTCTCAAACTCCTGACCTTGGATGATCTGCCCACCTCGGCCTCCCAAAGTGCTGGGATTACAGGCATGAGCCACCTTGCCCTGCCAACAACTTCTAAAAGAACCCAGAAGAGAAGACAAAATGAACTCAGAAATATACTGAAGAACTGACAGAAAACAAAGGAGACCACGACAGAGTGTATAATCCTGCTGATAATGACTGAAATACTGCTACAGTAAGAGCTGGGAACTTCCTAATGAAGAGATTAAGGGCCAATATGGCCAGGACCCTGGGTCTCTGGGAAAAAATTCCTCAACTGAGGAGTGGTATACTGAAACAGAAATCAGGTTACAGACATCGCCTACTTCACAACTTTGTCTATGCTGAAATCAATGAAGAAAGTGTAAGTCTTTGTGTTAGTAACAATTTCCCCTGATTGTGGGACAGTAGACTTCAATTTCACTCATATTACCTGGGCAGTGTCAGGTAAGACACTTGTGGGGAAGGAGATGAATCAAGAGCTAATTCCTAATACTATATGCAAATTTGAATGCAATTAACTTATTCTTGTCACTGCATGGTTCATTAACTTTTCTTTTGTTACAGCTTGAATTCTTTCTATTGAACATTACTATTTCTAGATAGTGAAGTAGGATTTCTATTACCAAACTCAATCAAGGTTTACTCTAAATTTTTCTCAATCCTCAACCATTTCTGTTAAAAATTCTTAGGCATAAAAATGTTACTTGAAACTTGAGACATAGTGTTTAGAGGCAGGTAAGTTAATACGATGTAATAATATTCATCTCTGCGGTTTGCAAAGAGCCCAAGGCTAGGCATTGTAACCAAGTCTGACTGGGTCCTCCTGGAGAAAGTGAAGCTGAGGATAGATCGAAATGCTTAAGTAGGAAGTAGCTATTCCAAGGAAAGAGGAAGAGGAGACCAGAACAAGGTGTTAAACAGCATGTAAAAGAAACTGCAAATGGATGAAGTTCTAGGTATGTAGGAGATGAGGTTCGTGGAGCAAAGAACACTTCATCAAAGGCTTTGTTTACCTCGCTAAGAATCTGATTTTATTCTTAAAGAGTTTTAAACAGAGGAGGGATACACAGTGGGTTTTATTTTTTTAAAAAATCTAGATGACATTGGCTGCCATGAGGATAATATGCTGGACAGGGACAGAGAAGGGTTGAGGAGATTCCGGAAACAGGAAGGACTTGGAAACTTATGGAAGCTGGCAGTAGTGGCATTTGAGATTGAGGTCTGAGCTTCATCTTTTCTCCTCAACCTTTCTTAAATTCCTAATTGTTTTAGATGTGAATTCCTTTCCAATTAGCAAGTCATCTCAGGTTTCCTACTAAGTGATTCTATAATTCTGAATACATCTAATCTCTAAGGACACCAGTTTAGTTTCTATAAAAATGACAAAAATGAACAAGATCGTTTTCTACTTCTAATAATTTGCTATTATATTTTCTTATGCATTATTCCTCTATCTTACTTCCCCAACTAGAACACATCAGAGATTAAGACAATTACTGAAATATTTTTCAATGGTATAACTGCCAATGAAATTTAGTTATACTGTTGACAACAAAAAACACAAGTCAGTTCTTTAAAAATGACCCATTTGGAGAGGACATTAGAGTATTACCATGTAACACTCATTGAGTCATTTACAATATGAAAGAAAAAAAACACTTCCTTTCCAGTGGTTAGTTCAAAAGGTAAATCCATTTACACAGTGGTGAGGTATTTTTCTATTGGATTAATCCATTGCCTAAAGTACAAATTTAGACATTTATTTCCATGAAAGTAAGTCCTTTAAGAGTTGAGTGTTGGCCGGGTGTGGTGGCTCACACCTGTAAACCCAGCACTTTGGGAGGCTGAGGTGGGCAGATCACCTGAGGTAAGGAATTCGAGACCAGTCTGACCAACATGGTGAAACCCCATCTCTACTAAAAATACAAAAATTAGCCGGGCATGGTGGTGCATGCCTGTAATCCCAGCTACTTGGGAGGCTAAGGCAGGAGAATTGCTTGAACCCAGGAGGCAGAGGTTGCAGTGAGCCAAGATTGCACCACTGCATTCACGCCTGGGCGACAGAGTGAGACTCCATCTCAAAAAAAAAAAGAATTGAATGTTACATAATGATTTCATAAAGCAGAATATTATATATTCTACAGCTTTATTAATGTTTTTAATTTTTTTATACCATTACTATTCACCATACTTACAGATCCCTTTGGGCCAGGTAATCCTATATCTCCCTAAATCAATAAAAGAAATTTATGTTAGAACAATGTATTCACATTTGATAATTTCCTGAAAACACTTTAAAAGTTATTGTGCTACTAAAATACGGAAAACCATGAACAGATTAACTCCGGCACTGCAAAAAAATATTAGACTCCAATTTTGGATTCTAATCTCAGTTCTACTTAACTCTGTGACCCTCTGTAAGCTATGTAGCCTCCCAGCCTTTGGCTAATTTATCTGTTAAATAAAAGGGTTGAATCAGAGCTTTCCAGGGTTTCATCCAGATCTCAAATGCTAGGTGTCAAGAATTAAAAATGTGGAAGGCAAAAGATATTAAAATAGCATTATCTTATAAAACACAAGAGACATTTAGACCTGATGACTTCATTTTTGTAATTCAAACAATATTTAAAAGTCATCCCCAAAAGTCTACTAAACCAAATATGCCTGTTTTTATGCTTTAAAAAATAAACATTGAAAATTTCCTACCACTAATGCTAGTTATAAACTCAGCTCATGTTGGCATATCAGCTTACCTCCACTACAAAACAATGATTTAAAACATCACGTTACCCTATAAAATGAACGATTTTAACAGAAAATGAAACTGGAATAATCCTCTTATGAATTTACTTAATAGTTGGGAAGCTTTGACTAATTTAGATGTTATATTTATATTAGCTCTAAATCCTGAAAATATGAATAAAACATTTCTAGGATTTTTTTCCTGCCCTACAAGCTCTCTAAAACTGTTTTCTGAAAAATCTATTACCCTACCCCAAAGGACCAAAACATAAGTTTCCACATTAGGTCACATTAGTTTGTGTCAAAACCATAATGATGAGCCTGCAAACCAAGCAGCTCCAGCAGTGGAGAGAACTTGTTCTCATTTGTATTCCTTTCCTGGAGATTAGGCAACAGCCTCCTCTGGAGATGGAGGTCACTTTTTCGGAGGGTTTTAGACTAAAGAGATTACCCTTGGTCAGATTTGTGAGTCACAGCTTTCTAACTATAATAAAACTTGAATATTGTTTTCATGATAGTGCACTATTATTCATAGACTTTCTATAGTCATGTAAGAATCACCTTGAATGTCTAGACATAAAGCCACAGAGGATTCACCATCTGTAAGAGTACAATTTTATTCTCCAAAAGTTTAAAGCCAGATCTATCAATATGGCAATGTTTCCTCTCTGCTTTACTTGATCTTGGCTGCAATCTTGGGAGACTTTTGTTAGCTGATAGGAGAAACATCATAACCTTTAAAGAAGGCAGTGAGGATAACAGTGTCCAGAAAATAAGAATATATATATATATATACCAATTTTGAACTGTGTTAGAAGTATATATATATACTTCTAACAGTTCAAAATTGGTAAAGCTTCATCATTAACCAGAAAAAAAAAATCTTACAAGTTCCCCCCTTTCTCCTGCTTCACCTTCTTCACCAGAGGCACCCTAAAAATTAAGATAAAAGGTTACATTTTAAAATTCTTAGTCCCATTGCCCAATTTTAACCAGTAAACATTGATAAGCATTCATAAGTGCCCACAGTGTTCCCAGAATCATGCAGAAATACAAAATGCTCTCAGCGGCTTTCCAATCTAGCTGTCAGTGGTTAGTCCCAATCAGAAAATAGCGGAGAGGAAAGCCAGAAGGTGAGGCTGAGTTTCAGCTAGAATGAAGGATAAATGACCATATTCAACAATTTTATAATTGGCCCTTGAAATAGGGAATCTACAGTAGAAAAAGGAACCCAGGGAAAGGACTGAGTCTAATTCATATAAACAGTTTATTTGCTGAGGTCTTGATCAAGAAAAACCTAAGACATTCTAATGTGGCTGTGGAAGGCTCCATTGGATATGAATAAACCAATTCCGTGAACCAGAGACAGAGCCACGCTCTTCAAAGGAAAGACAGTGTGCAGTCCTGGAGCAGAGCCATCTTTAGCTCCAGCTTGTTAAAATAGTAAACAATGCTGCGGACCAAACTCAACACCAGGTTTCACTCACTATGAACACATTGAGAAAAACTGTTAGCCTTCATGGTTTTATTAACCCCCATAAACCAGCCATTCCCCCTTGCTTGTGAAATGGTGCATATCAAACATTGCATTTTATACCAATTAAATAATAAGACTGACCTGTTCACCCTTTGGACCCGGTTCACCGACTACACCCTGTAATAAATAAAATATAATACTTTTTCAGTATTTTCAACTGTTTATATAATTTCAAGTGAACCTTATTGGGTGGGTGGATAAGCACAAGTACGGATAATGTGATGGGAGAGGACGTTCCCACTCCTCACCACCCAACAAGAATCAGGACCAAAACATAAGTTTCCACATTAGGTCACAATTTTCCAAGAGGCTCTGGAACTTGGGGCATTCTCTGATCACATCCTCATAAAATTTGACTAGTAGAAATGTAAATTGAGGGCTAAGTAGAAAGTGTGATTACAACGGACATTTTTACTTTTCTCAGCTTTTTTTCCTTCTGTTAAATTATATTAATAGACTTTTTGCTTCTTAATCTCAACTCTGAGTAATTTAAAATATCTTTCTTGATAGCTGTTTATGATAAATTCTAGAAAATTCTCCACAGGGCCAAAAGCAAGCTTTGTTTCTCAACATGGTAGAAATCACCCTTCCAAATAAAGAACCTTCTGGAGTGCTGGAGCTCTTACCCTGTCACCTTTCATTCCAGGAAGTCCAGGGGGCCCAGGCAAGCCAGGGAGGCCAGGGCTACCCAGAGAACCCTGGAAAGCAAAAACAAAGTCCCCGGAGTTACTGTCACTGCAACACTGAAAGCACGGAAGGCAGAAACAACCTTGGGTGTGTTGACTTGTGTCTAAAATAAACGTGCTGTGGTTGGTTGAACTCTGCTTCTTGGGTTTGCCTCTCTTTCATATTCTCAGGAGAAGAGGGCGGGGCCAATGTTCTCCCAGCCTTCACTCCACCCTAAGGTCCTCAGTTCCCCTTGCACTCCTTGGCAACAGTAGGCTTTTTCAGTCAAGCCCCCGCCACCCCCGCACTGCCTGCAATGGCGCTGCTGCTCCTCTAGCTATGTAAACAAGCACTGCACAGGAAGTAAAAGGCACCATTCACTCTGTTTTCTGCCATTCCAAGAACAACCAGAGGCCAAATGCAGCACTTCACATTTCACCAGGTTTAAAAATGGATGCTACAAACCACGCAGATTAAAATACCCTCTGAGGGTATCCTACCCATAATTTGAAATTTCCCCTTTACATTGTTCTCATATTCACATAACAAGAGAAATCAAGTACAGGTAATTCAATTGTAAATTGTTTTCTCCTCTTGCTTATTTTTAAAAATGCATTGTGTTTCGTAGAAGGCAAATAAACGAAACTTTTCTACTTACCAGTTTACCTGGTAGGCCTGGGGATCCCACTGGTCCTAATTCTCCTCTACTGCCCTGTAAAAACACAAACATTGTCAATTGGATATTTTGCCAAAATTCAAATGCTTAGTTACTATGTAAATAAAATAACATCCTACCTAGGTTTTTTTCCTTCAGCTAAAGGCATAGGCCATCCTACATAGTGCCTACAGCATCCTGTGTTCATCTTGCATTGAATGATTCGAATGCTGTTTACTGTGATTACAGACGTTTAGAAATGATAGCTATGCATGTATATGAAATGGCAATTAGTCACTTTCAACATCTAAATCACATCCTAACTTTTATTATGGTTATTTGTGTCCATGTTTTAAGCCCTCACTTAGATTATGTGTTCTTAAGGTATTGTTAAATATTAATTTGGAATTCTGCACAGTGCCTAGAACACAGAATAAATTCTCAGGTCTACAGAACATTTCAAAGCAACATCTGGCAAATGATCTTAAACCTCAACAGAGTGAAAAAAGAAACACATAATAGATATGTTTGCCTTTAAATTACTATTGCAACTTCAAAAAGACACAGATGGTAAAAATTTCTGAAGTTTCTGAAGTAAAAATTTTTTTCTTCTACTCATTTTTGTTCTAAACATATCTTAAAAGATTAAACAGACTTCAGAAAGTAGAACTTATAACGAAGATACACCAAAAATAATTTTATTTTGTGAACCTACTTCAATTTTTTATTTGAAACTCTAAGCTTTCAAATTTTTATTTGAAATGCTAAGCTTTTCTAATCTATTGAGAAAAAGAAACACATGAACTTTTCAACTTTTTTCCCTGAGAACTTCATACAATTTTATGCAATCTGACAAAAGTTCATTTTATTTCCTAATTTTTTTTTTTGAGACGGAGTCTTTCTCTGTTGCCCAGGCTGGAGTGCAGTGGTGCGATCTCAGCTCACTGCAACCTCCATCTCCCAGGTTCAAGTGATTCTCCTGCCTCAGCCTCCTGAGTAGCTGGGAGTACAGGTGCATGCCACCACGCCTGGCTGATTTTTGTATTTTTAGTAGAGACCGGGTTTCGCCATATTGGCCAGGCTGGTCTTGAATTCCTGACCTCAGGTGATCCGCCCGCCTTGGCCTCCCAACGTGCTGGGATTACAGGTGTGAGCCACTGCGCCCGGCTAGCTCATTTTATTTCTAATGCATGTTCAACTAAGCTGAACACTGACATTATTGGATAAATAATCACATTTCCTGGAAGGTGCATATAAAAATGAAAGGAGTCCTTTAAGTTAATTTTTCTGTAAAATGACATGACAGCTCCATATTAATGTTTAATATTTATAAATGCTTCTGATAAGATTATTCTGACTCGTGCTATTTATTCCTATTTAAGTTTAACAAAGTGTAAAGATCCATAAACCTTCTGAATTTTGAATTTCTCTAAAGGATTAAGAACTGTTTGCCAGTTTACAACAATCTAGCAATTAATATTAGCAATAATTTCATAGTAGTCATTTCATATGACTTATAGGTGATTTAAACTAAATGCTTTTAAACATTTTTCAACAACTTTATATAAACAACCTGTGTCTGGTATATGACTTTGGGATGATGCATTGGTCCTTAACCTCATGAGCAGTTTGGAAGCCAGAGGCAGTGCCCCATGAGGGTGGATACTGGGAGAATGTGAGTCTAGATGAAAACCAGCCCCTGTGATAGATTCCTCTATCCATCTATAAATATAAAAATTGGGTTCTACCCCATCTTTACAACTTCAAAGTTCAAGACAGATTTTCCTCATCGTGTCTGCTCTGTTGGCATTTTGAAATAATTTCTCAAGTGCATCATGATTGACATCCTAAATATCACTGGGCTCACGTGACTTTAATTCACAGAACAATTAATAGTAATTGGTGGGGAAAAGTTAATATCAGAAGGGGAAATCTCAGTTTTTGGCACATTCTCAAGTATTCATTTCTAAATAAATGAACCATTATGCTATCTTATCCAAAATAAAGATGATTATTATACATTTTTTTCTCTTCCATAAACCAAAGGGCTAAATTAAAATAAGAGATTGTATAATCTTTGATTTATTTGGGGGAGGATTAATTATCTTCCCAGTGAATAACAAAGATTTTCTCTGCTGGACTCTTATTTTCTCTGTCTTTTCTAAGTTCTTATTACAGTTTATAAGTGCTTTCCAACCAGTGGCAGACCCTTGGTAATATATATGAATGAACAGCTCAGAGACCCACATACACAGCCTGCTCTGCTGAACTTGTGTACCCATAAGAGTCCACCATATGTAGCACGGAGAGAAGGATCAGTAAAATTGTGAGCATTTACTCCCCTGTTACTGCACAAATGGACAGCATGTGGTTCCTCATTTTTATTTCACTTCCATCCTATAAATCCTTGGCCATTCTAAATGCAGGTAATTTTACAGAAATCACCTCACTGTGCAAAACAGTAATGTTTATTTTCCCAAGAGTGACCAAACAGTTACAAACAAGGTGTTGGGGCGAGTTTCTGATGCCCATTCATGTGATTTCTTTGTCTTCTAAGAACATGCATACTCTTGCTCTAAGTTCT
This sequence comes from Homo sapiens, assembly GCF_000001405.40. NCBI lineage: Eukaryota > Metazoa > Chordata > Mammalia > Primates > Hominidae > Homo > Homo sapiens. The sequence goes on from NC_000006.12 coordinate 70,245,243, forward strand.
GGAATTTCATCTACTAAGCTAAGATGAACATAAATAATCAAGATATAAACAGTTATCTCTGAAAACATAGACTAAACACATTCCTCAGGGAGTAATTAAGCATGTGGGAGTTATTTATATCCTACTGCTGAAGGTCATCGCCAAGGTCTGATTGTAAAAATTCAAAAAATTGCAACCTCAGGCGTAAACGGGTTACCCATGGCACCGGTAACCACAAGTGTGCTAAATAAATGCTAAAACTCTTAGTCTTCAACAGCCTTGGTGATAACCATATTCTCAGATATGGGCAAGAGAGGGTGGTAGGAAAAGGCTGTTCTTCCCAGTTGCTAATATTTATAAATCCCATGACAACAAGAGTTCCAATTTATAATAAAGGAATAAGAAGAAACTGGAATAAAGGCAAAAATCCTACCATTAAAAATGATGAATTGGCCGCGCATGGTGGTTCACACCTGTAATCCCAGCACTTTGGGAGGCCGAGGTGGGTGGATCACTTGAGATCAGGAGTTCGAGACCAGCCCGACCAACATGGTGAAACCCCGTCTCTACTAAACATACAAAAATTAGCTTGGCGTGGTGGCAGGTGCCTGTACTCCCAGCTACTCAGGAGGCTGAGGCAGGAGCATCACTTGAACCCGGGAGGTGGAGGTTGCAGTGACCCAAGATCGCGCCACTGCACCCCAGCCTAGGCAAAAAAGTTAGACTCCATCCCAAAAACCAAAAATAATGATGAACCATAACCAAAGGCTGTACATTTCTCTTGGATGCTCTGTGCTGCCACATACGTCCCCAACAAATTGAGACACATCTGCCAACTCATCTCTTTTTAAGAAGCCATTCAGGGCTAGGCGCAGGGGCTCATGCCTTATAATCCCAGCACTTTAAGAGGCTGATGCGGACGGATCACCTGAGGTCAAGAGTTTGGGACCAGCCTGGCCAACATGGTCAAACCCCTGTCTCTACAAAAATTAGCTAGGCATCATGGCGGGCGCCTGTAATCCCAACTACTCGGGAGGCTGAGGGGGGAGAATTTCTTGAAACTGGGAGATGGAGGTTGCAGTGACCCGAGATTGCATCACTGCATTCCAGCCTGGGCAACAGAGTGTGACTTCATCTCAAAGAAACAAACAAACAAAAAAAAAAGAAGACAAAGAAGAAGCAGCCGCCAATCAGGGCTTTGAAAAAGATGCAGACCTTCTATCACTGATTCCCAGTGATAGCTATGCATCAGAATCCCCTGAGTTCTTTAGAAATATATTGCACTAGATGTCCTCCCCCCAACCCCATCTCCCCATTCCTTATCTTTATTTAGCCCCTTGCCCTCTGATTCTAATTCTGCAGGTCTGGGGTAAGATCCAGGAATCTGTATGCATTTATGTTGTATTTGTTTGTCTTTACCAGCTTTCTCAGACTTTTGTTAAATGCCCACCACCAAAGTTCCATAAATTTTAAATAATTTGCTAGATACGTCTTGTAACATCAGCATTTAGCCAGCAAACTTCAACTGAAAATCATCCTGTGGAGCTATGATTTGAGCTACTGAGGCATATGCGAGGGTGGAAATAAAGACAAGAACACTGAGCCCAGTGGCCTGGTCTGAAGCTGATTTTGCCATGCATCTGGTAACTTCGGGCAAGCAGCTTAACCTCTCCGTGCCTGTTTCCTCATCTATAAAGTGGGAATAAAAATAGTACTTATCTCTTAGGGCTTTTTTGAGGATTGAATAAGTTAAAAGACATAAATCACTTAGAACTATGCTTGTCTCATAGTAAGCATAGTAGAAGTGTTAGTTATATTGATCTGAGGTAATTACTAAAGAAATCGGCCAAAACATTTTTAACCAAATGTTTAATTAAATGTTGTTTGCCTGTCAAATCCCCCAAGTCTGTTTAAAAGCACAAGTTGTGCTTGGAAAAAAATAAGTCTTTAGTTTTCATGTTTCCAGTTTCTGTCAACATCACTGATCATCAAGCAGGCAACTTCTTTATAAACAAGTACTGGGTGTTATTTTGTAAAAATTATTTCCATAAATACATACAGCTAAATAATTCAAGTTGGAGGTTTTCCTTTTAAAATGGAACTGTTAGACTTTTAAAAGATCACAAAAAATAACAGATTTAACTTAATTATACTTATGCTGCCAAAATTATTTTCCCAATAAATGGATTTTATTCCATCATGCTCTAGCTTGTAATGGCTGTTGTCTTTGTCCAACTACCCAAAATGCTAACTAACTGAAAAACGAACACTATCCTCAGTACCTTTCCAATTCAGAGGTTGGAAATTATAAATCACTATACTTAGTCTGTACTATATATTAAGTGCCTCTCTCTGGCAAAAAGAATGCTGATTAACCTAGGAGATCAATTATGATTTCTATAGATTGCTGCTTTTATAAACCCATTTTCATGTTAACATTGAAAGGTCATATTAGTCCTACTACAATGATAACATTTAGATTTGTCACAAAGATATTTTTAAAATCTATTCAATTTTACATTATATAGTTTGCATATTTCTCTTGTGTATGTTTACATATGCCCTCATACAGAGGCAGAAAAAAAAAATCTGTCCAAACTCTAACCATCACACACATCAGCTTCACAAATTATTGACAGAGGAAACATGCCAGTGCCTAGATGGAGTGGGAGGGTGGCTTAGATCTTTCACAATACAACATTTGTGGACCTCTGTCATTGAGGCTGTTGGTATTGGAGGGGTGGTAAAGGACTACGAGAGAAAGTAGACAGGCTTCTGTACACAAGGAACGTATCATCTTCAGAAAACTGAGGTACATCAGCATGAAACTCATCCCAGTCAGTGCCACGAGAGCAGAATGAACACAACCCACTCAGCAAAAGCCCTGGCAAGTTCTCAGAAGCCAGGAAGACAGAAATGGACCGAGAGCTACCACATGGTAGGACCAAATGAAAAGCCCAGGTCATGTGCCTGTGCAAAACCAGGAGCCACCCAGACCAGGTGAAAACCAAGGGGAGGGCCATAGAGAAATCCAGAAGCATAGCCTACATCGTAAAGGCAGGCGCCCATATGAAACCTCTGGAGGCACCAAAATGAACAGACAATATTTTTGCAGTAGTATTGGCAAACATTAAAGGAAATAGCACTTAATTTCAAATACATGCTTCTAGGACACATTAGAAATGTGTGTCCATGTCTTCATCTCCAACCCACATGCCTCAGTAGCTCATTTCTTCTTCTCAGCTTGTTTTAGATTTGCAGGAAAAACTGATCAAACGTGTGAGGCATTGTTAAAAATGTATGAAGTTATCTACAAAACTGAATTTAATGATGTAAAGTGAAAGAACAAATGTGTCTTTCAGTAAGTGGATTTGGTGTTAAAACTCTGCTCCAGAACTATAACATTTATAACCTATCATGACATTTTTCAGAAAATTTTATAGCAGGTGAGAAGTCAGTTATTACCAACAAAAGCAGCATGGCAGGATTTATTACGCCTCCGATTCAATTCGTTTCAAGAAATATTGATTGAGTGCTACCTTATGGCAAGCCCTGAGGAAAGCGAGGTGGGAAACACAGCGGTGAAAACGACATGACTGGCACCTTCTGCAGTTACCACGGCATGGGGTACAAAGGACACAAGAGTTCAGAATAAGGAAAGATCACTTCTATCTGGGGGACAGGGCATAATTGAAATGTTTTCATGATGCAATTAACATTCCAATTACATCTGAGATGGCTTATGGAATGTTGAGCCAGAGAAATGAAGGAAAAAGCCATTTAAATGCAGGGTCTGGCCTACAGGAAAGAGGTACGGAGAGTATTTGAGAATTAGCATGGAGTCCAGCCTGACTTGAACACAAGATCTGAGTAAAGCCGAAATGAGAAGTAAAACAGGGAGGTTAATGGACAGTTTAAGATTTTAGACTTTCTCTTACTGTCCGTGGAAATCCACTGAAGATTTTTAAATGGGGAGAAGTGAGTATGGATGCTGTACTTTGGAAATACCAATACAGTGGTGTGTGCAGACTCAGGGAACTATCATTCCCCAGGGACTTTGGAATTGTGTTTGGCATTTTTGTTTGTCCCAGTGACTGTGGAGACACTACTGATGTTCGTGCAGGACAGAGGTCATGGATGTGAGACACCCTGCCATGTGCAAGAGTTCTGGAAAACAAAGAACTAGCCCAGCCCAAGTTGCAGCAATATCCTTTTGGGAGACACTGGTAGAGAAAGGAAAGACTGCAGCCGGTGAGACAATTGCAGTAATCCAAGCAGTAGGTGATGACCTGAGCCAGGGTGATAGTAGTGGGAATGGAAATGAAGAGTCAAATATAAGAGATCTTGAAAAGAGGACAGAACCAACAGGTCCTATTTGTGATAGGAAATGTGATGGAGGAAAATGCTGAGGTTTTGAGCCTCAGGGACAGGAGCAATGGCAAGAATTTAGACTCTTACAGAAATTCAAAAATCAAAAATCTAAAACTCAGATCCAAAACCCTGCATCAGCATAGCCTCCTATGATTTGCCTCTCCTCACATAAGAGAATCAACCCCCTACCCCATCCTCTCCTGAGGTGCTGCCTCTGGTTCTTCATTGCTTTATGCAGCCCACGGCACTTAACTGGTGACTGGCCAAGCAGCTCTCCCTACTCCATGTCATGTTTTGTATTCATGCATGGTTCTGTCCCACAACAAGTGCTCAGTCAATGTTCCTTTAACTATATAGAGCTTTCTGCTCTTTAAAGTGACTAATACAGCCGGGTGAGGTGGCTCACACCTGTAATCCCAGCACTTTGGGAGGCCAAAAAGGGTGAATCTCCTGAGCTCAGGAGATTGAAACCAGCCTGGGCAACATGGCAAAACCCTGTCTCTATAAAAAATACAACAATTAGCTGGGCATGGTGGTGTGCACCTGTAGTTCCAGCTATTCTGGAGGCTAAGGTGGGAGGATCACTTGAACCCAGGAGGTGGAGATTGCAGTGAGCCAAGATCCTACCACTGCACTCCAGCCTGGGCAACAGAGTGAGACTCTGTTTAAAATAAAATAAAATAAGATGAATAAGAGATGTAATAGTAAACACTCGCAAAGCTCTAATGGCCACACACTGCTCAATCTTCCTGGGCTAGTCATATAGCATCTTCATTGTTTTAGAAATGTGATCTGGCTATAATGTCATTGCTTCGACAGTTAACTTGTGGAAAGTATTTTAATTAGAAATTCACAAGCTTCAAGCAAAAGAAAAGAATAAAATAAGCACAGAGCAAGTGAGTGAGGGGCATTATGAGCTGGTTGTTTTGGCTGCAGAAACCTCAGGAAACCACCTGGTGGAAGTCGGCTGACAAATGTCTGTGAGAAGTGGAGAAATTCCATTCTCATGGCACAAGACACCTGGAATACATTGCTTTTCTCAAGTATAAAAATCTTCATTCAACAAGCCCAAGAAATGCTTCAAAAAAAGTAATAATGATATTTGGAAATGTTTCTGTGTTCTCACTTGGAGTTCTTTTGGCTATTCCGCAGCCTTTGAAAATAAGAACTGAAACTGAAGGCCAGAGAGAATGTTTTAAAGTCAAATTTAAGTGTATAATATTTAATTTCCTAATCAATTTCTCTCTAGGGTTAAACTGTGTATAGTGAGAAAATGGTCATTGCTATGGCTGCTATAAAATAGACAAGTTTACAAACTCACACTAAGAAAAGTCTGGTGGTTTCTCCAAAGCAGAGCTACCCTATCACCCAGCAATTCCACTCCTAGGTAGGCACTCAAGAAAAATTAAAACACATGTCCACACAAAAACCTGTATACGAATGTTCATAGCAGCACTTTTCATAACGGCCAAAAAATGGAAACAATTCAAATGTCCATCACCCAATGCATGGATCAATAAAATGTGATATAGCCACATAATTAATCCCCACAATTAAATATATTCAAGAATAAAAAGAAATGAAGTACTGATACATGCTACAGCATAGATAAACCTTGAAACATTATGCTAAGTGACAGAAGCCAATCATTAGGAAAAAAAATAAAATACAGTCGGGCATGGTAGCTCATGTCTGTAATCCCAACATTTTGGGAAGCTGAGGCAGAAGGATCTCTTGAAGCCGGGAGTTCAAGACCAGCCTGGTCAACATAGCAAGACCCCATCTCTACAAAAAAAAATTAAAAGTTAGCCAGGTGTGGTGATGCACCCCTTCAGTCCCAGCCACTCGGGAGGCTTAGGCAGGAGGACTGCATGAGCCCAGGAGTTCAAGGTTGCTGTGAGCTACGATTGCGCCACTGCACCCCAACCTGGGTGATTGAGAGACACCATATCTCTTAAAAAATTAACTATTTATTTTTAAAAAACAAAAAGCTCACATATTGTATGATTCCATTTTTATGAAACTTCCAGAATTGGCAAATCTATAGAGACATAAAGTGGATTAGTGGTTGTCTAAAACTGAAGGAATTAAGAGGAAATGATGGATGACTGCAGGTGGGAGGTGGGTATAAGATTCTTTTTTTAGGTGATGGAAATATTCTAAACTTGATTGGGGTGATGGTTGCACAATTCCATCAATATGCTAAAAATCAATAAAGATAGGTGAATTATATAGTATGTGAATTGTATCTCAACGTTGGGTCTTTTTAAATCACACTAAAATATTTCCTTAAACATGGGGTGAGGGCAGAAAGGGTCACCATGGTTTTTGAAGCACTTTATTTTTGTTTCCATTTTCTGAAAAGGCATGCTGTGCATCTAAATAGCATTTCATCTCCTTGTGTGTCTTGGACTAGCATGGGCTCAAACATCAGACAGCATTCATGGATAGATGGATGAATGAATGGAAGAACATCCAGCAAAGTCCTGAGAAGGTGCTTTAGGAAAGAACAGCAAGGAATACTCACAGGAAGCCCCTGGGGTCCTCGGGGTCCCACCTCTCCTGGAGGCCCCTGTTGGCCCTGTTATCAGGAAGGAAGGTAGAAAAAAAGTTAACACCTACTGATTACAACAGGTTAGAACTTCAGGAGAGGTAAAATGGTGTCTTACCGGTTTGCCTGAATTTCCCATCTGACCAGGCTTCCCTGGAGCACCTGTGCTACCCTAAGGGTAAAATGCAACATCCAAAATAACTCATGCTGAAGTAAGCATAATCATCAATCTGCCTTACCCAGACTGGGATCTCTTACATTTGAATAGCATTAATTCCCTGCTTTCACACTGAGAATCTGGGAATGTGCAGAATCTCTTTCTTGTTAGATACATCGAAATCCTTTAGATTCAAGATATTGTCTGTGAGTCTGGGAAATATATTAAAGGTCAAATGTCAAACAATGAGGGGTTTTAGCCTTCAGTTAAGGGGATCCTCTTCAATTAGAGGATTTTTCTTTCTTCACAATATTAATAATATATGTCTTTCCTTTACCATTTCCACCTCCAATATAATTATTTGAGTCTTTCTACCTCACATTAAACTATTGAAACTATTAAGAATCCAACCAACATGGGGAAATAGGATATGCTGCTGAGAAAGCCCCGTCAGCAAGCTCTAGGGAAAGCACATGTCTGGAGATGCCCTCTCCACCATCAATCTCATGTGCAGCTCAAGACGCTGCAGACCACTGTGACTGGGGAGCTGCAGCCTGGTACTCTAATAGCCACCAATCTCTATGTTATTCACCTTTTATCTCTTTTCTTCTCAAGCAAAGCTATATTTTATCCCTTAACATTTTTTCCACCTATTGTTTTTAACTGCTTACATTTTTGTTTTATGTAGAATATAAGCACTGGTCGATCAGTATGTGAAAAAAAAAATGCCTAATATCTTTTTAGTTTAGCTGAATCATCCTAATAATAGTCTCTGACATAAGTTCTGTGGCTTAATAATATCTTCCTTATTTTAGTAGTAAGGAACAATAAAATTTTCTGTTTTATACTGGCAAAGGATGACATTTTCATTAAGGAAATCTAATTAGCAGCATTTTGTCAAAGTATGCTTTCTGTAGCTAGGAAAAAGATTAGTATTTGAAGCCTTAACACATTTACCTTTTTATTTCTCCCTAGGGCCAAATATAAAATAAAACACATGCTGAAAATATTAAAAATTACAAATACGTTAGTAAATAATAAAGAAATTAAGAAAGATATTAACTTAAATTTTAAAATATTTTACCTTTTCACCAGCAACACCCTTTGCACCAGGAATTCCAGGTACACCCTAAAAGAATACATACACAATCCTAGTTTAATCACCTCCTCTGAGAATCCATGAGATGCCAAGCCCACTGCACACTGCAGGGAGGCTGAGGGAATCATGATAACCTCAAAGCTTTAATGTAAGGAAGATGCTTCCTAGTTCCCAAATTCTGCACAGTCATTTATAGAATTACCCACAGTTTAGAGGGCATGACTTTACTATATCTGGCTTGTTAAAGCTAAGTACCCTTAAAGCAAATCTTGTCTTTAAACTAAAGTTACTTTTCAAGGACAAACTTCCCAAATTAGAATCCAGTACCACTTTCAGGTCAAGAGGAGCTCTACTAGGCAGGACAGAGGCTACAGGGATGTGACATGGTTTCATGTACAGAGTAATAAAATGAAGACCTCTCAGAAATGCTGAGCTTTATAGGAGAAAAAGGAAATGGTAGGAGGATGCTGGATCTGACTCAGGTTTGATATTATTGGGAGTGCTAATATTATCTGATTATTTAAAAGATTGGGGGCCAGGCTTTGATATTACCAAGTATTCTTTATTAATTAGAAAGATTTGCCTGCAAAAGAGCCAAGAATACACGTGGTACAATCCACACGAACTTCCAGACACATTAATGCAGGGAAACACCAATTTGAATGATTAAAAATAGTACATAATCTAAGGGGTCACCTGAGTATACTCTCAGCACTCTTGTTGCTTAATCCTACTAACAAGAGCTTTAGAACCGGTTTAAAGTGGAATGAAATATATCACACTGGCCTACAGCTTAGGGTTAGTTAAAAAATATGTAAAAAAAGACTGAGTAAACTAAAGAGAGAAAAGGAATCCAAAGCATAAAATTAAAGCCTATTATTTACAGTTATTACACAAATAGCTATTCAGAGAAAAAGTATAAAATATAAAATACAAATGTAAATTGTAAAAATGTAAAAGTAAAACATCATATCTTCCCCAGAACTTATCAGATTAGGTAGCATGTCTCTCCCCAAAATGTATATCTTTAAAACATGTATATAAACCAATTAACATGTAAAGAATCAAATACTTACTGGTAACCCCTGCAATCCTGCATCACCAGGAGGCCCAGGTTTTCCTGGTTCACCCTGCAAAAAAAGCTTTTATCACATGATTGAACCTGTATGAGCTGCTGTATTTCTTTTAAGAAACGGAGGAGCACAGACGTTTTAAGTAAAAGGATTGTCCCAACAGCTGACTTTACATGCACTTTTATAAAGTGACTTAATTTAGGGTGGGGGAGTAGGGTGGGAAATAGGACATAATTCAACCAAAATGCACAGTCTCTCTCAACTTACTTTCATCAACAGGGCAATTTTACTGAGTTCCTGAAACCAAGCAAATAATTATACTATTCTAGTAAGTATTTCATATTTGACACTTGATTCAAAAATTAAAGGAAGGGAAAAAGCCAAAGCTAGCTAAATAAATCTTTTGGTGATTTAGTAATGGAAATGCCACACTCAGTTGGCCAGGGCAGAGACAGCCCCACTCACTCTTGGAGTAAATTACACAGCCTACCTTTGTTCCAGGCATTCCAGGGATCCCATCACGGCCATCCACACCTGGCAAACCCTAAACACACACAAAGAAACATACTGTCTCTTACACACAGTCACATTCTTTTTCCCTTCATTATTTTCTAAAGTTTCATTGCAAGTCAATGATCACTGAAAAATGTGCTTGATGACTACAGCTCAGGACATACCGTGTCTCCTTTGGGCCCAGGGAGACCAGGAATTCCTCTAGCACCTTCAGCCCCCTGCAGGGAGGAAGAGAAAGAATAGACAAGACATGTTCAGTTAACATAATACTTAGACTTGTCAAAGAGATCAGCATAATCAGCAGATGACACTGAAAAGCAGGAGGCTTGGAGTGACTGAATTTAAACTCACTCTATCTCCTTTGGGACCTGCTTCTCCTGGAGGTCCTCGCTGTCCTTGATCACCCTGTATGAAAATAAAATTTTGTTAATACAAGAAAAAGTTACTTATTAATCAACTTTTAAAAATTAGAAAGTATCATCCACGTCACCAAACTATTAGTCTTCCACCACAATGGCTTTGCTCTATCAAGGAAGCCTAGATGAAGAAGTCTTTTTATAAAAACGGAATTGTCTTAAAAATGGATATTGCCATAGAGATAACTGACACTTGATGGTCTTTTGTTTTCCCCTTAAATGCACTATGCCTCTGTGTTCTTGTGTGTAACATATAATGGATCCATGCAGTGGATTTCGACATCAGTAACTGCATGTACATATCAGCTAACTTCATTGACTGTTATAGAGGTTTGAGGTTTGGATTAGTTGCCAATCTTTCCCTCATATTATTTAATCCCCCAGTCAATATTAGTAATTTCTGTCGAAGTGATCTAGCTAATGTTGATATACGTGATATACGCTACAGGTGGTAATAGATAAGAGGCTGTGTCTTCCTAAAATATAGCTTTTGTTGAGTTGCTTAACTCTAAAACCTCAAATGGCTCCCTATTGCTACTGGATCTGTTCAAATGACTCAGGTTGGCATTAAACATTCTCCATTATGTATCTCTACCTTATCCTTCCAATCTCATCTTTTCAACCAAACTTTCCACTCCAGGCAGTGACAGCCCCTATGACAGCACACATAACCCCATCACCACCAACAGTGCCACCCCTGTACTTTGCTGTCTTTCCTGCCCGTAGGCTTTCAAACCAACCTCCCCCTCAGGTCCTCTTACATGGATTACATCTATCCTGTGCTCTAGCATTTGATCTTGTATAGTTTATCATTGAGTTACTTTCTGTCTTTCCCATTGGAACACAGGACTTTGACAGTTGGAAATTCTATCTTTCTTATATCTTTTCTACTTTTTATGTGGCATATTCAATTATCAATGGATGGCTTTTTTGTCTATTTCCCTCCCAAAAACAGGCTTGAGGAAACCTAAAATAATGACACATGGACATATGGCAATCAAAATGTGGAATAATGGAGTCAGAAACCATAGAAAACAAAAAATATCAAATGGGCAAGAAAGTAGAAACAAGATAGTTACTGAGACTCAAGGCGTCCTAATAACCAAAGAAAAGGAAAACACGCAAACATAAATACTTAATAATTTGGCTTAATCTATGAAGAAAAAAATCATGTCAAGTCAGAAGAACATTTCTATGTACCCGAGAAAGATACCTGTCTTAATTAAATTTAAATTTAAACATATATATATAAATTGTCCACTTTTCCACTTTAATTATTCACACATAAACAATACTGCACACACATGCATACATAGCAAAAAAAAAAAAATCTATCATTGGGTTTTGTGGAAGGAAAATCACTTACAGGTGCACCAGGAAGACCCTGAGGCCCAGGTTCACCATCTAAGCCCCGAGCACCCTGCAAAAAAACAAGACAATGGAAAAAAACTGAGATCAGTCATGTATGTTAAAGGAAGCATCCATCTTTCTAAAGAAATTTAATAGCCAGATGAAAAGGAGGTTTTGTGCCTGTAATACACACAGTGATCCCTGAGGAGTAATTACTCAGGCACCTCAGGTAAACTTGTTTACATCTACTCAGCATACCAATTGTACTTAAACACAATCTTTGATGCCACTCTGTAATTTTTTTTTTTTTTTTTTTTTTTTTTTTGTAGACAGGGTTTCGCTCTTGTTGCCCAGGCTGGAGTGCAGTGGCGCCATCTTGGCTCACTGCAACCTCCGCCCCCTGGGTTCAAGCAATTCTCCTGCTTCAGCCTCCTGAGTAGCTGGGACTACAGGCGCACGCCGTCATGCCCAGCTAATTTTTGTATTTTTAGTAGAGATGGGATTTCACCATGTTGGCCAGGATGGTCCCAATCTCTTGACCTCATGATCTGCCCACCTTGGCCTCCCAAAGTGCTGAGATTACAGGCGTGAGCCACTGCACCCAGCCCAGTCTGTATGTTTTAAGTTAACACTGCACCCATCCTCAGTTGCTGACATGAGCTAAAAACACAGGTGCTTATTAATAGATTGGTAAATCTATTAGAAGAAGTTTGGTAGCCACTCTCCAGGGTTCTTAACATTTCTATAGAAATTAATTAACCGCCAGGTGGGGGGATCACATGAGACCAGGAGTTCCAGACAGCCTGGCCAACATGGAGAAACCCAGTCTCTACAAAAATACAAAAATTAGCCGGGTCTGTTGGCACATGCCTGTAATCCCAGCTACTCAGGAGGCTAGAGCAAGAGAATCACTTGGGCCCGAGAGGAGGAGATTGCGTTGAGTGGAGAGAGCACCACTGCACTCCAGCATGGGCGACAGTGTGAGACCCTGTCTCAAAAACACACACAAAAAATTTATTAACGATGAAGGCCATGGAGCCACTCTAAGAACAGCTGCTATACTCTGTTGCTGCCACAACTGTGAGAGGGATTTCTGGGACTCTGGATCTCCCATCAAGATCTGGAATAAGAAGTCCAGCCACATGATTCAGAAGAATGAATTACTGGAAGGACCTGAGCATACCCTCTTCCATCCTGGACAGATATTAGGTTCAATTTATATAAAGTAACCGGCCTATTTTCTCAAGAGCAGATCCAGTCTACCAAGTGATGACATAAGAATGACTCAGAGCTTTATAAATCTAATTATCTTGAAATAATCTCTGATGTGGCTAACATATTGTACACTATCACCTCTTTATTTTCATCATGAGAATCAAAATGTGATATTAAGATCTTAAAAAGTGTTTTTAGTGCTCTCTACATATGCTATCTGACAAAATATAACCCCTATCTTTATTTTTCTTATCTACTAAGTGAATAAAAAGGCATAATGAGGCAGCCTTCTAATGAACCAAGTTGAGATGAGAAGATGATAAAATAAATGAAAAACAATCAAGAGTACTGGATAGATGTCAGGCCAAGAAATCAAATGTCAAATTTGAATCAAGTGTCAAATCAAGAAAACCAGGTGGACGGCATGTGTAGTAAGAATTAAAAATTAGAAAATCCATGATAGAAGGTTCAGACATAGGTAGAATCAAAGAAGGAACTCAACTGAAGCAGAGGTACCAGAGAGCCCTGAAATTCTTTGATCCCTAAAAAGTAGGACAGAGCAAAAAGCATTCTACACTCACCAGAGAAGAAGAGATTTTGAAGACCTGAAAAAGACCTTGAATTTATCATTCACCTTGCATTACAAGAGCAGAACCCAGCCTTTGCATTATAGACGTGGCTTTGATGCACTCTCTCTCTCTCTCTTATTGCTGTTCAGCATGAGCTTAGACCCAAACTGCTGTTACTAGGTAACCACTCCATGGGTCTGAGTTCACAAGAAGAGCTTTTTTTTCTTTCTTTTTTAAAGCAATTTGACAGAACTTAGAGGAAATGAGAAGTTTTGAAAAATACCAAATGGAAAAATATCTCAAATGAAGACCATATCAAGAACAGTAATTGGTTTCAAAGTGAGGGGTCACATATTCTAGGGGATGATTTAAATCCAGAAAAAAATGAAGGTATCAGCAACTTGAAAATAAATGGGATCTATTGTCTGATAAAAGAAAAGACACACAGTGAATGTTACTTAAGGTGACATAAATATAGAAATATGAATGCATCTAATATGTTTAACAAATACAAAGTTTTCAGAAAAGAAATATTGATTGAAAAGATGGATAAGGAAAGCAAGCAGAATGAAAATACCTAGAAGTGACAAACAGCCTGGAAAAAAAACATTAAATTGACAAAAAAATGATAAATAAGCTTCATCCTTCATTCACCAAGCTGTGCATCTCTTTTTTAAAAAGAAAAATTTAATTTCATTTATTGAGCATGTACAACGTACAACGTATTGTTAATTAACTGTTAATAAAAGGCTCTGTGCTGCTGGGGGAACTGACACCAATTAACCATAGAAGTTATAAAGAGAATGAGGTCAGGGTCAGAAGTGACAGTGGGCAAAGATGCCTTTTGTATTTTCTGGAGCCTATAAATTAACTTTCCTAACATCCAAGAAGTGGTAACCATTTTCTTAAAATCTGATAGAGAGGCTAAACACACCCCTACACACCCTACACACACGCCAAGGAAAACACTTCTGAACGCATCATGATGATGCTGTGATGATAATCACTCAGCTAAACATAGCCTGTCCTTCATCCTCCACCAACGGCAACACCTCATCCTTCCAGGCTCCACATCCTTCTAATGCCACCTCCTTCATGGGCCCTCTCAGTTTCCCTATCAAGATTAGCCCTGCTTCCGCTCCACTCCATCATACCACTGGCTCTCAGATTCATGTCTCTTTTGCTTGCATTGTAGTTAACTAACTACTTATTTGTCTTGCCCAATAAATAACTGACTTGATAAAGGTCTTATTCCCCTTGGAATCTCCCCAGCAGCCTGCGGAGTGCCTTGGTATGGAAGTGCTGGGGGAATCTGGTTTCTGAGACTGGGCTAAGGGCAGGCTAGTGTCCTCCAGCCATAAGTGTATAACCCATGCTAAGGGCAGGGCTCATGGATCAGCTTGCAGGTGGGTCACTGGAGGCTCCAGTGTCTTTGGGGATGTCCTGCCTTGGCTTACCTCTCCTTTTCCATCCTCCCTGTCTTTGCCTTGCCTGACCAGAAGCGCTCCAGGCACTGTGCCAGTGTTATCAAAGCTAACCACTGATCATGACAATGAGTTAAAATGTAACAACCTTGTTTACTCTGATTTACTCAATATAATTTAAAATAAATTAAGACATGGCAAATATCATGCATACTGCTCATTCCTATTATCTGTGCTTACAACAGAATTGTGAAAACCTAATCACACATCTACAAAGCATCATAAAATATCATGTTGTTAGGCTGGGCGCGGTGGCTCACACCTGTAATCCCAGTACTTTGGGAGGCCGAGCCAGGTGGATTACCTGAGGTCCGGAGTTCAGGACCTGCCTGGCCAACATGGTGAAACCCCGTCTCTACTAAAAAATACAAAAATTAGCCGGGCGTGGTGGCAGGCGCCTGTAATCCCAGCTGCTCTACTCGTGATGCTGAGACAGGAGAATCGCTTGAACCCAGGAGGCAGAGGTTGCAGTGAGCCAAGATCGCGCCATTGCACTCCAGCCTGGGCAACAAGAGTGAAACTCCATCTCAAAAAAAAAAAAAAAAAAGTTGTTGAAGATAAAAAGTTATGTTTAAACGGCCAAAATTTTAAATATTTAACACATTTTGGTATTATATTATTGTCATCACCATCTTACTTTTTCCCCTTTGTCCCCAACTATGCCGGTGATGCCTCGCAAACCCTGGGCTCCCTGGAAATGTGAAAAAGAGAAGTGAATTATTTTAGTTGAAGCAAAGATTTTTAAAAATCTCATCACAAAAGCTGATCTAGACAATGGATATTATCATAACCAAAGGTAATACCAAGAAATAGTAACTATATATATATAGACAAACATTTCTAGTTTAGAAAGTCCAAGGAGAATTCTTCTGATGGTAAACCTTTTTATAAAATTCTGAAGTCTTACACAAAACTGGAGTTGACAAAATCACTTATGACAAAAAAAGTAAATACCAGCATAAGAGAAATTGTGATAATATGTTTGACTTACCTTTTAACTTGTATGTAGAACTTACACTATCATTCCCACTTCCTTCATGGCATGTAACCTGGTTACATGTAACATGATTTTAAACCTTGAAATAATTTTTTTCTCACCAATGGACACCATCAAAAGCAGTAGGTTCCCAGGCTAGCCCACGAAAGCCTATAACCTAGAAAGGAGCTGGAGCCTCCATCAATCCCTTGTAGTCACTATTCATTATACCATTCTTATGATGAAAGGCATTCTGAATTCCAACTCGGGGCAATAGGAACCCATCTTAGTCATAAGAGTGGATAATCCTAAAAATGAGGGGCGGGGTGTGATTTCTAGGATCTCTTTCAATACTGAAATGTTACCATTCTGGACTCTCTGGCCCCCATACTAGGAGGGATCCAGAAATGGATCCTGGAAGGAGTGAGCTTGGGAATACCCTTGGAAGCAGAGGAGGGTGGATGCTCCATTAGGAAAGTGGGGGTAGCTACTTCTGGACAACCTGCTAACTGTCCCCATTGGCTTAAGATAAAGGAGCTCTAGGCCAGCATTTCCCTCTTCTTCTCACTTAGAGAAAATGGGGCAAGTCCATGACCAACTCTTCATTCAGACCAGTCACAAATTCTATGTAGATCAGTCAGGAATGACCTCCAATTCAAATATGCAGGATGATCCAGTTTAGGATATCCATTTAGAATATCGAGTGAGATGTGGCCATATCAGATGAAAGCTGCTCTTTCTTGTGTAGCTCATTTACTGACTCTAAAGTTATTTCTACAAAAAGAAATATTTGGGTCAATAGCAATGACACGAGAATACCACATATTTTCTCTTGAGGTGTCTACTTTGAAGAACAGAGCTTTTTCTAAATATTCCAAGAAGCATATTTGTTTAAGTTGTGCATTACTTTATATTTGTGCATGTACATTTAAAAAGTACATGCTTTTTAAATTTGGCATACCTATTCCCAAATAGCAGGAGGTAATCAAGCACTAACGGATATCCCCCAATGGACCACTTGAGCCACGCAGTACCCAACATAGATCCTTAATCCCTGAAAATACTGTTTTAGAATGTTGTTTGCAAAACCCTGTTTTGAGAATCTTTGGGAATGGCTTTTATAAAATTTTTTTAAAAAACTTTAAATCCCTACCAAATTTTCATCAGATCAAAAAAAAAAAGCATATGTCTCTTACACCATGTATCCTTATCTCCTACCTGCGAAAGAGTCCAGCTCCTAGTGTCTCATATGGCAAACACTCAGGGGAGGGCAAACTTCTGAAATAAACACCCTAGACACCACAGATTCCCTGAAAGTTCTCATGTGGCTTGAAAGCAGAGACCATTTCTTCCAGATCCTCTGACTTACTTCCTTTAACTTAATTTCCCTTACACTTTAAATTCCCTTACACATTAATCTGCACAGCTCGCTGAACCCTTTTTAAACAGCCAGTCCTGTGGAGAAGAGCAGAGCAGGTGAATGGTGTTCCTGTGTTTGTCTTCAATTCATCAGTTTCTAAGAATAGTACCTGAGCTCGTCTTCTATAGAGTCTATAACCTGGCTAGCTGCAATGTTTAACTAATATTCTTCAATTATTATTTCCAAAATTGTCATTACTCATTTTAACAGGAAAAAAAGTGTAACAACTCCATTTTAATGTAATACAAAATAAGGCAAATTCTGATTTAACAACATTTGAAATTGAAGTTTGATGATGCCCCAAATCACCTTACTGTGAATATTATTGCAGAAATCTGCTAAAGCACGAGGGACCAATTTTTTATTAAAAGACATGATATGAGCAATTAAGAATGTTTTAATTAATTATAATGATTGCATACTGGAATAAGCTACATTAATCCAATAAATGATATACCTACTGCATATTTAGAACACACAAAATTTTCTCATTATATCATGTGATAATACGATAGAACATAAAAGATGAGTATCATCCTTTTGTGCTTAGTATTTGCTTTTCAATTGCCTGGCCCTGAAATCTGGTAAATGAATGTATGTAAATTATAGGTAGAATTTTTCTGTTAAAAAAGTGCTAGAATATATAATGAAGACCCTCTCCTATTTTGAAGAAGTAGTTATCCCCCAGTGCTGGCGTGGTGGAAAATAGAGGACACCAAGTTCATGTAATGCTATTCATCCAACTGCTAAATAGAAAATATTCCAACAGTCATGAAAAAAAAGAATATTTACATATCCTAGTTAAATATTTTTTAAAAAATACTTTACTGGAGGTCCTTGAGCTCCAACTTCTCCGAGTTCTCCCTGGTCACCTTCTTCACCCTAAAGAAAAAAAAGAAAAAAGAAAAGCACACCAAATGTTATTCTAGCAAACGAACATAGAAATAGGCTTGGTCTAACTCATTATGTTTTAAGTTAACTTGGTGACTCCTGAATTATTCTACTTTCTTAAATTATTTATATGGGTAGTCCAAATTAATTGTAGAACATTCAGAAAATACAGAGAAGCCTACATATAAAAAGTCACCAAAATACCACCATTTAACTATAAAATACCAGTAACATTTAGATGTTATTCTTTCAAAGTTTTTCTAAAGTGGGGGAAAGAGGAAGAGAGACAAAGATATCAAGAAAAATAAAGAGAGATAGAGAGAGTAAAGTTACTCATTTATGTTCCAAGTGTGTGTCAAATGGGGGGGATTTATTATTAGAAAAATGTAATTATACTATGAAAACTTTTTTGTAAGCTACAATATTTTTCATCGTGATTTTTATTTTAGCTTTTCTTATTATAATTTTTGCACCATATACAATATTTTAATGTAAATCAGCCATTTCTTTCATGGGTTATACCTCCTGATGTCACTCATAGAAAAGCCTTTTCCACTCTAAAAATATACATTTATTTATATTTTTGCTCTATTTCTTCTTACATAGAAATCTGTAATTACCCGTAATTTGTTTGGATGTAAAGCAAAACGTATACATCTTTTTTCTTTTTTCTTAGTAACGGGCCACTCTTCCAATAATAGATTCTCTCCACACAGTTTTCAAAATTCATCCTTAACATATACTAAATTGTTACTGGCTCTAAACTTTGATTCTGCTCTACCGATCTACTATATGATGTTGCCAATGCCACAACATGTTAATTACTGAAATTCTATAATACATTTTAATCTCAGGTAAGGAGAATTCCCTTATCTTTATTTTTCATTTATAGTTACTCTTATTTTTTAGATTTCCTAAATGTTTACTCTTCCAAATAAACTTTAGAATCATTGGACAAATCTTCACAGAGTCTACTTGCTTTGTACTAGGACTGCATTAAATTAATAAATTAATATGGCAAGAGTTAAAACCTTGACAATATTGAATCATTTATCTTGATTTTTTAAACAAATTATGAGAGTCATACATATTGGTTTTAGCCTCATAATTATATTCAGATTATATTTCACTAGAATCTATGACTGACAGTGGGAAGAGGCAGTCCCAATAGGAAAGCCAGAGAATTAGCTAGTTCTTGGCACAGATAATCATCATGTGTGCCTAATTAAATTCTACTTCTATTTCCCTACAAAAATATAAAACTAGATACAAAACAGCAGTGATTGATATGTCCACTGAAATTTTTCCATAACAAGGTACAGGGTATTTTCCATAGATTCTCCATAAACTTTGGAGTAATATATTTGAATTGTTTCACCTACAGGTGAAAACCAAACAACTAATCCATAATTATGAAGTTTAGGAGTAGCAATTTATTATCATTTCACTATGATTTTTGCATAAGTATTGACCTGCTGTATGATGTTACAAATACCACAACATTTTGATTATTGAAATTTTACTATTAATTCCTATATTCATAAACAGTTTTAAAGATCTTCATTAACTAATTTGGGTAAAATTCAAGGCAAATTTGTGAATTTGAATCCAAACCTCAGGCCTCCAAGCTCTTACCATTCTGTTTTCAGTTTCAGTTCAGTCTATCTGCTCAGCCTTTCAAGGTTCATTCTGCAATGAGCTATGGCCATCCTATCGATTTTCAAAGACATCACTTACACTTTTAAGTGACACTAAAATGTAAAATAAATCAAAGAAATTTTCAACAACCTTCAAAGTAAATTTTGGCCAATTACTTGACATGCCAAAAAAAATTGTAGGTTTTCCACTGAACATCAAACCAAATTTGAGAATCTAGATAATTAACTTGTTTAAATATTAAAAAGACTACTTTCATGGGAAAAGTGGAGAGGCATCTGGATTAACAGCTCCATCTCCAAATCCTGTGGGATGGGGGAGTGAAAATTCCCCAAAGGAAAGCATCATCAAAAGAAGGAGAAAGGGATACAAACATCAAAAATAACAGAAGTCTACTACATCTGCTTTACTGCATAGAATACCTCATGAATATCTTTTGATGTAATTTAATATTCGTACACACTTGTTTTTTGTAGTTAACTACTACTCTATTATTATATGGCTATGACATATTTAATTTAGTCCCCTGTGCTTGTACTTTTTTTTTTTTTTTTGGCTTCTGTGCCCCCAGTGCTCAGAATAACCCTAGCACATAGCAGGTACTTTATATTTGTCAAAACTTTTAATGACAATTTTTAAGATTCAATGGAAGAATGATCATACAGAGAAATTTCCAAAGCACTTGGGTTTTTTTCCTATTTTCTCCAATTTGACATTAGGAACCCAGCTGTTATATTTCAGATAAATAAAATGCCTTAACTATCACAGCCTATGTAATAAGAGACTTTTAAAATAAATGTCCAAACTGTAATAGGTTACAGAAAATTGGTCTATTTATCCTGATTGCTTGAGGCTATTTAACAAACTGATTTTTAGCTAAGAAGTTCAAGGGTATTAATGCCTGAAGACACTGATAAATTGCCTCTTGAGTTCTTGACTTCCAAAGAATAGACTAACCTTCTATCACTACCCAATAAAGGGGTAGAAGGACATAGTCAACAAAGTCAAGAGGACCTGCATTAATAAGAACAACTTAACTTTGTAAAATATTATCAAATTTACCAAGAGAAAACCTACTATGCAGGAAGTCAAATTCTTAGATACTCTTACACTAGTGGATGAAAAGAGGGCAAATATGTTACCTTGCTTTAAATCCCAGCCTTAGTTTTTCTGCAGGGCATGCCAGCTGCAATGCAAATTGTGCTGTGGATTCTATTTCTATGCAGATAATAACGTAAGTTATTACTAACCTCCAGCTTACTCAGAATCTAGGTTATATTGAAATGAGGTCAGAAATAAATAGATAAATTGTTTCAGAACTTGAGATGAGAAGCTATAAGCCAATTACCAACTTCTCTGTTTGCTAGTCTCAGCAACACTTGTCATAAAATTTTACAAATGTCATAAAATTTTGTCTGGTGAAGTGGAACAACCGTCTGAATAATGTTGGACTATCATAGCATCAAGGAAAAAAGCTGAGTGTGATTGATTTGAAAAGAAAAGAAAAGGTAGTGACAGAAAAAAATGAAAATGTCTGGTGCCTTATTTGTAAGTGTTTTATTGTAAATGAACAACTTCAGAATATGATATTTAGTCAAATATTGATGCATCTGCTTAGAACTTATCAATCATTATTTAAAAAAGAATGGTAAAATATCGAGGTTCATTATTTCCTATAATTCCTAATTTCTTATAATGAAAGTGACCAATAACTCCTAATCACAATTTATCCACTAAATACCCATTTTCCTTACCTTGTGTCCTTGTCTTCCTGGTTCACCAATTTCTCCTTTAGCCCCTTTATGACCCTAACAAATGCAAAATAAGTAATTGTCTTGAGTTTGGTACAGAAAGTGATCAGAAGGCTCATAAAGTGATCCTGCTTCCCTAAATCAGTGCCAATGTATTACTAAGAAATGAGTTATGTCACAAAGAAAATTAATGCCTTAAATGACCTTAACAGCACCATGACTGCCATATATAATTAATATCAGTTTTACTTAATAGAAAAACACTGCTCTAGAATAATACACTTCATTACCTAGTTCAGCAATGTGATTCATTGATACTTGCCTGCTATTTCCTAGATCCCTATTCCCTATTTCTCCAACTTCCTCACACGGGTTAGGAGCATTAAGTCTTCTCTAGTTCCGGTAACTTAACCTTTCAGAAGTGACAGCCTTGACCAAGCTCAGCTGGCTATCCCCTGCCCTCTGAAGGCTGCTCTGAAAACCCTTCGGCCTCCTCCATTCCCACCTCCTTCCTGATGGTGGAGGAAGGCCTGGTGTAAGTGGACTTTCTCGGATGCACAACTTTCTGCCTCTTTCTCTGTACATTTTTTGTTGTTGTTTGTTTGGTTTTTTTGTTTTTTTTTTTTGAGATGGAGCTTCGCTCTTGTTGCTCAGGCTGGAGTGCAATGGCGCGACCTCTGCTCACCGCAACCTCCACCTCCTGGGTTCAAGCAATTCTCTTCTCTCAGCTTCCCGAGTAGCTGGGATTACAGGCGTGTGCCACTATGCCCGGCTAATTTTGTATTTTTAGTAGAGACAGCGTTTCTCCATGTTAGTCAGGCTGGTCTCGAACTCCCAACGTCAGGTGATCCACCCACCTCGGCCTCCCAAAGTGCTGGGATTACAGGCGTGAGCCACCGCGCCCGGCCTACTGTGTACAGTTTTTAAGTGCAAAGGGAAAGCAATAAAGGGCAGTGGGTGAAAGCTGCATTGGATGAAAATATCCCTATCTTTTCTTGTCAGGCCACTTGTCCTAAGCACGTGTGTGCTTTGTAACAGGAGACAAAACTGTGAGACAAGCGTTCCAAAATGAAAACTGTCGGAACTTTCACCCCTCAAAGAAATCTTTTTGAAAAATAGGACACCAGTCCAGGCTGAATCTTCTGCAGTTGAGGGAACCCACCAAAACTACCCTTAGAAAAACTCTAATGGAAAATCAGTGCCTTCGGGCCTTTCAGATCACAGCAGAGCTCCATTGGTCTGGAATGTCCCAAAATCACTTTAGACTGAGAGACTAGAGAGAGAGAAAGCTATTTATCCCCAGAATTTGGTATTTATTTTTTGTTTGTATGGAAAACTTTCAAGTAATTACGGTGGCAGACAGAGAAAAATACTTTGGGAAAGTCTCTTTTCCTGACTATTTTGCACAGTTTTTCAAAATTTTTTTAACTGAAAGTTTTCAAATACATTATGTACACAACCCCCTCCAACTGCCCCCACCACTCACTATCTTCCTTAATAGGAAGCACTTTTTTTTTTTGAGACAAGGTCTCCCTCCACCACCCAGGCTGGACTGCAGTGGCACAATCATAGCTCATTGCAACCTTGACTTCTCGAGCTCAAGTGATCCTCCCACCTCAGCCTCCCGAGTAGCCAGGACTACAAGTGCATGCCACCATGCCTAGCTAATTTTTTATTTCTTGTAGAGACAGGGGTCTCCCTCTGTTGTCCAGGTTGGTCTCAAACTCCTGGGTTTAAGCAATCCTCCCACCTTGGCCTCCCAAAGTTCTAGGATTACAGGCATGAACCACTACACTCAGCCAGGAAGCAAACTTCTGAATCTTACTTTGGTGTTCTAAAGTCTCTCAATCCAATGTATTTTATTGGTATTTCTTCCCTGAACTAGAAAGCCATCCTATGATTAAACCTCCATGTCTTGGTAGGAATACAGGAATACATGTCAAGGGCAACTGGAATTGCTAGGACTGAATAAGCACTACTTGCCTGATCATCCAAGTGGGGTCTCTGCACCAGGAAGGCTAATGCTTAAAGTAAAGGCTCCATTTTATCTGTGGATAATACTCTTAAAATACTGGAAGTTATTCTCTTACCCTCATGCCTGGTAGGCCTGGATATCCTGAGCGACCTGGTGGACAGGCATTGGGACACTGCCAGGGAGAGAGGGAACAAAGAGAAAGAAAGACAGACAGAGTGCATAAACTAGGACTCCCGCTTTGTGACAGTATCTTTTTTAAGGGATTCCAGTTACAGAACTCCATTGCAATAATATTCATTGAATAATTCTAAACACCCCTTTCCTTTTTATTATTATTATTTCACATTTAAAGCCAGAAATATTTCTAGCTAACAGAAAAGTGTAGAGAATATAATACCCTCCCCCATGAATGTACCATCCAGATTTAATAAATGTTAATATTTTGCAAAATTTATTTCAAATCTAATTTATTAAGGAAAATATGTTTACAGATAACCTATTGTACCATGACAGGATTCATTTCCCCTTCCCATTCCACTAGACTAGCCCCATCCTGAGGTTCGTGTCTCCAATCAAATGGGCCAACATTGCATTTAGTGTACATTACCACCATCATTGGACTGTTAATCTGTGAGTAAAACAAATCCTAGAGGAAGTTATTTGAACTCTATCTCTTTAAAACCTGGATGCTCTAGTGAAAAGCATGTCTTAGTCATAAAGTAAAAAGATCATAAAAGAACAAAGATACATCTATAATGAAAAATTATTAGTCTGAGTAGATGCAAGCCACTAGTCCACTAGCGTTACAGACTGCTCTGCCATTTGAGTGAAAGGAAAACACAGACACATAGAATATTCCAGGGAAATCTTTTAAAGAAAACTCATCTGCAGGCTATATGGTCTTTGAATTAAAACTATATTTTGTTCAAAGGAAAGCATCTTACCAATGGATCTCCATCATGAAAGCCAATTGTTCCCTAAAGTAAACAAAATATTAAGGTTCAGAATACAATTAAATAATGAATTCAAACATACTAATACTAGAAAGCTCATCAGGCAAAAGTATAAAATATATTTGTTTAATAAAATATAAGAAACCAGATAATATGCTAATATTCTAAAATCCTGACTCATGGGCATGTTCTCTTTGGAGAGCCATGAATTGCAGTAGATTATTTTGGGAAGACATTGAAGGGAAACGAAATAAGAGGCAAAATAGAAAATGTGGGGAACTCTGAATTACAAATAAAAATATGAATTACCTTCCATTTAAACTCATATTCTTTAAATTTTTCTTACTATGAAAACCTTTGTAAAAACTAGTTCATTTGAAAATGCTTCATTTATATATCTAAGTTTTGAGCATTTGAGACATCACAACTGTCAAAAGACTTCAAAAGTAATGAGTAAGATATACCCTATAAAAACCACCTTTTAAATTATTGTGATTCTTCTACTTCTTGCCCTAAACAGAACCATGCCCTTGAGTGCATGGAAAAATTGATAGCCGTTTTGGAAATTTGGGACAATGACTCAATTAATAGGAACTTCCATTTTGGATTCTTAGATTTTTTTCAACCCTGACTCTCAGACACAAACAGAAATTCAAGCTGCAAATAACTTACTCTGGGTCCTGGGGGGCCAGGGGGGCCAGGTGGTCCTCTTCTCCCAGGGTCACCCTAAGTTATTTGAAAATTGCGACACAGTGGTTATACATGTGTCAAAACACAGTACATAAAACCAGTGAGGCATAAGAGAATGGTATTACTGGAAACCCCCACCGAGCTCAGCCATGCATAGACCTGCCACCAAAATCGATGGGTGGCCCGTAATCCAATTAGTTCTACAAAATGAGAGTAATAAAGGCATTCCAGTCTCACCGAGGTAATAAAACAAGTCAGAGAGAAGCTAGGGGAAAAAGCAAAGCCAATTCTTCTCTATCAGACAAACATTTTATCTACTCTGAAAGCAAATTGGAAACACTACTTATTTTTCTGGTTGATTTACAGAGGACCTAGAGCAACCTATACTGCTAGTGCCATTCTGCTAACCAGTGCAAAAGAAGGTTTGCACTCAGTCTGAAACTGTGGAATGGAAGGTTAATCTCTGCAGTGCCTGACTCTTGCAAGTGCTGTTCACCCACAATCTATCACTTGGTCTGTCACTGCACCTCTTGCAATGAGTCAGAAAATCAAAGAAAGCTACATCGAAGTAAACCGTTCAGATGAAAATGGGTTCCAATTACTCTTAACATCCAATGTTTACTCTTGGCACATTTTCCTTCTTGATGTTCTGCCATAAAGAGTCGGAAGCACCTCCCAATTATTTTAACTTTACAATCATTTCATATTCATTCACTTGTTCACTAAATAAATTTGCAAACAGTAAGCACATGTAGAGGAACAAACAAGGTATATGATACATGGCTCCTTCCCACAGTGAGTTTACAATTACGCGCCTTCACATAACATCACTATGTCAACGTTTTTGAAATGTTTACTTAATATCAATATGAAGCATTTTATATGAGACATTTTTTATGAAGCCCAGCTCTTTAATGTTAAAAGTTAAATTTTGTTGGCTGAATTATAATTTAATGATCCTAACATAAATACACATGGTAATAATTTTAGGCTATTCACTTTTATTTCATGCAGGGAGCCTAATACAAAAGCCACTAGACTCCAGTCCTGGCTGAGAGTCTGTAAAATGAGGACGACACTCTCTTACTTGACAATCTGGAAGTTGGGAAGAAAAGTTTAGCTGAAAAATTTAGGAAAAAATTAAAATCACTCTGCAAAAATTATTATTATTCCTGGTTCACATCAATATTATAAACTGGAATGAAATTCATCTGCCATGTTTTGGTTTGCAAGTGGAAATGTACAGTTAGGGTAATTTGCTTTCCCAAATAACATCTTCTATTAAATCAGCAAACGTCTATCAAAGTGCACTGTGGTACTCACAACAGGTCCTACACGGCCAAGCTCTCCAGGGAGTCCTGCTGTCCCAGGAGGACCCTGAAGTCAACAAATCAAAGCAAATGGTCATTTATGAATATTTTTACAATCTATCATACATTATATCAAATATGATAAATATTAGATTTACATTTCTGTATTAGCTTTGGTTTCCAATGACACAATAACTCATTTGACCAAACTTTAATTACTTAAGATACAGCAGAAATTTCCTAAATTAATAAATATTTTGTTTAGCAGAATAAGGGTGTTATCCTTAGTAGCCACCTAAGATCTTGCAGGTAGAACACTGTAAACACCACTGAGTAGACCGTTAGTAGGAGAATAAGGTGGGGATTTGAGAAATAGGACATTTTTATAGACTGCATAAAAATAAATGATGAAGTGATACTTACAGGGGGTCCAGGAATACCACGGCCCTAAAAGAGTACAATAAAAATGGTTATAGCTTGAGGTTTATACTTAGTATAAATATGAATGTAGACATAACTCAGCTAAAATAAACCATAAACTCTATTACTAAAAATGATGCTCATTCTAAAGAAAGCACTGAATAAAGAAAAGCAAACACGGCTCTGCTTCTACAGGAAGCAGAAGCTTATTTCAGCTCCTCTAACATTCCTTTGCTGTCTATGCTAACTGGGATTTTTCCAAACTTTTTTTTTTTAAGGAAATCAAAGTAAAGAAGCCTTCCATGCTTGCCCTCAGGAGAACTTACCATAACTCACAAAGAGGTGCATCACAACTGGAGAGTTTACAGATTTTATTCATTTGTAGCATTTTATAGGAAACCTACATTAAAAGCATTCTAGTTTTACAATCTATAATAAATTATGTTTAGAAGTTCCCCAAACATTCAGCACAGAGAGGCAGGGACAAAAAAGGGTCAGAAACACACCTCCCTTTTGAAAGGTTGGGCTATATTTTCAGACACTGAATCCAGTAGATATTGAAAATAAAATGGTGTCACTCCTGAAGTAACCTACAATGGGACGCTAATTTAATATGTTATATTTGATTTTTAAGATAGTCATTCTATTTTCTTCTTTACATTTATATCTCGTTAGCAACACCAAACTTTACATAATCAAGGATTGAACCACATCTTATTCATCTTCCTAGCCCCAACTCCTAGCACGGGGCCTAGCATATAACAAAACCTAATAATATGCTCGTTGAAATTAAAACTGAATATCAGCTGCCTAGATCTCTATTCTCTCTCTTTAATTTCCAAGTTCAATTTTTTCCCCTTGGGATTTCTCATTATTCTTTTCTCTCCTACATTGGTTAGAATGGTTTTTATTCACAGCTGTCTGTGATATGATATTCATGATAGCTTTTCACTCCAGACTGGCTTTTCTAAAATATGAATATACCAAGCATCCCATGGAATCAATGCACTGATAATGATATTATTATTTCTAATTAGTTGGACAGGAAAAACAAGCAAGAACTTCACATGGACAGTATGTTTTAATAATCAGTGGGATTTTAAAAGGCATTCCTGGAAAAAGGACTCCAGTTTGAACACTTTAATACATAGGTCAATTCAGGAAGTAAGTGTTGTGTTTGAAAACACCAAAGTAATCAATAAGTTCTTTCATTGTCAGAAACCTAGATGTTCAACAAATTTCACTAAACAAAAAGGCATCTCTATAAATTGTTGAGATTAAGAGTTGAGTTGAAAAATATGGGAGAAAGGCCAGCAAGCTGTTCACTTCTGAAAATAGGCTTATAATGGAAAAGTTGACATGCTGAAATATGGCAAAGAAAATAGCACAAATAGGAAAAAAGAAGAAAAAATACAGATTAATGACAAGAGTAAAAGTGGAACAAAGAGCAAAATAGATAGGAAAAGCAGCCTAAGAACCTGGTCCTCATATATACAAATAACACACACCTGCCATATTGTGCAAATGCAGAAAAAGACTAGCCAAGGAATCAGGCAAGTGATAATATCTGATTAGTCGATATTTCATTAGAGATAAAACCAGTTGTGAAGAATGTGGTGTGACACCATGGTCTAAACATTGAATACTTAGATATGCTGTTGTTATGCAAGAAGTGTTTTCTATCATGGCAGGTAAAGAGGGAATTGTCTGCTGGGAAATACCACCTGCAAATAGAATATATATTTTCTACTGTACATTCAAACTTCTCTAAAATTTTTCCACTCATAGTAGAAATGCTTACCATACCAGATGTCATCAACTTATTTCTCATGTATATTATGCAGAAAACTGCACATGTACCCTAAAACTTAAAGTATAATAATAAATAAATAAATAAATAAATAAATAAATAAAAAGATTTCACAATGGCAGAATTTTACCTAAAGATAGGAAATTTTCAATTCTGTAGCTTTACATTTACTTACTGGAAATCCACGCGATCCAGGCACACCAGGTTCTCCCTAAAAATAAAAATAGTTTCATTGTACTGACCTTTCATATCATGAATATGTAAATGTGAAAACTGCATAAATATTGAAAGCATTAAAACACCCCATTATGGTGTTTTTTTTTTTTAAATTTCCAACTTTTATTTTAAGTTCAGGGGTACATGTGCAGGATGTGCAGGTTTGTTACATAGGTAAACATGTTCCATGGTAGTTTGCTGCACAGATCATCCCATCACCCAGCTATTAAGCCTGGCATCCACTAGCTATTCTTCCTGATGCTCTCCCTCCTCCCACCCCCTATTTTCTGACAGGCCCCTGTGTGTGTTGTTCCCCTTCATGTGTCCATGTGTTCTTTTTATTCAGCTCCCACTTATAAGTGAGAACATGCAGTATTTGGTTTTCTGTTCCTGCGTTAGTTTGCTGAAAATAATGGCTTCCAGCTCCATCCACGTCCCTGCAAAGGACATGATCTTGTTCCTTTTTATGGCTGCATAGTATTCCACATCATGGTGTTTTTAAACACAATTTTAGTTGAACGAGTGCATTTTAGATACTTCATAACTTAATGTTAGTTGGCTTGCAAACACTGCAATAAAATTATACTTCAGCATTTTCGTACTAGCAATTAATGCCAGATGGCTAACTTACTTTTTGTCCCTTTGACCCAATGGAGCCAGGGGATCCATCAGGTCCTGTTAATCCCTAATAGAGCAAGACAATGATGTTAGAACTATCATAACATCCTTAGGCAAACCACTAAGTAGAAAACTTTCATTTTATTTATTAATTGTCTACAGGATGGTTACATAAGTATGATGCAAATATTTATAAAGAAATACCTTACTATAGTCTTACTCAAAAGTAAAGATTAACAGAAGATCTGCCTGTTGTGATTATTTCTTCTTGATAAGTTGTATCATACTCCTAACTTCCTGCTAACTGCATTGTTTATCACAGGGTTCAATAATTCAGTGTTTTTTGTCTCTGCTTTGGAAAAAAATGCAACATAGCAATTACAATGTTGTAATAGCTAAGACTGGTGGGTCTTGGTTCTGCCATTTACTCAGGTTTATTTACCTCCTTTACTTCATTTATGAAACAAAAATACTATGTATCTCTCTACAGGACAATAATCTCTTTCTACATGACAACAATGTCTTGGAAGTCAATAAAATATTTCCTCAATAAGAATTAAACACAAACAATCTCATTATTGCCTTATAGCCACTAACAGCCCCCTAGCCATCTTCTAGCAATGACAATTGCTTATCAAAGAATATTAATTCTTAAAGTAGAAACATTTGAAAGCATGCATGTTTCTACATTATTTTTCTTAGTAAAAATAGCTGTGATTAAGTATATATGTTCATGTATGCCACTCGGTATGTAAAATTTAAGCCTATTATTATAAACCACATTTATAATTATCATATTTAATACTAAAGCAGTTATTAAATACATATTCTAAACATTCTCATTTTCCCTACTACTACTTACTTTATCATCATCCTCAATATAAAACACGTATTAAAGAATGATAATATCACATATATACAAGAATTTCCATATTTGGTAAAGATACATTTCTATTTTTAATTTTTTTCTTTGCTCTTTGACACTTTCAGATGCTGTCATTTACAATGTAATCTTGAAAGTATACCTTCCTAAAGATAAATATGATATATATGTGTGTACATATACATACATGCCTATATAAGTATCTTATAAACCCTTTCTATTATCAAGATTTTGAAGAAGACCCAAACAATATTGACAGAGGGATCTCTTGAAAAATATGAAAGCCCTACTTAAAAATGGATCACCAAAATTCATATTTAGTCTGTCATGGTCTGAATAAACATCCATAAAATTCCTTCACATAATTCATATAGAAAACTAGTTCAGTGGCCACCATTTTTACATTTCTCTACCTTAATTAATTTTCCTAACAATGTCACAGAGTGAATCAAATAGAAAAAAATGAGTTGAAATGTTAATTACTGGAAATTTACCAAAGAAGAAAAATATTAAACACACACAAAAGAACTTTTGACAGACTGCCTTTGATTTTCAATAGCCCTAGTCTAATTACAACACCGTAATTTGGGAACAAACCTCAACATGATTAGTTGCTAAGCACCTATGGTAATGAAATGTTTGCTTTGGCATTTCACAAACAAACTATACATCCAGGAGCACTCTCTGGATGCACATATGGCATGTAAATTTTATAAACCTCTGGGCATATTTAACTAACTGATCCTCTAATTCTCACTTAATGCATAAACCCTCCAAGACCAATTCTGTTCAATTTTCATACACACAGTCAACTAACACTCTTCAACCTGTGACTGGAATAACTGACAAGATTGGAGGACAGTAACTATAAAGCAGAACCAAGTAAATAGTTGGATAACCTGGAAGCTGTTTTTCGGTTACTTCATATTAAAAATATCCTCCATAAGACATGCTAAATTATGTCAATCACTGGAAAGTTCTTTGAACTAAGTTGAAAATGGATTCTGGTGTCAGATGTTACAGTAACACCTGTTATGAAATAACTATGCAGAAAACCGTAAGCTCCATGAGGACAAGAGTCATATGTCCATTACAGTCCTAACATGTTGTCCTGGCATCTAACCACTCAAGATGTGATTACTGCCTACAATAAGTTTAAGGAGGCCTTCCAGGTGGCAGGATATTACACTTGTTCCTCCACAACATCTTTATATTCAGCTCAAATCCTGATCCTACTACTTAGCAGCTGTGGAATCATGGGCAAGGTCCCTAACTGCACAGTGTTCTAGACGCTGTTCCTCATTGAGAAAAGGTCCTACAAACAAACAAACCAAATCTAGGTATTAACCACAGCACTGTATTTCTTATCCTCATCACATTTCTTCAATGCCTGAATATTTGCACCTACACTGATCTTTTAGAATAATTTCTTAATAACTCACAATTCTAGTTATAAAGCATCTGCCACAGATAATAGTTGTATACATTCAGAAAATACATAGCACCTAACCTCTGCCTGTAAAAATTATCACAGTTTAGCTATAATTCTTATACTTTATTCTAATTCCTCTTCTGCTTATCTCATATGGGTGTTATAAGAAAGAATAAAATACTGTTTTTAAAGGTCTCTCTGAGCATGTCACAACAAATAGTACATATAAAAATATCTCTATTAATATAATTGCTGAGAACAGCACAGTTGTCCTAAGGTTAGGACCAAGTTCTGTCTTATCTAATTTTACATGTCCATAAGCCAAAAAAAAAAAATCAACTTAACCTGAAAAAAGGGCAGATTTGAGTTGAAATATACAGACCACACACATAATACATACATAATTTTCAAAATCCAGTTTGCAGTAAGACCTCCTAATTCTTATTTCAAAGAAATAAAAGAAGAAAACATTACCAGAGCAGAAAAAAGTGCCTTCATATGAATATTCATACAGACAAACTTCTATACATTATAACATTGAAGCTGACTGTGTTCTGAACTTCATGTTACTGTTTGGCAGAGAAAACCAGTCCTCAATGGAGATTTCCTTCCAGTATTCTGACAGCTCAGCTGGTAGGACTCAAGGCTTACTTCTACAAGCATGACTGCTATGACTCATTTACATTTTCTGCCAAAAATCCATTCAACATAGGATAATGAACACTGAACAGGGTTCCTTTCTGATTCTTTCAACCATCATCCAATTAACCATTTTTTAACATTATCAAAAAATAAGCCTTGTAATGACCCAAAGAGCAGAAGACGAAATGATTCGAGGTTTAAGGTCCTACCAGCACACTCAGGTTCACCTACCAAGAAAGGACTGTTGAAGCTCTCCTACTTACTTAGCTCCCCTATGGCCAAGGACAAACAAACAGCAAATTCTGACCCAGTTACTGCATTTCATTATTCTCAAAGATATCCATTCTCAATTTAGAATAAAAGATTTTTTTAATGTCAAATCAGTCAAAGAGTGGAATAAGAAAACTTTACAGTTCCAGATGCCTCATGTGGCTTAAATTCAAAAGTCAGGGAATATAAAACAAACCAATATTTATAAGTAATTATAAAATATCTATTACAAATGGCTGTTATTATCCATATCATTCTTCTTGATCGGTGACTTAGGTACTAAAAATTCACTATCACTTTTTCTCTCTGTTCTCGCTATTCTCTCTCATCTATTAAGATCGTCACTTGTATTCGCATGAGGCAGAATTGCCTGGGGAGTCTAAAAATCAAGAAATCTGGACTATTTTGTTATCTTAGCTACTAAATAGCTCTCTGAGGAAACCACTTGTCTTCATAATTATTGTTTCCTTATTTATGGAAAGTAATATTAGACTAATCTACTTTCCAGGTTATTGTTGGTTAAAAGAAATGTTTGTGGCAGTGCTTGAGGAAAAAGTTCTGTGTAAATGCAAATAGTATAGTTGATTTTTCCCCAAGATCTAGAAAATGCCTAAAATACTGGCAGATACAGGGATTTCCTTTTTTCTCCCCTTTCCTCTCTTTCTCTTTTGCTTTCCTCTCCTGTCTCAGCAGACTAAATGTGCTCATCATTTTTTCCTTGAGGTCAAAGTTCAATAATTTAAGGCAGCTTATTCTTTTATGTCTTTTAATATTTGAAATCTGGTTTATGCTGCACTGTGGGTCTGCAAATATAGACAAAGAAAAATTTACTTGAAATTGCTTTCTATGTTGTACTTCTAAAAATTTCAAAGCACTTTCATTTGTTTATCCAAAGTTTCTGTTAGAGTGGGGAAATTACTTTATAAGCAAAACCAAGGATTGTCTTTATGACACCATGGTATAAGGTAAAGAGAAGAATTTGTTGAGTAAGCTACAAAAGCACTATTAAATTGGGGGACAGATAAGTCCAGCTTTCTGTCTGACATTATATTGCAGTTTAATTAATAGCAAGACAAGGATTCAGATGACCCATTTACGCTTCAAATACCAAAATAAATTTTTGAAATACAAAATAAATATTTTATTTACCAAAATAATTTTTTTAATTTAGTCAGAAATTTTCTTTTCATCCAAAACTAAAGGCTGATTGAAATTTCAAAGGAATATAGAAATAAATTCAAGCTACATTAGGCTACCAGTTTGTTCAGTAGCCTTGAATTTGTCAGACTCTTTTTATTATGGTATGACAATTTCGATTAATTATAGATGTTCCAAAGAGTTTGATTGCCAACAAGTTATATTATTTCAGTTCATATTACATTAATACAAACGCTTGTTTGAGATTCAGTTTTTACTATCTAAATATTAGTCCTTAGGTGCCTCCTGTACTGCTAATTTGCATACACAGAAAGTTCAAACTAGGGGCTTTGAAATGTAAACCAAGATCTATTTCCTAAAATACTATGGGTGAAACCCCATCTCTACTAAAAATACAAAACTTAGCAGGGCATGGTGGAGGGCACCTGTAATCCCAGCTACTCGGGAAGCTGGAGGCTGAGGCAGGAGAATCGCTTGAACCCGGGAGGCAGAGGTTGCAGTGAGCCGAGATCGTGCCATTGCACTCCAGCCTGGGCAACAAGAGCGAAACTTCGTCTCAAAAAAAAAAAAAAAAAAAAAACACATACACATACAAAAACGCTAAATAGTATAGACACAGTATAAACAAACACATTCATTATGGGAATCCCGACAAAGAAAGCACACCTTAATAACAGTAAAAATCCAGTTATTTATTTTTCTTTCAAAATGAAGGATATGTCTTAAACTGTAGTCAAAAATTCTTGGAAATCATAATTATAGGTTTTCGAGTGCTTTCTTTCATTTAGAAAAGTCTTTAGTTTTTGGAAAACACATAAAGTGGTAACTTGAAGAGTAACTTGAGTGATGCACCATGGTATGCTAAGAACAGACGCCATTTCTTACTTCACTTCATATTCCAGGGACAAAATCAAGGACTGGTCTGTAGTGGGTCATTATTACATATTGTTAGAATGCATGGAAAGAGGAGAAGCTGAGAATCCTGAAGTCATTTTACTCTGAAGAAGTATTATTTAGTGTTAGGTTTACCATATAAGTCAGCATTTGATGGAGATGTGGGTAAACTGGAGAAAGCCTGCTGGTTCTCAATCTTCATACAGTCCTAGCCAGCTCATTTCTGCCAGTAATGCCAGCCAGAAAAACTCCATGGAAAGACGAAAATCTAGTTTTGAATTTCTAAATTCCCCGCACATCCCCACTCACTTCAAGTGCATCTTTCTTTTTCACATTCCTTGGGATTTAGGAGTGCTCTGGCCCTTTGCCTACCTGCAGGATCTTTTTCTAAATTAATGCAGGGAGTGCCGGTGAAAGAGCAAGGGCGAAGGCTAGCTTCCAGGAGCCTGCCAGTGGGCTCACAGCAGGTAAGCCGAAGCCAGTACAATCTATTGCCATCCGTACCCCCTCTGGCCCCAGTGGGGCTGAGAGTTCACAGCGTGCACTGTGAGGTCACGGTTAGAGACAGGAAGCCAGTACCCGCTGCTGTTTTCTAGGAGGAGGAAATGCCAACGCCTCCTAGAGAGAGGTATCCTCACCTTCACAAGTCCTTTTGCAAAAGCTGCCAGTTCCACGATCAATCAGGCGCTGGCAGGAGGCCAAGTTTAGAGCCACAGCGCGTTCTCTCTCTCTCTTTCTCTCTCTCCCTCCCCCCCCACAAAACAC
Source organism: Homo sapiens (assembly GCF_000001405.40). Lineage (NCBI taxonomy): Eukaryota > Metazoa > Chordata > Mammalia > Primates > Hominidae > Homo > Homo sapiens. The sequence goes on from NC_000006.12 coordinate 70,280,750, forward strand.
ACACTTACTCGTACCCACCACACACCCCAGGCTGGGCGCCCTCCCAGCACTCGCCTACTCACATCAGCGCCAGGTGTGCCAGGCTTGCCTGGAGCTCCTGGCTTTCCCGGTTCACCTGCAGGACCCTGAGCAGGGGCAGAAGGGTGCGGGGGCAGGAGAGAAAAAGGTGCAAAGTTGAGACCCTTCAGAAACAGGGGGCTGCAAAACACGTCTAAAGGAAGGAAGTGGAGCGCCATATGCTCCAATCAACTTACCGGGGGGCCCGGGGGGCCCTTAGGACCTCGGTCACCCTGGAGGGGTAGGAGAAAAAGAGAGAGCAGTCTATGAGCGGGATAGGCTGAGGACCCCACTGGGACAATCCCAGGAGAGCTCACTTCACAGATGGGGATGGTGTAAGGGTCAAACGTGGAGGTTCATGACCAACAAGGACAACAGAGACACCTCTCCCTCCAAAAATCCCCGGGTTCCTAGGATCCTACCCCCAACTCTCGCCCATGTCTGATCCTGCCTTTAAGTGGGGTGGCAGGAAGGGGAGACCCTGGTCCTCTCTGAAAAAAAAAAAAACCCCACAGGAGCCCTGGGAAAAGAATAGGAAAGGGCAGGACTGGGGAACAGAGGTGGCCTGGAGATAGAAACTTACGTCGATGCCATCGATGCCTGGAACTCCAGGGGGGCCCGGAGGCCCGGGAGGACCCTGCTCACCCGGGGGACCTCTCTGGCAAAAATAGCAGACATAGGTTAGTGGAGCACATCGGGCAACAGGGAGCAACTGAGCGCGGTGCCCTGAAGCCCCCGCCTCCGTGGGGTAAAAGTTACCTTCCAGAGGAGGCCGGGTTTTGCAACCCAACGCAAAAATGTCTCAGACCTCCAAGCAAGCGCAGCTTTGGTCTCCGCCATATTCTAATGAGCTAAACTGTGGGGCTAGAGCAGGATTGACGCCCCCAAGGTTGGGGGAGGCTTCACTGGTTCTCACCTCTGCAGAGTGCATTAAACCCAGGAGGAGTTGTGGAAAAGGAAGGGTCTAACGCCTTTGTATCCTCAAAAGGATACAAAAATGAAAATGGGGCTCATTCGATACCTCGATTTATCAGTCATTGCAGGTCAGTGTTTTGGCCAGAATGGAACAGCCAAGAACAGAGACTCCACACCAGGATCTTTGTCCAGTAGAATGGGGAGGCGGGGCGTACACTTGAGGAAAAGATTTGGGAGGAGTAGGGCAGGGCAGCCTTGAGACCAGTGCCTGGCCTCATTTCAGTTTTACCTGCAGTGACACTCCCTCAGTCCCTTGAATTAGGTCTTTGCATCTCACTTCAAAATTACACCAAATTTCAGACTGACCCTGGGGCGTGACCCCTTTTATCGCTTGCAAACAGCTGCGTTTTGATGGTGCTAGAGGGAATGCTGGCGTCTGAAATAGTATAAACGTGTTGCTTAGGGAATGTGGGGCTGTTTTTACCCTTCTGAATTAAAAAAAGAAAAAGAAGAGACTCTTTCATCAAGGAAAACTTTGTTTTTCTAAACTCCAACGACCAAACAGGTTACAATGGGGTCTTTGTAAGTGAAACCTCAAACCTCAGCTGGGCTTATGCGCCCCCGCCGGGTCCTCCCTCGCGCAGGAGGCGGGAGGCGCTGGAGCCTTTGGGAAACTGCTGAAATGCTGATGGAAGCCAGGGCCGCCAAGTTCCGTCCCGGAGCCGCCAGCACCGCTAGCTGGACTCGGGGTTAGTGCAGCTACGGCGGGCTGGAGGAGCGGGAGAGGGAGCGTGCCTGGATTCCCGCCTTTTCCAGCAAGGCCTGCTGTTGACAGTGACCAGGAGGTGGGGCGGGGGAGGGGGTGAGGTGCGGGAAGTAAGAAGCAATAACAGGCTAAGAATTAAACCTCGGTCTCCAGTCACCTATTACCTTCAGCGCCAGAGCCTGCAGTAGGGAGGACCCAGATTGGGGAGGAGCCCCCCTTCCTAGACCAAGGGGTCATCTACGGCTCTGGACTTCGATAGGACTCGCGGCAGGTGCTCGAGGCTGGAGGAAGCGCGGGTCTGAGAGCCCTGGGGATGCTCCGCGCCTTTCTCACAGCTCCCTCGACCGCTGCGCCCCGACCTGTCCTCGTGTGCGCTTGAAAAATGCAAACACTCCCTGCCCCCAACTTACCTCGTCGGTGGTCTGGCTGGGCTGGAGAAGAAAAGATGGGGAGAAAGTGAGAAAAGCACCCCTCAAACTCGATCGCAACTTACTTGAGCCGCGCACAAGCAGAGCCCCAACAGCAGCAGCCCCAGGGCCCCGCGGTCCCGCGCAGTCCAGGCCATGCCCGCCGCCCGCCGCTAATCCCTTGGCCCGGCTCTGCAGCCTGGTTCCCCTCTAGGCTTCCAGACCCGCCACTAGCATAGGTGGCACTTCGTCCCTGCAGAAAAAGCACCCCCGGGAGTAGCGGTTGCCAAAGCGTCCAGGCCCGGGAGGCGCGCGTTCCCCCTGTTTATGAATGGCCCCGGAGAGGGTCCTGGGATTGGAGGAGAGCTAGGGGGCAGGGGAGGACGGATAGAATGACAACAGTCGCCCTTAACCCCTTCCCTGCCGCCGCACAGGCGAGGACTGAGCACGCAGCTCTGCCTCCATCCCATCCACCCCAGTGCAGCTTCTGGCTGTCCTCGGAGACTTCCCGGGTGGCCTGTGCCAGTGCTGGCCAGTAGAACTCAAGTGTTCTTGGACATGTTTGAGAGTAAGGGAGGAGGGTCCATAAGCTACCAAAGGGACAACCACACACCCGCAGGTGGTTTCTACCTGCCAGGCTGCAGGTGGTTTCTACCCGCCAGGTCGAAAGTATGAAGTGTACTTCCCTAATATTTCTCTAGTCAGTACAGCAAAGCACAGGCTCTCTTAGCGAAAGAGAGTGGGGAGGAGGGGTGCTGGGGAGGTGGCAAGATGGGAAAGTGGTGAGGTGGAGAGGGTTGAGCTGGGTAGAAGTGGCCTTTGCAGGTAGTCAGGGGACTCACCGTTATTCTGGCTGGCAGCTCATGGCAAGTTTCTCTCCTGGGCCGCAGGGGGTCACAATGGATCAGCATCCATTGAAGTTCAAACTGGAGAAAGGTAGTAGACAGTCAGGTAAGGTTTTTTGGACGACTGAAGCTGGTCATTCAAGAGAGAGATGAGTTGCGTCTAATTGTTAAATAATTGGAAATCAACTTGAACTGGTTGAGCACACTGGACCAGGACTCTTGCTTTTCCTTGAATACAAGTTTTCTAATGGAAATGGGTTGGAAGCTTTCACAAGTTTCTCTGATTATTAGGTATAGATGTCTTTAGCTTTGAATTATTTCAGCATACCCCTAGCCTGGAAACAGACCACCAGCACTGACTTTCTATTTCTGTTCTGATGACAATCTCAAGATGTAGATCCTACTAAAATGAGGTTCAGAGAGAACAGAAACGGTCCAAGTCACAAACCAATAAGTGTCAGAGTCTGGGTTGAAACCCAGGGCTATTGAACTCTACAGGGAATATATGCTGTAAGATTTTAGATGGGAGATTAGAGACAGAAAAAAAAAGTGGCAATCAGAAGGACAAGTAGAAGAAAGAAAATCTAGTCTTGGAAAAAATTTGCACACTGGAGAAGATATTCTCCGTGGAGTGGTCACAGCTTAAAATGGAAATGTAAGGACTGAAGATGAAGGCAGTGAGAAGGAAATATAAGACTCAGGAGAAAAAGATATAAAATATTTAATTTTTTATAATCTTATTCATTGGTTGAAAAGATGTAACTTTCTAGACACTTGAAATCCAAATGTGTTCTGACAACTTCTTACATTGTTAGCAGGTGTTACAGGATAAAAAAGAGGGTAGCAGGAAACAAACAGAGCAAGGAAAATGTTGCCAGGTCTGAATCTGAAAAGATCCTCAGGTGACAAGGCAAAAAAAATTAAAATGTCATATCCCATAGGAAGCCTATAGCCACAAACCATGCTGGTATCTCTTAATTAAGGAGCTTTCTGCTAGGCATTTCAAATTGGATCCATATTTCTTTGTCATTGATGTTATGCAAATGTCTGGGTAAGCATCCAGGTCCTAGATCTAAGCATTACTTCTTTTCTTTCATGCAATAGAGATTTCCATGTCATCCCACCTGCCAAATGGATTCTAGAGCTCCTAAACCTAGAATGGGAAATTACATAATTTTTTTCACTGTTTTGGAATCATCCACAGTTGAGATCACTGGACAGAAGATCAAAATTGGAGAGACAATGAAGAATGAAGTCTTTCCTTCCTACCCACAGAGGAAGGGAAAGTTTAACAAAAGGAAGTTTTGGCTAACCAGAAAACCTATATCTTTTGTTTCAATAGTTCATTAAAGTTACTTATTGCAAATGTGAGGTAATTCATTAAACTGTTTTCTCAAATATGTAATTCTCTCTGGATAAACTGGTACACCTGTTTAAATATGCAAGCTGCAATTGTGGCACAGGATAATGGGGGAATGAAATGTAATTCATCTGTGAATACAGGCTGGGTTGTTCAGAGTGCCACATAGATCAAGAGTTTCTGAACACATCTGCGCATCCACATAAACATCACCTACACGCTAATAATCATCTATACAACAACCGTTTTTTGGCATGAAATATGAATTCCAATTTGCATGCTGATTATTTTGAAGGAAGATTGGCAGAGTGCCTTGGTAAAAGTCACTTGCGTTATACATGTAAAATGCTGATTTTCACACATTTCTCATTTTCATACCTGGAATCATTCTTCTCTTTGAATACTCACTGACAAAGTATATGTGAAAAATAATTTAGTCCTTTTGGCTGGTGTGAGTACAGTGATGTTTACAACTAATTTAGTCCTTTAGTCAACATTTGTGATGTCCCAATAGAAGCCAAACACTAAGGAAACATTCTGGTGAAACCAAAGATATTCCCCTCTCCACACTGGGTTTATAATTTGCAAGACAAGAAAAATACAAGTAAATAAATAAATAAGTTTGTTTTAAATCTACTAAACAGAATATAAAATGCCCTAGCAAAAGCCATCCTTCTCAACATAAAATATTTCTCCATTGTCTCAAGGAGAAATGAGTAGTGTGTGAATGTAAGGTTCCTCACATCTGCCCAGATTTAGGATTATTCAATTATTTTCTTTTCTTTCTTTCTTTCTTTTTTATTTTTTTTAGATGAAGTCTCGCTCTGTTGCCAGGCTGGAGTGCAGTAGCACAATCTTGGCTCACTGCAGCCTCCACCTCCTGGGTTCAGGCGATTCTCCTGCCTCAGCCTCCCGAGTAGCTGGGACAACAGGCGCCCACCACCACACCCAGCTAATTTTTGTATATTTAGTAGAGACGGGATTTCACCATGTTGGCCAGGATGGTCTCGATCTCTTGACATCTTGATCCGCCTGCCTCGGCCTCCCAAAGTTCTGGGATTATAAGGTGTGAGCCACCGAATCTGGCCTATTCAATTATTTTCTATAGGACAATGTAAAGGTATAATTCAATCCTCAAGGTTACAGTAATGCCCAGCTGACAATACATTTAAGCAAGGAATTTTGGCCCCAACTCTCTATTCTTTTACCAAGGTTAACGATTTCTACTTATTTTGCCAGGTTGTTAAGAAAGATTAATAAGGTATTTAAGTCCTTCATAAGAACTAAACAAAAACTAACTGCAGACAACTATCTTTTCCTCCTGAGAGAGAATGTTAATGGCTATGAAACTTGGCTCAGTGTTAATGAGATTGGCACAAGGTTTGATTTCTGCAAACTGAATTATGATTAAATTTTACAACTATAAAACACCAAAAAACTAGCTCTTTAATAGGACAGATGTTTCATTAAGCTTTTGTCTTCAGTGACAACAAAGATTTAAAAGAATACTTGAATCCTCAGATCTCATCTTTCCTTTCAGTTTATGACCAAATGTTAGTTTATACCATCATGAAAGACCTCCTCCAAGTGAAGCTTCCTGATTACTGAGCAGGAGGCTCTGAGCTGCCTCAAAATTAGAAAATTTCCTAATTCTATGTAGACTAAACCCGGCTGTTCCAGACATAGTGCTAGGGATGTAGGCAGCACTCATATTTAACGCAATACTGTACCAAAGGCTACAGCAGAATGGTGAAAGGAGAAAGCAGTAAACTTGGAGTTAGTAGACCGGAGACATGCTCATTTATTTATTCAACGTATTTTCATATAACACATTCATGTGCTTTGGGATAGACACCATGAAAGACACAAAAATGTCTACCATATAAGGCAGTATCTAAGCAGAAAATGATTTGATGATAAATACTATAGCAGTGGAGATGACAGAAATATTTTTCTGGCTCAGGTCATCAATGAAGGGATCATATAACACGCGCATATATGTGCATGCACATATATGGGTGGGGCCCTGAAGCCCCACTTCTGTTATTATAAGCAGAGACACGGAGGGTAAAGATTAGGGTTTACATAGAGGGGTTACAACAACAAGTCCCAAGGGTAGGAAGTGGTATATAGAGAAGAGACCAAATTTGCTGGGGCAGAGTAGACATCCGATTTTTTTTTCACCTTGACTTCAGGGCTAAGGAATTTAAATATTATTTGGTATATTATTATTAAATTGTCATTGAAAGACTTTTTTTGCAAAAGATAAGGATGGGGAAAGCTTCCTTGATTTAGAGGGCATTTTGAGGAAATTCATTTGGTCATAAATGCCTAATCCTTTGAGGCAGAAGGAGGCTACCGCAGTAAAGCAACAAGAAGTGTTACACTCTGAACTATGATGAGGCATCCTAAGTTATCTGTCAGATAAAAAGAAAAATCCTCCCCACATTTTACATACCACTTCAGCTGCCATCCTCTGTTCCTCTTTACACAAAATTCAAAAAAGATGTCTACAACTACTGTCTCCAATTCTTCTCCTCATTTTCTCTTGAACCCATTCCAGTTGGGCTTTCACTCCCAACACTCCAATGGGTCTTTTCTCAAGATCACTCTCTTTGATTTCTAAATCCAATGGTCAACTACTTGACTTATCTACAGCATATGAGTCAGTTTCTTATTCTATCCTTTTTGAAATACTATTTTCCCTTGACTTTCAGGGCACCACAATCTCCTGGTCCTCTCCTATATTACAGATCCCTCCTTCTTAATCTCTTTTGACAAATGTTCCTCATCTCAGCAATCTCTAAGTGTTTTCATTTAGAGATATTTCAGGACTCAGTTCTTGGACTTCTATATTACACTTGTCTCTTGGTGATTTCCTGACTTTAAATACCATATGTATGTTGACAATTCCCAGAGTTCTATTCCCAGATGGACCTATCTGTTGAACTCCGAAAGCATATATCTGCCTATTTACCAACTTCATCTAGATGTCTAGTAACGATCAAACTAACTCCAAAACCCAAACTAACTCCTGATACTCTCCCTGACACCTGCTCTTCCCACAGCGTTTCTCATGTCAGTAAATGGCACGTCTATACTTCCAATTACTCGCGCCTAAAGTAATGGTGTCATCTTTGATTCCTCTTTTTCTCTCATACTCCAAATCCTGTTTTCCTTACCTCAAAATATATTAGGTTTGGATCACTTTGCATCACCTCCACCACTACCACCCTGGTCTAAACCAAGGCTGTCTCTGCCTGAATTATTGCAGTAGCTCTTAAGTAGCCCTTGCTCCTACACTCTTATGTCCTTCTCTCCCTTCTCCTACAATATATTATCAAAATAGCAGCCAAGGAGATCCTTTTGAAAGATGAGAACATGTTGCTTATCTGTTCAAAACCACCTGGTAGCCACCCATCTCACACAGTGTGAAAGCCAAAGTACTAACACAATTTCTCAACCACATCTCCATCATGTTACCTCTCCAACCTCAATACTTCCTTTCTTAGTCTCATTCCAGCCACACTGGCTGCCAGGGAGTTCTCAGACATCACACACCTACACCAGACCCTTTTCCACTCACTGTTCTCTTTTCCTGGAATCCTCCTCCCCCAGATATCCAGATGCTAATTCTCTCAACTTCTTCAGGTTTCTGCCAAAATATTTTCTTCTCCATGAGGCCCTCACTCAAGGCACTCCAATATCCTGCTTCATTTTTCCCCATAGCATTTATGACCACCTGGCATCCTCCACATATACTTATGTATTTACAGTATCTGTCTTCTTTACACAGAATGTAAGCGACATTGGAGCATTAATTTTTTCTGCTTTCACCACCACCTAAAATAAGGCCTGTAACTTAGCAGATGTTTAATAGTTACTGAATATTAATGAATGAGTATATAGAGATGGATAAGAAATATAGTGAAGAAAGAACTGATAGTATTTGCCTTTCTGGTTTGATCATTATTTGTGGCAATTCCCTTCCCCTGTGTGGGTTCCAGTTTCTTCATGATAAACTGAGAGGTTTGGATTAGATGCAAAGTTTCCTCCAGCTCTGAAAGCCCATGATTCTACTGACACCACACTGGAACCAAAGAAACTAACCAAGCAGAGATTAACATGAACAAAGATTTCTTTATGGTCTTAGCCCATGTATATTTTTATAGAAATAAAAATCTAATAGCACACTGATTTTTTTTATTGCAACACTATGGGCACAGCTGAGGCCAATAAAAAAATTCAGTGTTTTTAGTTTTCTATTAAAAGAAAGTTTGATCATTATTCAGTTTTTATTCTAGCTATCCACAGCCCCTACTTCCAATCATGGCTTCTGCTGTGTCACCAGCTCTAGTTCTGTGTTTCCTCATTTCATTGCCACCTAGTGGAAAATCCAGCTGAGGTTGTTAATGTGGTCTACAACGCAGCAGGCTGAGTTTCATCTCCAAAATATAAAATAAAATTGTTCTGACAGCACTCAAAACTGTTTTAATCAAATCAAAATTTTATAAAAATATTTCCTAACGATATGTATAGAAAATATTCCCATTTTTCTTTTTAATTTAATTTTTACTTCCAACTGAAAGAGTATTTGTAAAAGATGTACTTGTCAAAAACAACTTAATAAGCAGACTTAATAGTTTTATGCATAATAGATAGTATGCATTTCCTAAATCACCAGAAACACAACTTTCCAATAGTAATTCTCAAATATCAGAAATAATATTAATCACAGCCTCATAATTTATTTTTCCCATGTTATAATTCATGAAACTTATATTGTTTTTACATTTGGAAGTTAGCGTGATTCAATTCTGTGGATGGAGAAAAGTACATATAGCTTTTCCAACAACGGTTTTACCAGCTCTCACATTTTCTCTGAATCTAGTGAAAATAAACACAGAGCCACGCATTTGATAATATACTTTTTAAACCAGTAAGTCTGTCCGATTAATCACGTTCCATGTTGGCTTCTTTGGAATATGCTCAGGTAAAAAGAAGGATGGTTTGAATCATATGTTTGTTAAGCCACATAAACTTTAATCACCCCTCAAACAAGCCCAAACTCCCAGCATATATCTCTGAAAAGGGAGAAAGGCCAACTTTGTTTTCTAATAGAGCTGTACAAAATAATTCTCCTAGGCTATCATGCTGACAACAAACAATAAAGAATCTGTCATAAAATAACATGTTTTTATGGTATGCTGCCAGGAAACCAAGCTTTGCAGTGGGATAAATGGCACCATCCTAAAATATTGGCACAAAGGAGAATAAAATATATGGGATTTATTGCTTTAAAATCAAACTAACAACATATTACAGCAGTGCATTGGGAAAAAATATAAAATGCTCTGAGCCCACTAAGTAACCATGAATGATGAGAAGATGTTTGAGTGGTAGACCATGTGAACAGCTATATCACAAGCCTATGAAAACCCTTTGAAATTGGCTTCCTTTTTCAACTTAGAAAAGGAAAGGGGATGAAAGATAGGATAGGCAGGGGGAAAATAGCAAACAAGTACCATATAAGTGACTCTTAGCATCAGTGATCTATCAAATGTGGTTTCCAATTGCATTTCTTATTATGAAGTTCCTAGGGTTACTTTTTGACATCTGATAATCCCTTTAGAAGGGATATTTTGCTTTTGATTTATTTACTAAAGAAAAGCAAGATTCGACTCTGAAAAAAGTATTCAATTAATGTAGAGTGTCAAAGATTAGAATGAATGCAATTGCATGAAGGAAAATGTAAAACCACACTTTTTCTTATTGTTTTTATGGTATTTTTATGCTATTTCATTTTCATTTAAAATTTCTAACATAGTAATATTGAATATTTGCCATCTCCAAATTGAGAGAAGGGTGATCTATCAGTATAGTTCTTCTGCCTCTCAGAATATGTCCATATCACTACCCATCACTCTCTAAGTCTTCTAAGGGACAGGTAGTCATTGTTCATCTTCAGCAATTGTCAGCAACTTCAGATTTCAACCAAACTGGTGAGAATTCTAAGAAAATAGGCCATAAAATTAAAACAAGGGACTAAGGACAACTCATGGACACACAGGCTTTGTCTATGGGTTTCTATGAGTGTTTGACTACCTTCAGTTTTCAAAAATGAGGAACAAAATGGGAACACTAACAAAGCTTGAAAAGGGAAGAACTGACCCATCTGGGAATTTCCAAATGAGAGTCCATCTGTCTGAAACATTGTACCTTGTCTTCTCCTAGATGATGTTTTCATCCCCAGGACTCCTTTCAGACATCAAATCCCTTAGGAAACATCCCTGGCCCCCACTCTCATGCCTCCCTGCTCTTATCTGAGTGAGGAGATTTTTTTCTATGTGCTTCTTAGCATGCAGCACTGGCCACTATCATGGTCCTTATCATGCTATATTGTGATGATTGTTTACTTGTCTCAACTCCTTGTTCTCAACAGACTGAAGAAAAAGTCTGTGATTTATTTCTCTTTGTATGCCCAATATTTACATACTCAATGAAAGTTTACTAGGTAAATAAGCAAGTTGGATTAATGTCTGAAGACATGTTTTATACTGTACAAACTTCTCACTTTTTAAAAATTTATTTGGTTTTTCCTGCAAAGTAAATTCTGAAGGAAAATCACAAATGCCTTTCGAAGTAAGAATAATGAGATTCTTTATAAGGAAAAATATGTGGTTGCATATATTTTTCTTTTTCCCAAAGGAAAGCTAGTTGGCATAGCAGAAGATAAGGTAGATTAGAAATGTTGTGCCTAACACTATTTCTTACAAGTTAATAGATCTGTATGAGTTCACTTCCTCAGCTGAGAAATGGAGATAATGCTATCTCTACTTTCCATCTTACAAGGTTGTTGCAAGAATCAAATAAGTTAATGGGAATAAAAGCATTTCAAAAACTTTGAATTGGTATATTAAGCATATTAAGATGATGTTTTAAAAAAGTGTAAGTTGGCTTTCCTTACATAGTGTTCTAATTCTTAAAATGAAGTTTGAGAAATACATTTTGGTGAGAAGTTTGAATTTCACATTGTCACTTCCAGTTGTTAAATGTGGATAGGATTGTTTTGGCCTATAACCTTGATCTAGTTTAGCTATCATTGTCACTGTCACACCTCCACCATCATCAGCCAATGAGGAATGTTAATGGGCTGTTAGGCTCAAGTCTTTTTTGTGTTTCCTGATAAGGGAGTCAGAATTCAGTCTGAAGGAAGACACTTGTACATGATGATTTCAAATATTTTTCACATTGGCTATGGTATACTGATTTAGAAAAGCTCCTTGGTGGACCAGAATCAGAATGTAAAACCAGCTGCCAGGTTTCTGGTTACACTCCTGCATGTGGTAGAATAAAATAGAAAGTAATTGGTACTAACCGGTCTCCACTGTGATGTGAGAATAGAGTTGGCAGAAAAATCTACAATCAGCTCTGACATTATTGGCAAGGCTATAGTATAATGAAGTAATAGTGAGACTTTAGCTTACTGCTCTGGCAATAAGACAATTTAATAGCATCTTAGCTCACAGAATTTAGTGTTATAAAGACAAGTATTTTTAATCCAATGAATAAATAAATAAATGTTTAAAATACTTGACTGATGTTTGTAACAGTGAGGAAGTAACCTAAAGTATCTTCCCCTTCACCCGTGGCCCAGAAATGAACAGCTATTTGCAGAAGTTCAGTGTTGTCTGAGAACCTTTCCAGTGTCATTGCAAAGATCTTGCTGCACAGAATTTCAAGATGGCATAACAGTAGTCCAATCGGCTTTCTAACTCAGCCACTTGAGGTGTGATAACTCATTAAATGAAGAAATACTTTTTCAAGAGTCTACAAGCCAGAGCAGTAACACGGCAGTTACAAATTGCTTCCCGTCCATCACAGAATATAGAAATTTCACACTACCCTTCACACTAATCACAATTCTTCCCTTGAAAACAAGTTATTTGAACAATTCCATTACTGAAATCCCTGATAACCTTTTCTTCTTTGGAGACATGCACAGAAACAATTTGAAATCATTGTATCACCCTGCTACACTCCGTGATATGGGTTTTGTGACTAGAATTTAACAGCTCCGTGCTAGTATGAGAGAAAGAGAGAGAGAAAGAGAGGTTGGCCTCAAGATTTATTTGTTGAGCTCTAAATTCCTTTGTTTCCTTCAAAAGAACACTTGTCCTCTAAGACATATTTTCTAAATTCCTATCATAATATTATAAAACATCCTTTTAAAGCATTGCTCAAAGTATAACAATTCAAAATGATAGAACTATCTTGTACTAGTTGGCACAATTATTGTGTCAACATGTAATTCCTTACCTTTATATCTGGGGATCTCTGCAGTAAAATCATGAACAGAGCTCTAAAATCCTTCACTTCTACAATACGTCGTGCAAGACCTACTTCTAAATAAATCAATATTATGCATCTATATAACTTTCATTCTTGTTGACCAGACATCATATGGCTTTCTAACCTCATCTCTCACCACTCTGAAGATAGTATGTCTCACCCTCCTCTCTCTCTCTCTTTCACACACACACACACACACACACACACACACACACACACACACATTTTCATATACATATATCATCCAAATCAGCGAGTCCCTAGGCCTTTGAATGTGATCTACTTATTAACTTTTTCCCTTAATGGTGTTTCCCTCAGCTATAATGTACTTTCTCCTCTCTTTTTGCCAATCCAAATCCTTTCATTTCAAAGTGCATTGCTTCCAAGAAGCATGGGATTCTTGACTAACTGAATCTGTCACCTACCTCAACCTTACTTTGAATATTTTTATTAGTTATGTGTACACAATATGTGCCACATCAGTATGGCTTTCTTTCTAAGTTGCCTCAGAAAGACTCTGGGTGCACTAGGTGGGCATGTAACACTTTCCAACTTTAAGCTCCTCAAGACCAGAAGCTATCTACTTAACTTCCTCTGATTCCAAATTCCATCTGGGACATGCTGCACTCAGCTGATTATCAAAGATGCTTGAGATGTTCATTTTTACCAATCTAGTTTTGCTTTAATCTGCCATAGTGTGTGGTTTTATACTTACTGGAACAGAAACTTGAGGATTATCTGCAAGTTTTCCCAGCACAGCAAAGCCATCAATGTCAATTGGGCCTCTTGGCTTTATAGGTAAAGATTCAATCCTGTTGCAGTCAACAAAAAGAGTAGCACTACTCCTCTCCACGCCAATCATGATCTTATGCCACTGGGAATCAAACAAGGAGGACAAATTCGAAAAGGCTGCTGTTTGGAGACTTCCATCCAGTCCCTTGTATGAAAATACAACAGATTGTGTTTGGCCATTAATCTTTATGCCAACTTGCTCCTTCCCAGAGGAATCCTGAATCTGCCAAATGTTCCAGTTCTTTTTGAGAGTGCTTCCAGTCATTCGAAACGTCGTCAAGAAGGAGTATTCTTCAGGCAGTCCACTGGGATATAAATTCCTGAGTAAAATTTTTAAATAGTAAACATGCATCTTGTTTCCTGTACCCATATGTATTTACCACATTCCCTTTTGAGGCCATTTTAGATGCCAGACCTATAGAAAAGCTACAGTGTAAAAACCTATGTACCGTTTGTTCTTTCATGACTGTTCATAAAGACCTTTACAGAAGTTCAATCATTCCTGTACATTCATGGTCCGTCTTAAATTACACATTTTAAAAACACCCTCCCTCATGGCTAAGGAAGGTTCCCAATGCCACATAATCCCAACAATATTACTATTTATACTACCCAAAGAGCTACTGTTCAGCAATTTCATCTCAGCCAAAAAATACATTCTTGCAAAGTTCTTGGCAATATTTCATTCACAAGTGAGAGAGGAGATCATTAGGAATGTAAATCAGCTGTACTAGCTTATGAAACAATTTAATTAAAGCAGCTAGCAGCTTCTAATTGTTTTATTTTAAAGTAGCATGTTAAGATTATTTGTTATTTCCATAATTGCTTGGGTATTCCACTCCACAATTATATCCCAGACCCATATAAGTATTTTGAGAACCAGTAACTGAGGACTTCAGGAGCTTCTTCACACTGAGGATGTTTGTCTTTTTTTAGGGAGTTCAAATTATGATGTTAAAGTAGCAGTTTGACACTGGATATGTGGCAAGGGAAAAGTGACCAATTCTTACTTCTCTACTGCAACTCTGTTGTTGCTTCTTTTTTTTTTTTTTTTTTTTTTTTTTATGGAGTCTCACTTTGTTGCCCAGGCTGGAGTGCAATGGCGCCATCTCAGCTCACTGCAACCTCCACCTCCTGGGTTCAAGTGATTCTCCTGCCTCAGCCTTCCAAGTAGGTGGGATTACAGGCGCCCACCATTATGCCTGGCTAATTTTTTGTATTTTTAGTAGAGATGGTGTTTCGCCATGTCAGTCAGGCTGGTCTCGAACTCCTGACCTCAGGTGATCCTCCTGCCTCAGTCTCCCATAGTGCTGGGATTACAGGTGTGAGCTACTGCATCCGGCCCAGTTGTTCCTTAATCTGCCAACTAAGTCTGTATCATTGCTAACTCCTTTACTGCTTTAAATGGCAGAATAAAACCAGTAGTGTCCCTGAGGCATCTCTACCCTATACAGAGACTGTGGTCTGGAGCTGCACCAGCTACCTGGATATTCTTTTGCTGAAGCCAAGCTGCTAAAAGCTGAAGACTGAACTTTAAAAATCAGCATGTTAAATGTAAGCATCATCTTTCAAGGACTTGAACATTATGTCTTTTTACATTTCTCCTTCTAAGCGTAGAAAAATTCCTAAGCAAGGAAGAAATGCTAGGCAAACTAAATGCTAATGAATTTTCTGTGCTAAACAATAAAAATTTTATATTTCTGAGAACAGTTATGGACCAGGACCCAGAATCCCAAATAACCTTCCTTCAAGTCAAATTCTTGTTATGTAGCCCTCTTTAATTTGCTAAGATCTTCTATCTTTACTTTGATTTTAATTATAAAACTTTATTATGTCTTATAACAACATAAACAAATCTTTAACTTCTTTTATACAAATATTTTTACAAGCCCTCAATAAAATAAGTCAACTATCTCAACAAATTTTATCACTTTGTTAGTTTTCTAAAGATAACAAAAAGGTTAACTTTTCATCTGAATACTCTTTCATCATAGAAGTATTTTTTTTAACCATTACTTTGTAATATGACTGGTTTGTATTTAGGGTATGGGATGAATTATTTTATCCATACATCTTTTTTTCACTGGTGACATGTATTAATCTTACTGCAAAGTTTTCAGTTCACTACCTATGTTTTATATCCCTCAAGTGTACATTTTAAAATATTCAATATGGAGCTACAGAAAAAAATTATACAAGAACCATTGACTGACCTATTTTCCCCATATGAAACTGTCTACTACATGACTCCAGATATTTGTTTTTAATATACTTCCTGTTTATCAATCAGTTTGTCATATTTTCTTTGACTTTATATTTTTCAGAATTATATCTATTCTGGAATAACCTCTAGAAGAGAAGCTAAGATTCACTATTCACAATAAAATGCACTGCCTATTGTATAATTATAAAACCTTATGGAAGTTTGTACATCTTACCTAACTTACCTCAATAAATTTGGAGCTGGGAGATACATTTTCAAAGTTTTACTCAATTGTGAAATTGGGCAAGTGTCCATTTAAATTATAAATAGATTATTTTGATTTTTATTTTTAATTAATGATTTGGATTTAACCAGATGCTTAAATAATTTATTTTATTTTTGTCCAAGATAGTTATTGTTGAAGCATGAGATTTTTTAAAAGGAAGATAAAAATCTAATGCTGCTTCTTCTCTTCCTTAAGCATTATTTTTCCAGGCTTCAACTATAGATATACTGAGCAAAACTGTAGAATTTAATCAGTTTCCTTTAAAAAGTCTATTTTGTTTCAGTTCTGGAAGTCACAGTAATGTGTTTAGGTGACTCTTGTGAAAATACAACCTGAAGTTAACTGAGGGAGTTCTCCCAATTTGTGTTTCATTCAATCTTTCCCACTCAATGAAGAGATTATGTTAAAGGTAGGAAAGAACATAATGTCTTAATTTATCTCTGACTTGGTGTATGTAATGCCAAAAACTAAAAAAGAAAATAATTAATTTAAAATGATGGAGGGTAGGTTTGAGATTGCTAAATGAATACCTCAATTACAGATACATCGTTAAACTAATGGTAGCTGTCTCTTTCTCTCCGTATATATGAAGATAATATATGTGTGTGAATATATGTAGAAATAATTTAGATTATCATGTTATTGATCTTTGATCCTTTAAACTAGGCTAGTATAGTAGTCAATATGGTAAGAAGAGAAAATTTATTTTGGTATTCATACTAATAAAATATATATGTAGTTGTATATACCTAAGACCACTTAAAAGTCTCACAAGTCTAATTTATAGAACAGTCAGCTCCATTGTCTTTTCTTGGAATACCCGAAATTCGGTTCTTGCAAATATGCTATGCACATCAATAAGTAAACTTGACAGCATACATAATTTAAAAGGAGCTGTATCTATAAATGATTTATTTTATTATATTACAGCCTTCAAAGAGTACCTTAAGTGAAGAATCATAAGGGTTTGAATGAAAGATTAAATAGTCTTTGGACCTTGAAACATTTGTTTGTGACCTTAACCCAAAAAAGACCGTGTTTTTAAGGAAAATAAACATAACACGTTTGTTAGTGGGAGTTGAGAGTGTAAAACGATTATGCTTAAAATAAGGAATAAAAAACAGCAAAAAAAAAGTATGTGTCTCTTAAGTCTTTCAAAAAAAAAATAGAAAAGATAAATAAGGATAAACTGTGACTCTGTCACATTAGTTCCATATACCGTAATATTTTCCTCCCACAAAGATCCTGCTAATAGTTTCTTTCACTGTCTCAGAGCCTATGTTCTGTAGCACAGAAAGTCCCTTTATAGGAACATTGTCTACACCTCGTATGGCCGAGAGCAATTCCCATCCCTAGTCTCCTTGTCAACCAGCTTTTGAATTGGCAGGACTTGGGAGGCAGATTATAAAGAAAGGATCCTCTAAGGAGAAAAGACTTTCATATACATGCATTTTCTCCTTCTAGTGCTCTTCACCACTAATAATAAACACTTACCCAATACCAGTGTGGACTGGGCTCTTGAAGCACTCTCCAGTTATGAACACCTACTCTACATAGCAACCTCATGACAGAGTTACTATTCCTAATTTTAAACTGAGGGAACTGAAGTAAAGATAGTCTAAGTACTTTCCCAAGAATAAACTTTACTGTTTACTTGGAATTCCACATGTCTGAGTCTCTAACTTTCCTCCTTCTCTTTTTATTCTCCTACTTTCTTTTCCTAATTTCTTCCTCCTTCTTTCCTTATCTTTTAACAAGCCTTGACAGTAAAACAAGATTTTTTAGTCCTTATGGGGGCAGGGAGTCAAGGGTAGCAAATGTGAGACATTAAATATAGCCTGGGTACATTATTTAGTGACAGCTCTAGACAACAACGAAGATGAGCAGGAGGTAAGGAAGCCACGTGGCATCAAATTAATCAATCTCTGAACTTAAGAGTTAATGACAGTACCTCAAACCTTAGAAGAGAAAATCAGGTCAGCACTGAGGACCTCATGTTTTGCTTAATTATTTAAGAAAGAAAAAACTGAATTTTTAAAGCTTATTTAGCAACACGACTGGCACTTCCATACATGAAAAGAAATTATGAGGAAAAAAAAGTGAATTCACTGTTATCATGGTTTTAATCTTTCCAGATGTGAATGGTTTTCCAGAGTCAGTATGGAGTAGTGGTTAGAAGTAAAACCTTTGCAACCATTCTGCCTGGGATTCAGTCCTTCCAGCACATTCCAACCCACTCACCTTATGCAAGTAAATTAAACTTTTGGGGATCCCTGATTTAAGAAAAAAAAGGTTAATAATGACCCTATATCACAGGGTTGTGATGAGAATGAAATTAATGTTAATTAGTAAATTTATAGAAAGAGCTCATATAATGTACTATTGTTGTATTATACAATAATATATAGTAGGTTCAAAATATGAATTTCTAGCTGTAATCTGGTACTATTATATCAGATTCTTCTAATTTGTTCAAAATTTTTATTTTTATATACATTGAGTTTCTATATTATCTTATTGTTCTAATTAATCATTATTTATCTTTATAACTTAATTTCTATTGAAGTCCTAATTGTCTCATTTATCTACTAAAGGAATTTTAATTCTAGTTTTTTTATAGTGTGCTAAAGCATATAATAATTATCATAATCATAAATAAGGTATTTAGGTGATATCAAAACTAAATTGCTGAGATTCATTCATAATGATGACAGGACTCAACACTTACACACTAAAGTACCTCAGTTTTAAATAAAGAGCAAAAGGCTTAGTTCCAGAGAAAGAAATCAGTGAAGTGGAGGATTTGATGTCGTTAGTATTACTATCATTGTTTCTATTATAATTATTTTAGTTTTGCTTTGGTTTGATGTCTGCCAGAAGCCAAGCAGTGGACGTGTGGCTCCATTTCAGCACCAGGACACTTGAACAGCACCATTGTGAGTCTTCTAACCACTCTGTGGCTCCTAGTTAAATTTATGCTTACCCTCTGGCACTTTTCACAGAGGGTCCTTTCAGTCAAAACCAGACAAATTATAGAAAAACAGAAAGCAAGGTAATAAGAACATGTCCTGAATCAATGTATAATAGTCTCAGTGATGCTTTTTCCTGGAATGGAAAGTAAATTACATACTGAAAACATGAAATGCAGTATTAAGGTACTGAAGATAGGCAGGTAAATAAATTTCTTCATCTTTAAATACAATTATAATCCAAGAAACATTGATCATAAGAAAACTCTAACATTGGATAGCTATCCATTTTTAATGCATTTGAGTCAGATAATTAGATTAAAATATTTTTGATAGATTACCTAGTTGGAATCCTGAAGTCTACATTATTTCCCAACTTGTAAGCCACCTGCAATGTAGCTGATCCCACTACTCTCTGGATAGCTCTTCTAGATGCTGCTTTATCTACCTGGAACTGAGAGATCAGATCAAACCCTATAGAATGGGAATACAAAATGAAAAGTCTAAAATGAGATTGGTTTTATTTCTTTCCACAACTTTCCCAAATAAAAAAAAAAATCAGGTTTATAGAAAGCATGCATTTTCAATAGGGTACATTGCTACTCACCTGGTAAGTCATCTTGGCCAATCCTGATCTTTGGACAGAGTTCATTTCCACCATTAGAATTGGAATTGACAGGGAATCCTGCAAAAGAGATAGCATGTCATTCTACTTCATCCACTCTAACTTAAAGTATAATAATAATAAAATAAAATAAAATAATAATAATAATAATAAAATTTAGAACCAGAAAATAGCAATTGACCACAAAAAAAAGATTTCAGGATGTATCAATAATAATAAATATTTAAAATTCAATATTATACCAGCTTGCTTAGAGGTAAAGTGTTTGGCTTTACCTCCATGCCTCTACGATTATAATCTGTCCACCTGCAACTCATCCTGGAAGGGGTGGATGCAAGGCACAAAGTTGCTCTAATAATCTGGCTGGGAAAATGTTCGTTTTGAAGAGGTTAGGCATTTGTTCCTTTTGAAACCAAAGCTGAATGGTGTCCTGAATGGCACAGGGTCAGAAATCTGTTTGGAAAATTCCTGGTGGTTTGGGCTAGAAAATGTTCCTTAAACACCACAAATTTTAGGATTCCAGTGAGATTCCAGAGCCAACCTTGGTCCAGTTCAGTGGGGCTTCTGGAGAGTAGAGTTCTTAGGAATCTTTGTCAGATATAGGGGCCTGGGGAAGTCTTGAGATTCACTAATCCTAAATAAAATATAGAGGATGGATTTGATTTCATAAATTCGTTCTAAGAGATCAAATAAAAGTCCCGACTAGATTAATCCTAACATCTTAGAACTGGGAAGAGTAAAAAGAAGAAGAAAATAATCATGAGAAGGATTAAATCCTCAATTTGATAAGAAATCATAGAATGGAATTGTGTTCTCCTTACACAAATGGAAGGTCAAAGGGAAGAGAGATTTTTCACCACCACAGAAGGCTTCTTGGAAATATCCAACCTCAGTGCCTTGCTAAGATTCATCTGACAACAGAGACTCTCTAGACTTCAAAAAAAGTATTATTCAGTTACAAAGCATAGGCCCGGCGCTGTGGCTCACGCCTGTAATCCCAGCACTTTGGGAGGCTGAGGCAGGTAGATCACCTGAGGTCAGGTGTTCAAGACCAGCCTGACCAACATGGTGAAAGCCCGTCTCTACTAAAAATATAAAAAATTAGCCAGGCATGCTGGCACATGCCTGTAGTCCCAGCTACTTCGGAGGCTGAGGCAGAAGAATCACTTGAACCTGGGAGGCGGAGGTTGCAGTGAGCCGAGATTGTGTCATTGCATTCCAGCCTAGGTGACAGAGTGAGACTTCATCTCAAAAAAATAAAAATATAAATATAAAAAAGCATGGGCCTAACCATAATGGTACATCAAACATGCTCTTTATACTCTCCTCACCCCAAATTGTTGAGGTCCATCCATCCATCAGTCTATTTATTCATTCATCCATGTATTCACCCAACATTTACCAATCACCATCTGTACTAGGCACTGCACTAGGCACTGCAGCTCACAGATTGGCCTTCCTACCAACTGTGATTACTGACAGGACTTACTTTCCATACCCAGCATTGACCATGGAAAACCAGAACCTAATGTATCCCTGTGCCCCAAAGCTGGATTGAAGAGTGAGGGTGTGAAGGACTATGAATGCCTCACTCAGTCTTCAGTCAGCCACAGCCCTGCCTGATCATTTCTGGGAATAAGTGATCTTTGAAAGTCTAGAAACTATGGCCCTTACTGGGGCGACGCTTGACAGCTGCAGATGCCCAGGGTTCCAGGAAACTGCACACAAAGAAGAAAACTGGAATTTTCCTGAAGAAGAGAGAAGAAAAATGACTGAAACAGGAGTCCCCGCAGATGGAAAACACTTCCATATTTTCAAACCTAGTAAACCTAATTAATGTAAGGTGATCAAATCACAGTATAGTTTTTTTTTCATTTCTTTTTTTTTTTTTTTTTTTTTTTGAGACGGAGTCTCGCTCTGTCACCCAGGCTGGAGTGCAATGGCGCGATCTCGGCTCTTTGCAACCTCCACCTCCTGGGTTCAAACGATTCTCCTGCCTCAGCCTCCTGAGTAACTGGGATTACAGGCACGTGCCACCACACCCAGTTACTTTTTCTATTTTTAGTGGAGACAGGGTTTCACCATGGTGGTCAGTCTGGTCTTGAACTCCTGACCTCGTGATTCGCCCGCCTCGGCCTCCCAAAGTGCTGGGATTACAAGCATAAGCCACCGCACCCAGCCTTCATTTTTACTTTGAAACCCTACTGAGAGATGTAAGGAACTCATGTTTCCAGACCCCACTGTCGTTGTTGTTTTATTGATCTCACCTTCTCGGTATCTACCTATCTCACTGTTTTGGTACCTATTTCTTTGTCTCTGGTTTCTTTCACCTTTGATTTCCTTCCTCTCTTTTTCTGTGGCCGTCACTTTCTCTCCCTTCCTCTGTCTGTCTTCGGTTTTTTGTGTCTGTCTTCGGTTTCTCACGCTTGCCCTCTTGTCTTACTCTCTCATCCGTCTCTCTTTCTGTCTCTCACCTTGAGGCTCACCTACTCTCATCTTACCACTGCTGCAAAAATACAGACCCTTGGTTCTGAGGACCCCCAGCTCCATCTCCCCACCACTCTTTCCAGGGTTATTGTCTTACCAGCAGGTCTTCATTTTCCCAGTTGATTTTCTTTGTTTGCCAACAGTCCCTATGAAGAAGGGGTTGGAAGGGAGTCACTGTCCCCTCACGACCCCTTCACTGTTACCCTAGGACTATGTGTTCTGGGCCCAGCCTTGGTCCCTCCTGCCCCCGGTGAGGGCTAAAAGCAAAGGGAGAGAACCAGAGGCATCTCGTGACACTTTAAACTGAAGCAAAGGAAAGGGGTGGGGAGAAGCAGCGCTCTGAGCCCAGGCCTAGGGGTGTGTCCTCAAAGCTAACAAGGTTATACTGAAGGAGGGATTTACAGGGGAAAGTTTGCTGAAAAGAAAAAAATAAAATCAGGATGTGGGGAAATTCACCAGAAAGATCCAGGCAAGGTGCTATAGGAACACAGTAGATGCTTTTAGATCTGCTATAGGAGTACAATGGCAGCTTTCAGAACTGCTATAGGAATACAGTGGAAGCTTTCAGAGGGCTGAGGTTCCAGTAAAAATGTGCCCACTGGGAGGCAGAGGTGTGGAAACTCGTGGGAGCCTTGGTGCCCGATCAACCTAAGTTTCAATCCCTGTTTATTCTGAAGCTTACTAGCTGTGTGTCCTTGAGAGAGTTACTTCACCTTTCTGTAACTAGATGCCCTAACTGTAAAACAGATTGAAAATGCTTACATTAAAACAATGGTTTTGAGAATTAAATGAGGTATCAAAGGCAGAGGGTCTAACACCCAACAATCATTATTTGTCATCGTCTTCATAGCTAACGCTTCATTATGCACCTCCGTCTGTTGAAAATGCTCAAAGCTTAATGCCATTTAATTCTCACAACAACATTATAAGGTAAGACTGAAGTTACCCTTATTCTCCAAATAAGAAAGTTGAGGAAGCAGAAAATGAAGTAACTTTTTCAAAGTGCCATGCCTATTACTAAATACACATTCCCTCTCTCTACCTCATGGATAGAAATCCTGATAAAATGTAACATCAAGCCCCCTACTTGTTGTTTATTCTTAAACTCTGAGACTACCAGAGTTGAGCAGAGGACACTGTATCTGGAAAGAAGCAACATATTATCCTCCGTTAACAAGGTGAGAGCAAATTACAAGGAGCACAAACCTAGAGAGAGGCATGTTATCAGCATCGCTACCACACATGCCATGCCGTCTCTCCAGAACCTGAGCACCTAAAGAGAATTCCCTATAGCCCCCACATCACCCCCGTTACCACCCACTCAGCATGGCCAACCTCTGGCCTTGTCTTGAGGGACACGGGTGGTTACTCCAAAAACCAAGACTCTAAAGGTCAGAAGATCCAATGATCTCAAAAATCACAGTACAAGCAAAGTAATTTTTAGGTGAACTTTTTTTTTTTAAGAGACAGGGTCTCAGGTCTCGCTCTGTCCCCCAAGCTGGAGTACAGTGGCATAATCATAGCTCACTACAGCCTTGAACTTCTGGGCTCAGGGGATTCTCCCACCTCAGCCTCCTGAGTAACTGGGATGATAGTCATGCACCACTGCACCTGGCTTCTTGAAATTTTTAAATTTCGTTTTCTAATTGATTTAATTTTTATTTAATTACAAAACAATAGCGTTGCTTCTTATTTTTCATTTGTTTATTTCTTTTCCAAAAAAGTCCTTTCAGTTTCTGCCTCCCCCAGCTCACTGATGAAATGTAAATCAGGCAAACTTAATATCCATGCTTTTGCCCTTTTATTTTCTACTCATAGCCCACCTGTTGGAGTCCTGTCTCTCTTTCCCAGAGGGACACCCATTTCCTCATGCTGTTTGGGGCTTTCTACAAGTCCCTGTCATTTGCCTTCTGTCTATCAAAATTCCCATTCCCTAGTGCAGCCATCCTGGCTCTGTGACAGAACTACAAATGACCAGATCTTAGCTTATTTGTTTAAGTCAGTCAGGGCTCATGAGAAAGAAGCGGTCTATTAACCTCAGAGGAGAAACTGCAGCTGGGGACCTTCCTGACATCCTGAAGTCACAGGAGGTAAGCCAGCCAGAGATTCACAGGGGAAAAGGCATTTTCCAAAGGGACTGTCCATTGAAGCTATTTATTTGCATGATTGATCCTCTCATATTACTTACTCTGGTAAGAAAGGAGAGAGGGATTTTTCATTATAATGAAGTGTTTGGGAAATCCTTTCATTGCTTTAGAGATCTCAATTCCGCATTTGCCCCTCTCCTTCCCACTGTAATGAATCCTCTTCAAGTAGAATTTGAAATCAAGTGAGGGTGCCTTTTAATTAAAAATGAAAGGATAGAGAGAAAAATAGGTTTGCTTATAGGTGGTGTGGCTTTTTTCTAGCTTGGCAGTTTTATTTAAGATGGTAGGAGCAAGCAAGAGCTATTTTAAGAAAGAAAGTAGGCTGGGCACAGTGGCTCACGCCTGTAATCCCAGCACTTTGGGAGGCCAAGGTGGGTAGATCACCTGAGGTCAGGAGTTCGAGACCAGCCTGGCCAACATGGTGAAACCCCATCTCTACTAAAATACAAAAATTAGCCAGGCCTGGTGGCACGCGCCTGTAGTCCCAGCTACTCGGGAGGCTGAGGCAGGAGAATCGTTTGAACCCAGGAGGCGGAAGTTGCAGTGAGCCGAGATCACACCACCGCACTCCAGCCTGGGTGACAGAGTGAGACTCCATCTCAAAAATAATAATACTAATAAAAAGAAAGAAAGTAAATCCAGGCCAGGCAGGGTGGCTCATGCCTGTAGTCCCAGCACTTTGGGAGGACAAAGGCAGGCGGATGACTTGCACTCAGGAATTGGAGACAAGCCTGGGCATCATGGTGAAACCCCATCTCTACAAAAAATACAAAAATTAGCCGGGCACAGTGATGCACACCTCCAGTCCCAGCTACTCAGGAGGCTGAGGCAGGAGGATCTCTTGGGCCTAAGGAGCTTGAGGCTGTAGTGAGCAGTGATTGCACTACTGCACTCCAGCCTAGGCAAGACAGTGAGGCCCTATGTCAAAAAAAAAAGAAAAGAAAAAACAAAAAACAAAAAAGAAAGTCGATCCAGAGAGAACAAAGATATATACAATATTATTTAAGGAAATTTTTTTTCCTCCCTCCACTCCCATTTTCTATTAATCTTGTTTCCTAACGCGACATTAGAATCTCACAGACAGCAGTGCAAATGCCACACTATTCTGGTCTGGGTCAGTTGCACCCTAAGGTCATAGACGCATAAGCTTTTTCACCCTTAGCATTATTTCCTCACCTTACCTAACAGTTTGGTTCTGAAAAACCATGTAGAAATGAAATGTGGTCAATCATATCAGATTATAAATGAACTAAGACAGCTTAATATTTAAAATGATCCATTTTATAAATAGAAGTGTTTTGTATAGAACAGTTATACTTTTCTTTGTACCTCCTCTCATCCCTCCCCCACATACTTTTTCACAGAATGCACACACACTAATCTCCTTCTTCTTATAAATCAAGAATATTATTTACTTAAAGCTTAAATCGGGGAACATCATCACAAATAATCATCTTTCTTGATCATCTGCTTTCTTCCCTTTGTTTATTCAATCATGTATTGAGTAACTATATACAGTAGTATATGTATCAAGTATGTGCTGGGAGGTGAGGAAGCAAAAAGTGTGAATAAACACAGCCTTGCCCTGAGGAAGCTGACAATCCAGCATGGAGGACCAATATGAAAGCGACCACAATTCAGAGAATAAGAAGGCTGTAGTGTCACTGAGAACAAGTATTAGCATAATCCAAGGGCATCGGGAAATTTTTAATACAAGAGATGAAATCGTGAAGGATACTAAGGCTACTAAGAGAATAAGTGGGTGCAGTATGTTTTAGACAGAGAAAACAGAAGATACTATAACAAAAAGGTAAAAGAGGACATTTGGGAAGCAAAGAATCCTTTCATTTGGTAAATATCTATTGATGCCTCTTCTACCATGCTCCCTGAGTGACCTTAACACCAGAGAGACAACCAGAGAAAGATCAGGTCCCTGCCCCTATGCAGCTTACACACTGGTGGGAAGAGAGGTACTAAACACATTTACAAGAATAGACAAAATAATTTCAGGTGGAAACATTATGAAAAATATAAAAGAAGACAATGTGTCATAGAGTCTGTAGAAGGTTTAGAAGCTGGTCTAGGTTGAGGGGTTAGGGAAGGCTGCTTTGAAGTCGTTAATTTTGACTCAGACCAGATGAGAATAAAGAGATAAGATTGGTGGGTAGATTGGAAAAGGGGTGGGGGACAGGAAAACTACCTGGTTTTGAGCTTGAGCAACTGAGTAGATGGTGATGTCACTTTCTGAAATCACAAGTAGGAGGACCACGGGGGAGGAGTTGGGTAAAGGATCTTGAATGACATCAAAAGAAAGCATAGACATTATTCTGGCTGTTATAGGAACTGAGAGAAGAGTTTGAGGCCAATAATGACTTTTTTGGATGTGTCTTTAGAAAGACAGTTCTGGTGTTGCTTGGAGGATGGATTGAATGGGCTTTATTACTACGTATACAGATACACAACCAGAACAAAAGTTTCAGAAAGCAATAGTTACTCATATAAATGTATTAAATTACTTTATAATCAGTGAAAGGTCAGTAAAATGTAGAATTATAAGTGCCTAGTGACTTAATAGGAGGAAATATGGAAGGTTAAGGAAGGAAGTAGGAACCTGGAATAAGAAAGCTAAGTTTCATTTATAGCTCCGATGAGTGACTTTCTTTGTTTTCACCATTGGGAATCTTAAATGAGGAAAGTGTCGTATCCCTTCCAGTTATCTTTATGTTAATAAACTAAGTGAAGATTGGACAGAACTAACAAAGGAATTAGTCTCCAATGGTGGACTTCCAGAGTTTTGAGATTAAACTTTGAGAGGTGAGAAGCCTTCCTGATGCCCCTGTAATCTTAAATTGGCAGGTGTCTCTAAGTGAGGCCATCCCTCTTTGCCTGCCTATCATTTTAATCTTTATACTGTAACTGGTTCCTTTCAACTCTGGCCTTTTATTGTAGCACTTTTATCAAGTCTGCAGCTTCCCAGCTACTTGGGAGGCTGAGGTGGGAAGAACACTTGAACCTAGGAGTTCAAGACCACTCTGGGCAACATAGTGAGTCCCTGTTTTTAGAAAAATAAATAACCTTTAGCTTTTTGCTATAGAAAATATCCAAATAGAGTCTGGACAATGCTGGATGTAAAGAAAACTGTGAAGCTACCTCTAAGCATATTGTTTGTAAATACTGTGTACCATTTAGAGGATAACATGGGGGATTCACATGAAGTTATGTGAAAATATTTTATAAGGAATAATACCTAAGTGCCTCTCTTACAGTTCTCCAGTAGAATGTATTTTCAATTTTTGCCACAAGGGGGAGAAGTTATTTTTATAGTAATATGTACATTTTTTTATTTTAAAAATAGAATTCACACAACTTTACAGCATCTATGAACATTTTGCTATCCTAATTATGTGTGTGTGTGCATGTGTGTAAACAAGATTCTGAAAGTCTTGCATGAGAAAAATTTCAAAGGAAATTAATAACAAAACCAAAACAGTTTTGAAGAATGTGCACAGTGGACACAGGAATTGAACAAAGTTTACCATGATTAAAATTATGTTTTCTTAGTTAAAAAATAAATAAATAAATGTAATATATTCTATTTTCTGTTTTATTATATTTCATTTTTGAGTGATGATAACCAAATCAGTGAGTACATTTCAGGACCAACTGATGGGTTACAACTCATGGCTTAAAAAACATTCGATTAGAAAAGAGTAGACACTAGAAGTGCCAAAGGATCTCTTTCCCCTTGTTTCCTGGTATGGGCACAATAGTTGGGATGCCCCATGAAACTCATAGAATAGTAGGGCAAGTTCCTTAGTTTTAACATGACTATATATATTTTTTAAAACATTCTTTTGAAGTAGCTGTAAATTGAGAGTTTTAATTAAACATACCACAACCCCCATATTTAATGAGTTCATAGGTTAAATTAAAGAAGAAGTATTTTTAAAACTAGCTTCCTAATGGTATTTAATTTTAAGCTTTATTCCATCTATCTTTACTTTAAAATAAAAGACCCAAGATGCCTAATGGCACCTACCAGTTGTGTGAGGATGCTGCAAATTAGTCACAGCTAGAGCCTGAAATTTATCACAGAAATCTCTGGCTGAGAGGCTGATTAACAATTAGAGTTGCTAAAACTAGGACTCCCACAGTTTTACATTGGGTTCAGTTTTACTGTAAAGAAATTTCACCATAATCAAAGCTCTATTTTTAATCTTCTTATTTTGGCCCAATACTTGTAATTGTAGCCTAATCATCTATAGCAAGCACATAGAGCCCATGGCCGTTTTTTCTCTGAAATCACTCACAAACAAATGTGTTCTCACCATAGAACATTAATACAAAAACAGGTCATTTAATGTAAAATTCCCCCACTCCTAAGCTTTTCAGCATATTACTTTTGCTCTCTCTAAAGTATGAGCATTTCCATCTCCCCAAGGAGGAGAAAAATCAATTCCCCTCCATAGCACACGTGCTTCCAGGAGCTGTTGCTGCATTTGCTGCCTTGTGAGTCTTAGGTCTACAGCAGCTGATTCATGTCCTAAGCCTCTTTTGCTCCCTTCAATGAAACACACTTATTGGCCCAATCAGTATGTTTCTTTACCTACTGTAAAGCCCTGAATCTTGTCTCATCAATAATACCTTCCCTTTCATAATGCTCTATGGTTTTCCAAGACCATTTCTTACCACAATTTCATGGCTTGTTAAAAACATACTCCTGGGCATTACCCCCAGAGGTTCTGGTTCAGGATATTGAAGATCAGTCTGAGAATTTGCATTTCTAGCAAGCTCCCAGGTGATGCCAATCTCCTGCTGATCCACTGAGAAGTGCTGCCCATATAGGTCATGTTTTCAACACCGTTAGGCTACCTCTCCTTTGTTACAATTGGCATTGACTTGTAGACTGTAAGTGTATGAGTATTTGTTTAATAAAATTTTAAAATAATTATCAGTTGAACCCATAACTCCTACTGAGAACTTTTGATCTCATGAAAGGAAATTGTATTGATTTCCTTACTAGACATTAATTAAGGAAATTTACATGGCAGAATGAAGTATAGAAACCTAAGCCTTCTCTTCTGCACTATTGTCCTTTAACAACCTACTACTACTAATAAAAGTGTGTACCTGAATTGCACGTTAACCTTTACCAATAAAATGTAAAAAGGTCATTGCTTCTCAAATACCTCGTTCTCTTTTATGAAATAAACTTTAAATATACCTTGTTTTAGGTTGCATCTATGAAGTTTCATATGCATTTACTAGCTTTCACATGCTGGGAAAATGTTTTCTCTGCACTAGGTGGCAGTATAATCCTGAAATTTGAAACCTAAGCTAAGGCATCAAAGACGAATTTGATTTCCAGTCTTCAAGTAGATAACTTTGATTTTAAGAAAATATTTCATTCTTGGTTATTTTCCATATGTATAAATTGAAGTATTGTAATTGACTTCTTTTTAGGGTTCCTCTCAAAAAAATGTGCAAATACAATGCACCCTGAGGTTCATGAGAGCCTACTGAAGGAGAAAGACACTAAACGAAAGATTAAAATTAACTCTGCCTTCATAGATGAGCCATCCACTCTGACCTCACTAACCACCACCAATTTCAGCCTTATAACTAAACAGAGCCAAACTCAAGGTTAAGAATGTGGGCTCTGGAACCAGATTGCTTAGGTTCAAATCTCAGCTCTACCACTTTCTAGCTGGGAGACCATGGAGAGGTAATTAACCTTTCTGACTCATCTTATTTATCTGTAAAAATGAGTAATGAAAGCACTTACCTTATAGGTATACTATAAGGATCAAACTAGAGCCAAAAACAGTACCTGGCACTCAATAAATTTTAGCTACAATTTTTCTTATAACTCACTCTCCTCTGCTTTCTTCTTTGATTCAACCCCAATCTGTCCAGTAAATGGTGGTTCATTTAGATCTTAGAAGAGTGTGGCTGTGCTAAATACTAAAAACTATCCTAGACAATATACAACTACTCAAAAAACCCATTATAGATAGCAAGGTAAATCAATTGAAAGCCCCCTTCTCCCTTCCATATGCACATCTTTGTCTGTTTGCTACACTTTTATGATTCTTCCTCCTGTAATACTGCCCTTGATAAGTCCTTCAAGCTCTTCTCATCAATAATACTTTCCCTCTCATAATACTATATGGTTTTTCAAGAACATTTCTCATCACAGTCTCATTTGTACCTCGCAACAATCCAGCAGGACAGATGTGACTCTCCTGTTTTCCTGGTGAAGAAACAGGTGAAGAGACCTGTATGAGTTCATGGTTATATGTGACAAATCTACTGACTGACTCCTGAACAGATACAAATAAAAGGCAACTCCAGTAATCACTGGTGAACCAGTCAAACAGCTATTTACAAAACACTGCATACAGGAGGACCGATGCCTACTGATTAGTCCCCTTTTGGGGACATATGTGTATATACATATATATATATATATGTATATACACACACACACATACACACCACACATATGTATATGTATACATATGTGTATATATACATAAATGTGTGTATACATGTATATAATTGGTTTCTTCATTTTAAAATATTATATGGAAAAGTAATATATGTATTTGGTAACATGTATTGTATTTAAAAGTAAGATATATATTTGGTAATAAAACAGGATGACTATAGTCAATAATAATTTAATTGCACATTTTAAAATAACTAAAAGAGTACAACTGGATTGTTTGTAACACAAAGGATAAGTGCTTGAAATTATGGATACCCCATTTACCCTATGATTAGTACTTATTGTATGCATGTATCAAAATATCTCATATACCCCATAAATATATATACCTATTACATACCCACAAAAATTAAATGTTAAAGAAGTAATATACGAACATTTTGGAAAAGTGGAAAATACAGAAATAGAAGAAAGAGAAAAAAACATAGTCTCACCACCCAGAGACAACTCGCTATTAACATTTTAAGATGTTTTCTTCCAGTCCCTTTTCTACATACAAGCTGTGGTCATACTCTACACAGTTTTACAACTTCCTTAAATGCACACTACTTAAAACACTCATGCACGTGCTTTCACAAAATTTAAATGCAATCATATAGCACATATAAAAAGATAGCAAAACCCAGATGTAAGAACTTTGCCTTGAAGTCAAGATTATAGCTTTTAATTCTAACTGCTGTAACCTTGAGAGAGAAAACAACTATAGAGAAAGAGACACTGAGTAACTGGGAGAGGTTCTTCCAGCAGGTCTTGGTTTTTGAAAGACATTCTTTTTCTCACCCAAAGCCATGTGGGACTATAAATTTGAAGCCAACCACCTAACCACAAAACCACAAAGGCATGTGTAGACATTCCAGTGGCACCAAAGGGCAACCACAGGAGAGTCCTGCCTCCTATCGTTTCTTAAATCCAAATATCTCTGAAACCATGACTAACTCCAGGAATAGCAGTAGCAACTGACATGTGGGCAGGTGAGAAAGAGCCTTTGTTCTTAAAGACTCGACTTAGAGCCACGACAAACTGAAAGGCTCTAGCATTAGCATACTTATAGTGATTCCAGAGAGTGGTCAGTCCAGGGTGGAGCAGCAGAGATGGAAAGGCAGACAGGCAGTACCAGGATAGTGACAGAGGAGGAACAGAATCACGATTCATATTATTTCAGCCTGTCCTGGCCAAGGGCCTCGCCAGGGCTCTCAGGACTTTTTCTAGAAGTGCAGTGTAAGGAGGAAATGTCAGAAACTATACTTCATACTTTTTAAAATATATATATTTTTTATGTATATCATTCATTATTTTTGCTATTTTACAGGTGAGGCAAGTAAGGTTCAAAGACGTTAAATAACTTGCTAAGGGAAATTCCAAATGGCAGGCCAAAACCAAACGTTGGTTTCTCTAACATCAAAGCTGATGTTCTTCCTATAATTTGTCATATTCTGAGTATGCATACATGCACATGCACACACACACACACATGCACACACATACATGTGTTTAAGGACAGTCCCCGCTTCACTCTGCATCTAATTGTTCACTATTACTGTCTTTTCTTCATAAACTCTCAAGCTGGAAAACTTCAAGACTTACTAAGAAGACTTGCCCTTGTACTAATCACCAACTTGGTGCTGTAATTGTCCAAGGGCTTACCCTACTAATGCTTTGCTAAAAGCTACAAAAAAGTAGTGCTAAAATTCTCTCATACAAAATATCTCATGGAGAGTGATCATTCCTGTGTGAGTGTCCTGGACTTTATATAAACTCTTTATTATTGACTCGATTTATAGAGCATTTGTGAATTTTTTATGTATTTCTGGTATTTTTTTCTATATTTCCCTGAGGTTCTATCCGTATGTAAATTTGTCTCAGCTTCTAAATTCTCACACATTAGGGATCTTGATTACAATCTCTCCCATGCTTCATTTATTACCTACCGCAGTCAATCATTTTGTATATTCCTAGGCAGTCAAACTTCAACAAACATCGTATTTAAAGCACAGTGCTGGCTACTAAGGAGACTTTCAGAGCCAAATAATGTCTTCTCTGTCCTCAAGGAAGTAGGCGGGACACCCACACACCCCAAAACTATGGAACACACTTTGGCCTAAAAGGACTCCCCAAAAGAAAGTAGAACCATAAACAGTACTCTAGAGACAGAAAGGCAAAATGACTGATACTCTCCAGAAGGATTCAAAAGTGTTTCACAGAGGAAGTAACCTTAGCTTGACCCTAAAGAATGAATCCTATTTTACAGGCAAAAAAAGATAGAAAGTTTTACAAGGCAGTTGGAATAATGTGAACAAAAGCTCAGAGGCTTGAAAATGCATGGAGTGTAATTAATTACGTTTCAAACATAACTTAGCTTTTTTGAAAATATTGCGTGCCATCAACCCAGAAGTTGAGAAAATGCATGTTATTAAACAATATTTAGTAAGCAAATAATATGCCAAAAATGTTTATGACTTTCTTACATTAGCCTACCTTTCATATTAATATTTTGCTACTGAAAATTAAATCAACAATTCATCTGCTACAGTGGAAAATCTGAAAATTTGGATTTTGATTACAGAACAACACAGTTCTAGGAGAACCCTTATTTTGGCCCACAACGGATTCTCTATTTAGAGATTCCATCAAGACATAAAGAACACCAGGTGCCCTGATGTCAATGTCAAGGGAAAAGAGGCAAGATGTCTTCATTAGGATGTAAAAAGTCATTTGCTGTCACTTAAATTACCATTCTTTTTTTCTGTTAATACTAGTAACAGGCTACTAAGCTTGCTGAAGTTTGGTGCTAGGAAGGGTTAATGGCATAGGCAGAGAGCAATGCTTTCATTTCCTTGGAGGAAAGCTGATGGGTAAATAAAGTACACATTACTTTAAAAAAAAAATAAAGATCGAGGAGAATCTTGGGTATATACTAAGAGAGGGCTTCAAGCTGCAAGAACGAGGGCATAGTGCCAAGAATGGGAGATGCGTTATGTGCAGGGAAAAGATTTGAAATTGAAGTTGCTCTGAACAGTGAAATGAGCTCTCAAGTGGAGCCAAAGGGAGACAGGGAAAAATGCAGAATGTAGCTGCAGCAACTCCAGTGGAAATCAGCATGCCCGTGGTGAATTTCCTAAAACCTCTTCAGTCAAGTAGAACAAAATAGTGAAAAAGCAATAAAAGAATAAATGACCTAGAATTATTGGCCTTGCCAAGCATAACCTACTATGTAGCACTGGTTTCAGAAGCAGATGTAGAGAAATTGCAGCCCCACAAGGCTTCCATCACTATAGATGTTCTTTTAAGCTTTGTTATCTGATAGGACACTGTTGAACGTGTAAAATGTTATTACAAGAATCACAGGAGTAATCAGTAGAAATCTGTCTCTTGGTACAATATTGGAAAATGTCATTTGGCTATGGATTTGTACCATAATAAAGTCGTCCATAAACACACACCATAAACACAGGAAACAAGAAATAAATAACTTTAATATTATATCCAGAGGCTAAATAATAGATTGTTGGTATGTTATTGTGAGTAGTTATTTGAAAAGAAAAGAAAAAAACAAGTTAGTTGACCCTGGTTGGATTATAAATAACCATAAAAAGACCTTTTTTTAAAGCAATTGAGGGATTTCAAAAAGCCTCCAGGCTTTGCTGTGTTGCCTAAAGAGCCCTCCATGTTCATTCCTATTACTCTGTGTCCAGAATTACACTGGCTGTGAATTCAACTGTAATTTGTACAGTTGCAATTCATGTGTTACCTTTAAAAATAAACACTTTATGTGAAACCCAAGTACTACTGTTTTCTCAAATGAGAAATAGTGAAACTAATTTTAATGCAAGACTTGTCTCTCCGTGTACTATAGTTACAAAAGATCACTTATCTTCTCTCTAGCATGCTGCATGCCCAATGTTTCCAAGCCCTTCTCAAACAAGCCCCCACCTCTTCCACAAAGCTGATCTGGTACCTCCAGCCAGATATTCTCCGTTCTGCTCAATCATAGGAAGAACTATTTACATGAAATGACATTACATTCTGTTCTATAGGCAGAAGGGTACAGTAGAGAAAGCAGGGGGCATCTAAAATCAGGAAACTTAGACTTGAGCCCTTGTTCCTTTCATTAGCCTTGTAACACTACTGAGCCTGTTTCCTTTTTTGCCCAATAGGGACTTATCTTAGGGGCTCATTGTGAGGCTCAGTGAGTTAATCCATGCAGGAGAGCTGGATAAAATGTAAAGTGCTCTACAAAGGTAATTGTTATTTCAGAATTAATATTTAGGGAGCATCAGTATATGCAGGACACAGTTTTGAGCACTGCATAGTAATCAAAGCTGAAGAAGGCAGATTCCCAACTCTCATGGACCTTAAAATATAGTAGAGAAGTGAAAACATTTACCTTAATAATTAAAACACAGGGTATTAAATAGTAAGTGCTTTAAGCCATATCCCCAGAACTTCAAGTCAATTTGACAAATATTCATGAAACAGGCTCTTGAGATACAAAGGAAAACATCATGGGTCACTGTCACTTATCTGGTGGGGAGGACAGATACACAATAATTATGGTAATACCAGGCAGATAATGATAAACACTGTAGAGTAAGTGCATACATACTGGGAATTGATTAGGTCTGGGTAGATAGACACACAGAAAGGTTTTTGTCTAGTTCAGTGGTAAAGTTTGATGGGCGATAACAGAGCTTAGCAACTGTTTCTAAAGATTGAGTTTTTACTTCCAAACAAGATAAAAAAGGACCAGATCTGACATCAGATTGACCAGCTCTGTGAGGCAGGTGGATGCTGGGAAGATGTGGAGGTGACTGTGGAGATTCAGCTGAGCTGGAAAAACACTCAAGTAAGATATTAATTGTGGGTTAGGAACTTCTACAAGGCCACAGCAGAAATCAAACAGCAATGGGGTAAGAAGAGTATGGTGTAAGCAGAGGTTAAGGAACTAAGGGATAGGAAAAGATATAACAGTGGTTAAAGGAGGACAAGATTTTTTTTCTTCATTTGTTTAAAAATAATAAATTTAAAAATAACTAACACTTGTACTGTTTACTACATGCTGGGTATTGCTAGAAACATTTTACCTATATTAATTCATTTATTGCACAACCATAAGTTGTAGGTGCAATTACCCCTCAGTAGTAATGGTGAAGGTGAGATAGGGAGAGCTGACATTTATAGACTGAGAAAAAGGAGTCA
This sequence comes from Homo sapiens, assembly GCF_000001405.40. NCBI lineage: Eukaryota > Metazoa > Chordata > Mammalia > Primates > Hominidae > Homo > Homo sapiens. The sequence continues at coordinate 70,316,668 of NC_000006.12, forward strand.
GTGCAGAGAGAGATTGAAGACAAAAGGGAGGATGCCCTGGAACTCAAAATAGCAAGAGCTCAGGGATGAGGGGTTGATTGTCATTTTCCTTTCTATACTATTCTTTGACTCCTAACTTCTTCACAATAGGAATTATCACTTCCGTTTTTGTTTGTTTGTTTGTTTGTTTGTTTGTTTGATAAAGAGTCTCACTCTATCACCCAGGCTGGAGTACAGTGGCATGATCTTGGCTCACTACAACCTCCGCCTCTCGGGTTGAAGCCATTCTCCTGTCTCAGCCTCCGGAGTAGCTGGGATTACACGCATGTGCCACCATGCCCAGCTAATTTTTGTATTTTTAGTAGAGACGGGATTTCACCATGTTGGTCAGGCTGGTTTCAAATGCCTGACCTCAAGTGATCCCCCCACCTTGGCCTCCCAAAGTGCTGGGATTACAGGTGTGAGCCACCATGCCTGGCCTGCATTATCACTTTCATAATTAGAAAACTAAACAATATAAAAATAAGAGATCACTTACTTATAGTTTATATTGTTTTTAAATTATTCTATATTTCTTCTGTGTTAAAATATGCTTTCTAATAAGAAATTAGCTCCCTGCATGTAGGAAGGGTGCCTTATTTCTTCTTCCATCCCTTCAACTGGCACCGGTTTTGTGTGTGTGTGTGTGTGTGTGTGTGTGTGTGTGTGTGTGTGTGTTTTAAAGGGAACAAAATTAAGCCCAACAAAACCGAAACCCTTGTTAATATTGCTCAAAATTTAACTAACTACCCTATGTTGCTGTCTTTAAAAACTTTTTATGGTCTGTTTTTAATTATTTTGTCTTCCCTCTACTTCCCCTCTCAGTATATCACATTCTGTCACCACTATTCTTGGACCTTAGAAAATAGGAAAACCCAGGGGGAGGAGCCATGATGGCTGAATAGGAACAGCCCCAGTCTACAGCTCCCAGCGTGAACGATGCAGAAGATGGGTGATTTCTGCATTTCCAACTGAGGTACAGGGTTCATCTCACTGGGGAGTGCCAGACAGTAGGTGCACGACAGTGGGTGCAGCACACTGTGCGTGAGCCGAAGAAGGGTGAGGCATCGCCTCACCCAGGAAAGGCAAGGGGTCAGGGAATTCCATTTCCTAGTCAAAGAAAGCGGTGACAGACGGCACCTGGAAAATCAGGTCACTCCCACCCTAATACTGTGATTTCCAATGGGCTTAAAAAACGGCACACCAGGAGATTATATCCCACAGCTGGCTCGGAGGGTTCTACGCCCACGGAGTCTTGCTCATTGCTAGCACAGCAGTCCGAGATCAAACTGCAAGGCGGCAGCGAGGCTGGGGGAGGGGCACCTGCCATTGCCGAGTTAGTTGTTTGATTAGGTAAACAAAGCGGCTGGGAAGCTCGAACTGGGTGGAGCCCACCACAGCTCAAGGAGGCCTGCCTGACTCTGTAGGCTCCACCTCTGGGGGCAGGGCACAGACAAGCAAAAAGACAGCAGTAACCTCTACAGACTTAAATGTCCCTCTCAGACAGCTTTGAAGAGAGTAGTGGTTCTCCCAGCATGCAGCTTGAGATCTGAGAACGGGCAGACTGCCTCCTCAAGTGGGTCCCTGACCTCCGAGTAGCCTAACTGGGAGGCACCCCCGAGTAGGGGCGGACTGACACCTCACATGACCGGGTACTCCTCTAAGACAAAACTTCCAGAGGAACGATCAGGCAGCAGCATCTGCGGTTCACCAATATCCGCTGTTCTGCAGCCACCTCTGCTGATACCCAGGCAAACAGGGTCTGGAGTGGACCTCTAGCAAACTCCAACAGACCTGCAGCTGAGGGCCCTGTCTGTTAGAAGGAAAACTAACAAAGAGAAAGGACATCCACACCAAAAAACCATCTGCACGTCACCATCATCAAAGACCAAAGGTAGATAAAACCACAAAGATGGGAAAAAAACAAAGCAGAAAAACTGAAAACTCTAAAAGCAGAGCGCCTCTCCTCCTCCAAAGGAACGCAGCTCCTCACCAGCAATGGAACAAAGCTGGACAGAGAATGACTTTGACGAGTTGAGAGAAGAAGGCTTCAGATGATCAAACTACTCCGAGCTACAGGAGGAAATTTGAACCAACAGCAAAGAAGTTAAAAGCTTTGAAAAAAAATTAGACAAATGGATAACTAGAATAACCATTGCAGAGAAGTCCTTAAAGGACCAGATGGAGCTGAAAACCAAGGCACGAGAGCTACCTGACAAATGCAGAAGCCTCAGTAGCTGATGCAATCAACTGGAAGAAAGGGTATCAGTGATGGAAGACGAAATGAATGAAATGAAGTGAGAAGAGAAGTTTAGAGAAAAAAGAATAAAAAGAAACGAACAAAGCCTCCAAGAAATATGGGACTATGTGAAAAGACCAAATCTACATCTGACTGGTGTACCTGAAAGTGACGGGGAGAATGGAACCAAGTTGGAAAACACTCTGCAGGATATTATCCAGGAGAACTTCCCCAATCTAGCAAGGCAGGCCAACATTCAAATTCAGGAAATACAGAGAACGCCACAAAGATACTCCTCCAGAAGAGCAACGCCAAGACACATAATTGTCAGAGTCACCAAAGTTGAAATGAAGGAAAAGGTGTTAAGGGCAGCCAGAGAGAAAGGTCGGGTTACCCACAAAGGGAAGCCCATCAGACTAACAGCTGATCTCTCGGCAGAAACTCTACAAGCCAGAAGAGAGTGGGGACCAATATTCAACATTCTTAAAGAAAAGCATTTTCAACCCAGAATCACATATCCAGCCAAACTAAGCTTCATAAGTGAAGGAGAAACAAAATCCTTTACAGACAAGCAAATGCTGAGAGATTTTGTCACCACCAGGCCTGCCCTAAAAGAGCTCCTGAAGGAAGCACTAAACATGGAAAGGATCAACTGGTACCAGCCACTGCAAAAACATGCCAAATTGTAAAGACCATCAAGGCTAGGAAGAAACTGCATCAACTAATGAGCAAAATAAATAGCTAACATCATAATGACAGGATCAAATTCACACATAACAATATTAACTTTAAATGTAAATGGGCTAAATGCTCCAATTAAAAGACACAGAATGGCAAATTGGATAAACACTCAAGACCCATCAGTGTGCTCTATTCAGGAAACCCATCTCACATGCAGAGACACACATAGGCTCAAAATAAAGGGATGGAGGAAGATCTACCAAGCAAATGGAAAACAAAAAAAAGCAGAGGTTGCAATCCTAGTCTCTGATAAAACAGACTTGAAACCAACAAAGATCAAAAGAGACAAAGAAGGCCATTACAAAATGGTAAAGGGATCAATTCAACAAGAAGAGCTAACTATCCTAACTATATAAGCACCCAATACAGGAGCACCCAGATTCATAAAGCAAGTCCTGAGTGACCTGCAAAGAGACTTAGACTCCCACACAATAATAATGGGAGACTTTAACACCCCACTGTTAACATTAGACAGATCAATGAGACAGAAAGTTAACAAGGATACCCAGGAATTGAACTCAGCTCTGCACCAAGCGGACCTAATAGACATCTACAGAACTCTCCACCCCAAATCAACAGAATATACATTCTTCTCAGCACCCCACCACACCTACTCCAAAATTGACCACATAGTTGGAAGTAAAGCACTCCTCAGCAAATGTAAAAGAACAGAAATTATAAAAAACTGTCTCTCAGACCACAGTGCAATGAAACTAGAACTCAGGATTAAGAAACTCACTCAAAACTGCTCAACTACATGGAAACTGAACAACCTGCTCCTGAATGACTACTGGGTAAATAATGAAATGAAGGCAGAAATAAAGATGTTCTTTGAAACCAACGAGAACAAAGACACAACATACCAGAATCTCTAGGACACATTCAAAGCAGTGTGTAGAGGGAAATTTATAGCACTAAATGCCCACAAGAGAAAGCAGGAAAGGTCTAAAATTGACACCCTAACATCACAATTAAAAGAACTAGAGAAGCAAGAGCAAACACATTCAAAAGCTAGCAGAAGGCAAGAAATAACTAAGATCAGAGAAGAACTGAAGGAAATAGAGACACAAAAAACCCTTCAAAAAATTAATGAATCCAGGAGCTGGTTTTTTGAAAAGCTCAACAAAATTGATAGACTGCTAGCAAGACTAATAAAGAAGAAAAGAGAGAAGAATCAAATAGATGCAATAAAAAATGATAAAGAGGATATCAACACTGATCCCACAGAACTACAAACTACCATCAGAGAATACTATAAACACCTCTACGCGAATAAACTAGAAAATCTAGAAGAAATGGATAAATTCCTCGACACATACATCTTCCCAAGACTAAGCCAGGAAGAAGTTGAATCTCTGAATAGACCAATAACAGGCTCTGAAATTGAGGCAATAATCAATAGCTTACCAACCAAAAAAAGTCCAGGACCAGATGGATTCACAGCCGAATTCTACCAGAGTTACAAAGAGGAGCTGGTACCATTCCTTCTGAAACTATTCCAATCAATAGAAAAAGATGGAATCCTCCCTAACTTATTTTGTGAGGCCAGCATCATCCTGATACCAAAGCCTGGCAGAGACACACCAAAAAAGAGAATTTTAGACCAATCTCCTTGATGAACATTGATGCAAAAATCCTCAATAAAATACTGGCAAACCGAATCCAGCAGCACATCAAAAAGCTTATCCACCATGATCAAGTGGGCTTCATCCCTGGGATGCAAAGCTGGTTCAACATATGCAAATCAATAAATGTAATCCAACATATAAACAGAACCAAAGACAAAAACCACATGATTATCTCAATAGATGCAGAAAAGGCCTTTGACAAAAGTCAACAACCCTTCATGCTAAAAACTCTCAATAAATTAGGTATTGATGGAACGTATCTCAAAATAATAAGAGCTATTTATGACAAACCCACAGCCAATATCATACTGAATGGGCAAAAACTGGAAGCATTCCCTTTGAAAATGGGCACAAGACAGGGATGCCCTCTCTCACCACTCCTATTCAACATAGTGTTGGAAGTTCTGGCCAGGGCAATCAGGCAGGAGAAGGAAATAAAGGGTATTCAATTAGGAAAAGAGGAAGTCAAATTGTCCCTGTTTGCAGATGACATGATTGTATATCTAGAAAACCCTATCGTCTCAGCCCAAAATCTCCTCAAGCTGATAAGCAACTTCAGCAAAGTCTCAGGATACGAAATCAATGTACAAAAATCACAAGCATTCTTATACACCAATAACAGACAAACAGAGAGCCAAATCATGAGTGAATTCCCATTCACAATTGCTTCAAAGATAATAAAATACCTAGGAATTCAACTTACAAGGGATGTGAAGGACCTCTTCAAGGAGAACTACAAACCACTGCTCAATGAAATAAAAGAGGATACAAACAAATGGAAGAACATTCCATGCTCATGGGTAGGAAGAATCAATATCGTGAAAATGGCCATACTGCCCAAGGTGATTTATAGATTCAATGCCATCCCCATCAAGCTACCAATGACTTTCTTCACAGAATTGGAAAAAACTACTTTAAAGTTCATATGGAATCAAAAAAGAGCCCGCATCGCCAAGTCAATCCTAAGCCAAAAGAACAAAGCTGGAGGCATCACGCTACCTGACTTCAAACTATACTACAAGGCTACCGTAACCAAAACAGCATGGTACTGGTACCAAAACAGAGATATAGACCAATGGAACAGAACAGAGCCCTCAGAAATAATGCCACATATCTACAACTATCTGATCTTTGACAAAACTGACAAAAACAAGCAATGGGGAAAGGATTCCCTATTTAATAAATGGTGCTGGGAAAACAGGCTAGCCATATGTAGAAAGCTGAAACTGGATCCCTTCCTTACACCTTATTCAAAAATTAATTCAAGATGGATTAAAGACTTAAATGTTAGACCTAAAACCATAAAAACCCTACAAGAAAACCTAGGCAATACCATTCAGGACATAGGCATGGGCAAGGACTTCATGTCTAAAACACCAAAAGCAATGGCAACAAAAGCCAAAGTTGACAAATGGGATCTAATTAAATGAAAGAGCTTCTGCACAGCAAAAGAAACTGCCATCAGAGTGAACAGGCAACCTACAGAATCAGAGAAAATTTCTGCAATCTACTCATCTGACAAAGGGCTAATATCCAGAATCTACAATGAACTCAAACAAATTTACAAGAAAAAAACAAACAACTCCATCAAAAAGTGGGCGAAGGATACGAACAGACACTTCTCAAAAGAAGACATTTATGCAGCCAAAAAACACATAAAAAAATGCTCATCATCACTGGCCATCAGAGAAATGCAAATCAAAACCACAATGAGATACCATCTCACACCAGTTAGAATGGCGATCATTAAAATGTCAGGAAACAACAGGTGCTGGAGAGGATGTGGAGAAATAGGAACACTTTTACACTGTTGGTGGGACTGTAAACTAGTTCAACCATTGTGGAAGTCAGTGTGGCGATTCCTCAGGGATCTAGAACTAGAAATACCATTTGACCCAGCCATCCCATTACTGGGTATATACCCAAAGGATTATAAATCATGCTGCCATGAAGACACATGCACATGTATGTTTATAGTGGTACTATTCACAATAGCAAAGACTCGGAACCAACCCAAATGTCCAACAACGATAGACTGGATTAAGAAAATGTGGCACATATACACCATGGAATACTATGCAGCCATAAAAAATGATGAGTTCATGTCCTTTGTAGGGACATGGATGAAACTGGAAACCATCATTCTCAGCAAACTATCACAAGGACAAAAAACCAAACACCGCATGTTCCCACCCATAGGTGGGAATTGAACAATGAGAACACATGGACACAGGAAGGGGAATATCACACACCGGGGACTGTTGTGGGGTTGGGGGGAGAGGGGAGGGATAGCATTAGGAGATATACCTAATGCTAAATGACGAGTTAATGGGCGCAGCACACCAACATGTCACATGTATACATATGTAACAAACCTGCACGTTGTGCACATGTACCCTAAAACTTAAAGTATAATAATAATAAAATTAAAAAAAAAAGAAATAGAAAAACCCTTCTGGGGCTATCCAGATAGCAGGTTTGTTCTTATTGCCTCTTATTTTCCTGTATTGGAGATTTATAAGACCTAGATAGCCAAGTAATAATTTGAGCATACTGCCATTTTGTTTCCTTGTCATTTTCATAGGCCAAGGTGAGTTATCAATTAAATTGCAGTCTTTTACATTCAATCTTTAAATAATTTAGCTTTCCCTCAAGCTACTGATTGTTGAAACTGGTTGTTTGTTGTTTATGTTGTTTATTTAGGGGAGGAGAAAGCAAAAGTGGCTTTTTATATTATTGTTTTCTTTATTATTGTTTTCTATGTTTTCTATTCCTCCCTTTCCCCTCCTTCCCTTGTAGTGAGCCCATCCCCAAGGTTCATGTTTCTCTTTATTCCTATGAGATCTATTCCCCTTAGCTTCCTCATTACTCTACATTAAAAATCCAAGGAAGGCAGCCTAGATTCCCAGTTTCCATATATGATAAGTACTTCCTTTCAAGTTCCAATGTGGTTCTAGTAGAGTTTTGTCTGGGAAAAGTCACTGGGGAGGAATAAAGATAAACACCTTGCTTGTCTTCATACCCTGGCCCTTGTGTGGACCTACATTTAGTACATTCACAAAAGAAGAATATGCTGTTAAGTGTGCATATACTTCACACTTCTCCCTGGAAGTGCAGGTAAGAGGGTTCCCAGGAAAGTGAAACAAGAACCTCCTTAAAATCGAATGTAGGTTCTAATCTCAGTATAATTATTTGAAGCTACTATACATTGCCTGGCATTCTGGAACTATTTTTCCCTTGAATATTTCAATCCATTAGAGTCATTATAGCTGTTAGAAAGAGCATATTAGGCCAGGCATGGTGGCTCATGCCTATAATCCCAGCACTTTTGGAGGCCAAGGCAGGAAGATCACTTGAGGTCAAGAGTTCAAGACCAGCCTGGCCAACATGGTGAAACCCCGTCTCTACTAGAAATACAAAAAAAATTAGCCAGATGTGGTGGCGGGCGCCTGTAATCCCCGCTACTCAGTAGGCTGAGGCAAAAGAATGGCTTGGACATGGGAGGCAGAGGTTGCAGTGAGCGGAGATCATGCCACTGTGGTCCAGCTTGGGTGACAGAGAAAGACTTTGTCTCAAAAAACAAAAAAAAAAAAAGAGAGAAGAAAGAAAGAAAGAGCATATTAGCATCACCTAGAAATCTTTTTTAAAAATGTAAATGCCTGGGTCTATCCACAGAGATTCAGATTTAGTTGGTCTGGGATGGATGCCCAGACATCAGTATTTGCCTCCCACACCCTTCCTTTATCCTGCTAGTGATTCCAAGGTGTAACCAGGTTGAGAACCACTGGTATAGGGCCAATCCAAAAGCCTAAAAACTTTAGGGGTGTTTGAATATATATCTTTGGATCTTAGAATACATTCCAGACCTCATTCCTTTTTAATTAAGATAAGGATTGCCTCTGAGTTTAAAACAGAGTCAAAGCTATTCATCAAATTGTCTCTTCCTTTTCTACAAACATGCACACAAACATTAAACTAAAACAGCACTCCCAGGGCTGCTCAAGGGACTAACCAAGCAACCTGACCTAGTTATTTTCTTCATACCACCTGTATGTGGCATCTTGCTAAACTTGCTAATGAGGTAGCAAAGTAGTTTAGGAAGGAAAATTATCTTTACATGGTAATAAGGCCCTGAGCCAAGAAAGTAAAACAAGCATATTACTGCTGAAAGTAATTAGGATAAAACCTAGTACTTTAAAAATCATCTAGTCAAAGAGGTTACATAATTTTGGCCTTGAACACCAGGGTATATGGAGAGCTTTGGGATATTGCAAACCATTCCTTGCTTCAATTTTTAGTTTCCAAGTACAAAATAGAGCAATGTTCAGGAGGTTGAAGTACAAAATTTGTACAAAACAAGTATTTTGTACTGCGAACTCATATTTTTTTCATATTTAAAATAACAAAACTTTTCACTCTTTAATTACTAGTGGAAACTGGAGAATCACACCCCAATTTAGAGTTTGCAAACTAAGATAAATCACACTTCAAAGTCTTAAGTTACAAGCTAACGGCAGCAATGATCTCTACAATTGCTCAGTGTTGTTTGCAGATACATTTCATTCTTGGTTGGTTTCATTTTCAGGTTAGGCAACTAGATTAAGACCCTTTCCTCTAGGGGAAAGGACTTTTTTCCTGCAATGTATACAAATCTCATGGGACTCAGTTTGAGTGGCTCCTTGTCTTTAAAACTTGTAGGCTTAAATTCATGTCACAGTCAGACACACATACTGCCTTTGCAAAAATTCACATTTCATCCTTCATAATATGTAAAGAAAATATCCCGGGTGACCAGTTCATCTCAGTTTGCTCAATACTTTCTTAGTTTTAGCACTGAAAGTTCACATCCTGGGAACAGCCCCCCTACCCCTGTCCTAGGTAAACTGGGATGGTTGGTTACACTAAAGCAACAAGAATCAGAATCTAGTCTGGAGTTGACTTTGACCTGTTGGACCTCTCCTTCAGGCCAGGTGTTCTTCCCTGATATTAATAAATAATACGTGCCAAAGTGAGCCAGGCTGAGACCACCAGCCACCATGTAAGATCTCTCACCATGATTTTAATGTGCTATCTAGGATGCTTGCAACAATCGTGTAAGGTAACTGCTTTTGTCTCCATATTATAATATAAAGAAACAGGCTTTGGTAAATTAAGTGACCTGTTGAAGACCACACTGGTAGTAAGTAGTACAGCTGAAATTCAAACCTAGTTCTGTCTGACTTCAAAGATTGCACTCATTCTATTTTATCAACCATAAGAAATTTTAAGAAAACCTACATAGAGGAGACTTTATAAAAGCTAAAGAAAAAACAAGTAATAAAATATAGAGTAGGAATAAAAATAACAAAATATCAGAATCTATATGGATTCAACAAAGTATACCACAGAAATAAGAAAACCAGCAGCTATTTGATGGATTACAACTTTCCCAAAGTCAAATTCCTAATATTCTTTATAACATCCTTTCAAGTATTCAAATAAAATGCCACCTTAGGTAAGAAGAATTTTCTATTAATGTGTAAGAAATATTTTGTTCCTAATTTTTTCTCTTCAGAGTAAGTAAGAATGTCTAGTGTAAATATAATTTGTTGATAAATTTTTATATTTTAATTTATCCTATATGCTTACAAAGAAAAATACAATCATAAAGCTGCTATTTAAGAACTGTCTAAAAGATGCAATAAACTCAATTTATAATTTAAATCCTAACTATGCAGATCCTCAGCATACATTTAAATCTGAATTAAACCAGCTAATATTTTTGAACCAACATAATTTCAAGGATATTGCTAAAGAAACTCATGTCTGCTGCTTTTTACTTGACTTTCTTATACGCTCCTAATGTCTCCCTACACGTTCGTCCTATTGCCTGCTGCCTTCACTGGATCCTCGGAAAGATGCATTCCAAAGGAGATTTCCTTCTAGTAGCTACACATGAAGAAAAGGAATTGATGTCCATCAGAGTTCATGAGAGTCAGTCTTGACAATAGGTGACAGCTACTGCCATCTCCATATGAATCTCTCAGCAGAATAGCAGAGACAGACTTTTTGGTACTGACCTTTAATTATTTTTTTTAAATGTGTGCTGTTACTTCACCCCATCTTAAGGTTGTTCAGTGACTTTTAAAAATTTTTGAATACTGTTAGGTGTGGTCAGACCACCAGATTTACAAGTGACAGAATCACTAATCAGCTCTAAAATTGTCAGGGTCTCAATTATACCCAAAGTTTCTGATATTGCAGTTTACCAAATACTATTGAAATCTTCTGAAAAAAAGTTTAGTAACATGTCTTGGGATATCTGGAGTTTCCTTCATCTCTATAATATCTTTTTCTCAAGGAAGATCTAGGCATAGCACACTTCAGAGATTTCTGTAAGGTGTTTTTCTGAAGAAAGCCTGTTTAGCCCTTATGTCAGTATGGAAATGAGACACCACTGAAGTGTTGTACTCATCAAAAATAGCTAAGGTATTCCTTGGCAGCTTTTACCAACTAGCCATGATCGAGTGTAATGGATATAATTTAGCCTATCTGGATTAGATATTCTCTAAAAGAAGTACAGTGTTTCCTGGTAACAAGTATGACTTCCTGTGAATTTTAAGTGGAAATTAAATGAACTCTCACAGTATTTTTAACTCGTATTTGCAAGCATGAACAGTCAGAGCTAGGAACTCTTCAACCAGCTGATAAAGAATATTAAGAATCAAAAGTGAGGGGAAAAAGTTTAGTTCCTTTTACTTTAAATTAGATACTGTATGTATTCAGCATAAATGTGCAGTGTTGTCAGATTTTTTAAGAAATCCTTTTAACTGCTTCAACTGCTCTATCAGAGGAAAAAGTAGAAAAGAATAACCTGAAAGAAAAACAAACCAAATTTTATCATTGCAGTAACTGTAAACTCCTGAAAATCTTAGTGGTTGTATTATATTTATTTATTTGGCCATTAAATATGCAGATGTATTCCTTCCTTGGCTATATTTTGCTTCATCCTCAACTTAAAAAAATAACATGCAAGTTTCACTTTATTCTGGGAACTTATGAAAAACACACAAACCTTCTGAATAGTGATACAAATTAAGCCATATAAACATAAAAGACTCTCTGAAATAAAATAATTCTTTTGCACAAAAACTCAATTCAAACTGTTAAAAGCTAGGCATTAATTCTAAATACAAATTCAGTGCAAACCAACACAAGTGTAATTACAAGTTATAGGTCATGTTTCCTATTTACCTATGCTCTTTTCTACATCAATCATTATACACTAGCAAGATAAGATGGGGCAAAGATGGGCAAGATAATTGCCCATGCTATTAGAATTCCCATATTTCTGTAGTATGAATGAAATTGCAAATTAAAACTGCTAATTTGTGTGTTTTTTAAAAGGTCACATTGTTACACAGGAACTTGAAAGTGAACAAAACAAATAACTCTCCAGCTAGTTGCTGAGTGGAGAAGTTGGTTTTTACTATTTTCATTTTTTAGAAACTTTACAAGCATTTTTTTTTTTTTAGAAACTTAGAAATTGTGATGATGTTGGGTGAGATGGGGTTGGAGGAGGGATAAACTGGTGGAATCTTGGATCCAGTGCTTTGAAATTTTCACCAATGGCAAAACATGTTGAAATCACATTGAAAGATTCTCAAAATGTTATATCTGCTAGCAGCAAATTGTGAATCAGATCTGTTTTGTTCCTCTGCAAGGGGACAAAACAGGAAATAATTTTGGAATCTAATAATGTTTCTTTCTTGTTGTATAAGAGAGTTTTGACTTTATAATTAAAATTCTCATCTTTCTCTGTTGTCATGTAAATATCTTCTCCATATCCTGAATATTAATGTGTCATAACAATCTTGTAGGAGGGGCTTGTAAAACACATTATTACACCCAGGCAAGTTACATAATATGTATTGAATGGCAGTTCACAAGAGCCAAATCTAAGGAAGAATGGAAAAATCCAGTTCAAAGTAGATGTCAGTATCCATGTGACAGAGTATAGCCTACTGATGAAGCCATCTAAACAAACTGACAAAATGTTTATATGATGCTTTTACATAAATATACAAACACAACAAAAAGGGTAAAACTAGGCACTATTACTAAATACAAAATCCAGTGCAAGCCAACACATATGTATAATTACATATTATGTCTCTTTACCCCTTAAACTAGAGATAATTGGGAAACAGGAGAGCCAGAGATCTTTTATAATGGACTAGAAACCTAGTCAAAATGATCAAGAGCTCTACTCACTCCCAACACCTCTCCTGCAGTGACGGGAGCTTAGGGAAATTGAAGTCCAGTTTTTTGGCTTCTTTTTTTTTTTTTGAGACTGAGTCTCTATCACGCAGGCTGGAGTGCAGTGGCTCGATCTCGGCTCACTGCAACCTCCGTCTCCCCGGTTCAAGCGATTCTCCTACCTCAGCCTCCCGTGTAGCTGGGACCACAGGCACAGGCCATCACACTCAGCTAATTTTTGTTTTTTTAGTAGAAACGGGGTTTCGCCGCCGGGGGCGGTGGCTCACGCCTGTAATCCCAGCACTTTGGGAGGCCGAGACGGGCCGATCACGAGGTCAGGAGATAGAGACCATCCTGGCTAACATGGGGAAACCCCGTCTCTACTAAAAATACAAAAAATTAGCCGGGCGTGGTGGCGGGTGCCTGTAGTCCCAGCTACTCAGGAGGCTGAGGCAGGAGAATGGCGTGAACCCGGGAGGCGGAGCTTGCAGAGAGCCGAGATTGCACCACTGCACTCCAGCCTGGGCGACAGAGCGAGACTCCATCTCAAAAAGAAAAAAAAAAGGAAAAAGAAAAAAAAGAAACGGGTTTCGCCACGTTGGCCAGACTGGTCTCAAATTCCTGACCTCAGGTAATACACCCACCTCAGTCTCCCAAAGTGCTAGGATTACAGACGTGAGCCACTGCACCTGGCCCTGAAGTCCAGTTTTTACTTGGGCTTTAGGTGATAATATTATCTTTTAAAATATTTCCATACTTGAGCAAAGAAGATGATCATTTCCAAGCTATACTGACTGTTGAGAACTGTGAAGGATCTGAGATTTTACCCTACTTGCAAGCTAACATGATATCCTACCACAGGTTTACAGGCGCTGGCTGAAGACACAAGATTCCTGGATCAGAGGCAAATGACAGTTTATTACTCATATATGTAGCCAGAGTATAAGCACTCCTGCCAATACCCTGAGCCCCAGTTCCCACAGGGTGATGTCAAAAAGACCAAGTTATACTTGCACATATAGTAGGGTATGTTGCAGGAAAGTTTAGCAAGACCAATTTTTCTTTTTTTTTAGGTTAGTGACACTAATTATTTTATTTTATTTTATTTTTTATTTTTTATTATACTTTAAGTTCTGGAATACATGTGCAGAATGTGCAGGTTTGTTAAATAGGTATACACGTGCCATGGTGGTTTGCTGCACCCATCAACCCATCATCTACATTAGGTATTTCTCCTAAGGCTATCCCTCCCCTAGCCCCTCACTCCCCTACAGACCCCAGTGTGTGATGATCCCCTCCCTGTGTACATGTGTTCTCATTGTTCAACTCCCACTTATGAGTGAGAACATATGGCATTTGGTTTTCTCTTCCTGTGTTAGTTTTCTGACAATGATGGTTTCCAGTTTCATCCATGTCCCTGCAAAGAACATGAACTCATCCTTTTCATGGCTCCATAGTATTCCATGGTGTATATGTGCCACATTTTCTTCATCCAATCTATCACTTTTGGGCATTTGGGTTGGTTCCAAGTCTTTGCTATTGTAAATAGTGCTCCAATAAACATAGGTGTGCATGTGTCTTTATAGTAGAATGATTTATAATCCTTTGGGTATATACCCAGTAATGGGATTGCTGGGTCAAATGGTATTTCTCGTTCTAGATCCTTGAGGAATTGCCACACTGTCTTCCACAATGATTGAGCTAATTTACACTTCCACCAACAGTGTAAAAGCATTCCTATTTAGCCACATCCTCTCCAGCATCAGTTTTTTTCCTGACTTTTTAAGGATCACCATTCTAACTGGCATTAGATGGTATATCATTGTGGTTTTGATTTGCATTTCTCTGATGACCAGTGATGATGAGCTTTTTTTCATATGTTTGTTGGCCACGTAAATGTCTTCTTTTGAGAAGTGTCTGTCCCCATCTTTTGCCCACTTTTTGATGGGGTTATTTCTTGTAAATTCGTTTAAGTTCCTTGTAGTTTCTGGATATTAGCCCTTTGTCAGATGGATAGATTGCAAAAATTTTCTCCCATTCTGTAGGTTGCCTGTTCACTCTGATGATAGTTTCTTTTGCTGTGCAGAAGCTCTTTAGTTTAATTAGATCCCATTTGTCAGTTTTGGCTTTTGTTGCAATTGCTTTTCATGTTTTAGTTATGAAGTCTTCGCCCATGCCTATGTCCTGAATGGTATTGCCTAGGTTTTCTTGTAGGGTTTTTATGGTTTTAGGTCTTATATTTAAGTCTTTAATCCATCTTGAGTTAATTTTTGTAAAAGGTGTAAGGAAGGGGTCCAGTTTCAGTTTTCTGCATATGGCTAACCCGTTTTTCCCAACACCATTTATTAAATAGGGAATTCTTTCCCCATTGCTTGTTTTTGTCAGGTTTGTCGAAGATCAGATTGTTGTAGATATGTGGCATTATTTCCCAGGCCTCTGTTCTGTTCCATTGGTCTATATATCTGTTTTGTTACCAGTACCATGCTGTTTTGGTTACTGTAGCCTTGTAGTATAGTTTGAAGTCAGGTAGCATAATGCCTCCAGCTTTGTTCTTTTTGCTTAGGATTGTCTTGGCTATGTGGGCTCTTTTTTGGTTCTATATGAAATTTAAAGTAGTTTTTTCTAATTCTGTGGAGAAAGTCAATGGTAGCTTGATGGGGACAGCATTGAATCTATAAATTACTTTGGGCAGTATGGCCATTTTCACAATATTGATTCTTCCTATCCATGAGCATGGAACGTTTTTTCTTTTGTTTGTGTCCTCTCTTATTTCCTTGGGCAGTGGTTTGTAGCTCTCCTTGAAGAGGTCCTTCACATCCCTTATAAGTTGTATTCCTAGGTATTTTATTCTCTTTGTAGCAATTGTTAATGGGAATTCACTCATGATTTGGCTTTTTGTCTATTATTGGTGTATAGGAATGCTTGCGATATTTGCACATTGATTTTGTATCCTGAGACGTTGCTGAAGTTGCTTATCAGCTTAAGGAGATTTGGGGCTGAGAAGATGGGGTTTTCTAAATATACAATCATGTCATCTTCAAACAGAGACAATTTGAACTCCTCTCTCCCTATTTGAATACCTTTTATTTCTTTCCCTTGCCTGACTGCCCTGGCCAGAACTTCTAATACTATGGTTAAATAGGAGTGGTGAGAGAAGGCATCTTTGTTTTGTGCCAGTTTTCAAAGGGAATACTTACAGCTTTTAACCATTCAGTGTGATGTCGGCTGTGGGTTTGTCATAAATAGCTCTTATTATTTTGAGATACATTCTGTCAATACCTAGTTTATAGAGAGTTTTTAGCATGAAGGGTGTGAATTCTATCGAAGTCCTTTTCTGCATCTATTGAGATCATCATGTGGTTTTTGTCATTTGTTCTGCTTATTTGATGGATGGATTATATTTATTGATTTACATAAGTTGAACCAGCCTCGTATCCCAGAGATGAAGCTGACTTGATCGTGGAGGACAAGCCTTTTGATGTCTTGCTGGATTCAGTTTGCCAGTATTTTTTTGAGGATTTTCGCATCAATGTTCATCAGGGATATTGGCCTGAAATTTTCTTTTTTTGTTGTGTCTCTGCCAGGTTTTGATATCAAGATGATGCTGGCTTCATAAAACGAGTGAGGGAGGAGTACTTCTTTTTCTATTGTTTGGAACAGTTTCACAAGGAATGGTACCAGCTGCTCTTTTTACCTCTGGTAAAATTCGACTGTGAATCTGTCTGGTCTGGGACTTTTTTTGGTTGGTAGGCTATTAATTACTGCCTCAATTTCAGACCTTGTTATTGGTCTATTCAGGGACTCGACTTCTTTCTGGTTTAGATTTGGGAGGGTGTACGTTTCCAGGAATTTATTCATTTCTTCTAGATTTTCTAGTTTATTTGCATAAAGGTGTTTATAGTATTCTCTGATGGTAGTTTGTATGTCTGTGGGATCAGTGGTGATATCCTCTTTATCATTTTTTATTGTGTCTCTTTGATTCTTCTCTCTTTTCTTCTTTATTAGTCCGGCTAGTGGTCTATTTTGTTAATCTTTTCAAAAAATCAGCTCGTGGATTCACTGATTTTTTGAAGGGTTTTTCCTGTCTCTATCTCCTTCAGTTCTGATCTTGGTTATTCCTTGTCTTCTGCTAGCTTTTGAATTTGTTTCCTCCTGCTTCTGTGGTTCTTTTAATTGTGATGTTAGGGTGTCGATTTTAGATCTTTCCTGCTTTCTCCTGTTGGCATTGAGTGCTATAAATTTACCTGTAAACATGGCTTTAGCTGTGTCCTGGAGATTCTGGTACTTTGTGTCTTTGCTCTCATTGGTTTCAAATAACTTATTTATTTCTGCCTTAATTTCGTTATTTACCCAGTAGTCATTCAGGAGCAGGTTGTTCAGTTCCCATGAGTTGTGCGGTTTTGAGTGAGTTTCTTAACCCTGAGTTCTAATTTGATTGCACTGTGGTCTGAGAGATTGTTTGTTATGATTTCCATTCTTTTGCATTTGCTGAGGAGTGTTTTACTACCAATTAGGTTGTCAATTTTAGAATAAGTGTGATGTGGTGCTGAAAAGAATGTACATTCTGTTGATTTGGGGTGGAGAGTTTTGTAGATGTTTATTAGATCTGCTTGGTCCAGAGCTGAGTTCAGGTCCTGAATATCCTTGTTAATTTTCTGTCTCATTGATCTGTCTAATATTGACAGTGGGGTGTTAACGTCTTCTACTATTATTGTGTGGGAGTCTAAGTCTCTTTGTAGGTCTCTAAGAACTTGCTTTATGAATCTGGGTGCTCCTGTATTGGTTGCATATATATTTAGGATAGTTAGCTCTTCTTGTTGCATTGATCCCTTTACCATTATGTAATGCCCTTCTTTGTCTTTTTGATCTTTGTTGGTTTAAAGTCTATTTTGTCAGAGACTAGGATTACAATCCCTGCCTTTTTTTTTTTTTTTTTTTTTTTTTGCTTGGTAAATATTCCTCCATCCCTTTATTTTGAGCCTATGTGTGTCTTCGCACATGAGATGGGTCTCCTGAAAACAGCACGCCGATGGCTTGACCCTTTATCCAATTTGCCAGTCTATGTCTTTTCATTGGGGCATTTAGTCCATTTACATTTAAGCTTAATATTGTTAAGTGTGAATTTGATTCTGTCATTATGATGCTAGCTGGTTATTTGGCCCATTAGTTGATGCAGTTTCTTTCTGGTGTCAATGGTCTTTACAATTTGGTATGTTTTTGCAGTGGCTGGTACCAGTTTTTCCTTTCCATATTTATTGCTTCCTTCAGGAGCTCTTTTTAGGCAGGCCTGGTGGTGACAAAAACTCTCAGCATTTGCTTGTCTGTAAAGGATTTTATTTCTCCTTCACTTGTGAAGCTTACTTTGGCTGGATATGAAATTCTGGTTGAAAATTCTTTTCTTTAAGAATGTTATATATTGGCCCACACTCTCTTCTGGCTTGTAGGGTTTCTGCAGAGATCCGCTGTTAGTCTGTTGGCCTTCCCTTTGTGGGTAACCCAACCTTTCTCTCTTGCTGCCCTTCACATTTTTTCCTTCATTTCAACCTTGGTGAATCTGACAACTATGTGTCTTGGGGTTGCTCTTCTCGAGGGGTATTTTTGTGCTGTTCTCCATATTTCCTGAATTTGAATGTTGGTCTGCCTTGCTAGGTTGGGGAAGTTCTCCTGGATAATATCCTGAAGAGTGCATTCCAACTTGGTTCCATTCTCCCCATCACTTTCAGGTACACCAATCAAATGTAGGTTTGGTCTTTTCACATAGTTTCATATTCTGGGAAGCTTTGTTCACTCCTTTTCATTCTTTTTTCTCTATTCTTGTCTTCATGCTTTATTTCATTAAGTTGATCTTCAATCTCTGATATCCTTTCTTCCACTTGATCGATTCAGCTATTGATACTTGTGTATGCTTCATGAAGTTCTAGTCCTGTGTTTTTCAGCTCCATCGGGTCATTTATGTTCTTCTATAAACTGGTTATTCTAGTTAGCCCTTCCTCTAACCTTTTTTCAAGGTTCTTAGCTTCTTTGCATTGGGTTAGAACATGCTCCTTTAGCTCGGAGGAGTTTGTTATTACCCACCTTCTGAAGCCTACTTCTGTCAACTCGTCAAACTCATTCTCTGTCCAGTTTTGTTCCCTTGCTGGTGAAGATTTGTGATCCTTTGGAAGAGAAGAGGTGTTCTGGGTTTTGGAATTTTCAGCTTTTTTGCGCTGGTTTTTCCCCATCTTCATGGATTTACCTACCTTTGGTCTTTAATGTTGGTGACCTTCAGAAAGAGTTTTGTGTGGAGGTCATTTTTGTTGATGTTGATGCTATTCCTTTCTGTTTGTTAGTTTTCCTTCTAAGAGTCAGGCCCCTCTGCTGCAGGTCTGCTGGAGTTTGCTGGAGGTCCACTCCAGACCGTTTGCCTGGGTATCACCAGCAGATGCTGCAGAACAGCAAAGATTGCAGCTTGTTTCTTTCTCTGGAAGCTTTCTCTCAGAAGGGTACCCGCCAGATGCCAGCCAGAGCTCTCCTGTATGAGGCGCCTGTCGAACCCTGCTGGGAGGTGTCTCCCAGTCAGAAGGCATGGGGTTCAGGGACCCACTTGGGGAGGCAGTCTTTCCCTTAGTAGAGCTTGAGCACTGTGCTGGGAGATCTGCCGCTCTCGTCAGAGCCAGCAGGCAGGAACGTTTAAGTCTGCTGAAGCTGCACCCACAGCCGCCCCTTCTCCCAGGTGCTGTGTCCCAGGAATTTGGGAGCTTCATCTATAAGCCCCTGACTGGGGCTGCTGCCTTTCTCTCAGAGATGCCCTGCCCAGAGAGGAGTAATCTAGAGAGGCAGTCTGGCTACAGCAGCTTTGCTGAGCTGCAGTGGGCTCTGCCCAGCTCAAACTTCCCATGGCTTTGTTTACTCTGTGAGGGGAAAACCACCTACTGAAGCCTCAGTGATGGCCGACGCCCCTCCCCCCACCAAGCTTGAGCATCCCAGGTTGACTTCAGACTGCTGTGCTGGCAGCTAGAATTTCAAGCCAGTGGATCTTAGCTTGCTGGGCTCCATGGGGGTAGGATCTGCTGAGCTAGACCACTTGGCTCCCTGGCTTCATCCCCCTTTCCAGGGGAGTGAACGGTTCTGTCTTGTTGGCATTCCAGGTGCCACTGGGGTATGAAAAAAAAAACTCATGCAGCTAGCTCGGTGTCTGTCCAAACGGCCGCCCAGTTTTGTGCTTGAAACCCAGGGCCCTGGTGGCGTAGGCACCCAAGGGAATCTCCTGGTCTGTGGGTTGAGAAGACTGCGAGAAAAGCGTAGTATCTGGGCCAGAATGCACCATCCCTCACAGCACAGTCCCTCACGGCTTCCCTTGGCTAGGGGAAGGAGTTCCCCAATCCCTTGTGCTTCCCTGGTGAGGCGACACCTGACCCTGCTTCATCTCGCCCTCCATGGGCTGCACCACTGTCTAACCAGTCCCAGTGAGATGAGCCAGGTACCTCAGTTGGAAGTGCAGAAATCACCTGCCTTCTGTGTCGATCTCGCTGGGAGCTGCACACCGGAGCTGTTCTTATTCTGCCATCTTGCCAGCCACCTCAAGTCCAAATCTTTTATAATGGGGAGTAAGCCTGTTGGGCCTTGCTCTGGAAGTAGGCACTTTTATTACAGTGGAGAGTAAACAAATTTTACTTTGCTCGAGATAAAGACACTGTTGCTACCTTCTTAGGCTGTTCACTATACAGACGTCCTTGAAAAAATAATCTGGAAAAAAACCAGTCAGTATCTCTGAGCATAAGTTGTGCAGAAACTTAAAGGACCCATGGAGAATTGTCTCCCAACACTAACCAACCAGTGAAACTCCACACAAAGATATGTGGTTCATGATTCTTTCTTTAAAGATTTCCAACTGAAGCTTAGCACAGCACTAACCTCAAAACTCCATGTTTTCCATTCCAATCCCAAATTTCCCCTTTATCTTTTTTCTTTTTTTTTTTTGCTCCTCAGCAGTTTCTCTGTATTGAGCCCATTCCTCACTCTCATTTTTGCTCTGGTGGCTGAACTACTTGCTCGTAGCCCCAGATCTTAGATTCGCCTCTGACTCATGTGTCTAGCTCATATCCTCTGGCAGGTTGCTCCCATAGATAATCTACCAGTAACAACTGCCTTATCTAACTGGTACTGGGACTCTGTTACTGCCCTGATAAGGGGGCCTCTCCCCTCAGAGAGCACATATTGACTATGAAACTGATCGCTTCCAGGAATATGTAGGACGATCTATAGGTGACGAAAATCATTACAGGCAACTGGGTTTGGGTTCAGCCTGCTCTAGCATTTCTCTTTGTTTTTTAATGTGTTTCATTCTGTTTATGTGCAATTTTAGTTAATGCTGTTTGGAATAGTCTTTCAGTCTGTAAACCCAATATGTTGCCATAGAAACAGTTCTCCATCTGAAATACATCCAATCAATTCTAAAATTATCATTCAGAAAATCTTCATAAATTAGAAGTAATCCAACAGATACCCAGAATGTCAGCATTTTCAGCATTTAGGTAATGAGCTGCATTTTCTCCTTTTATTTAATTATTTTAAAATCAAGAAATCAACAGCAAAGAATCCAACTTAGATACACAGATGCTCCCTGACTCGTGATACAGTTCCATTCCAATAAACCCATCATAAGTTGAAAATATGTTAAATTGAAAATACATTTAATATATTTAAGCTACAGAACATCATAGCTTAGCCTGGCCTACTGTAAATGCGCTCTGAACACTTACATTAGCCTAACGTGGGGCAAAATCATCTAAAACAAAGCCTATTTTATGATGAAGTGTTGAATATCTCATGTAATTTATTGAGTACTGTACTGAAAGTGAAAAAACAGAATGGTTATATGATATATAAAGTACAGTTTCTGCTGAATGCATATTGTTTTTGTACGATCATAAAGTCAAAAAAAATTCTAAGTCAAACCATTGTAAGCCAAGGACCATGTGTACATGGAAATAGAAAGATATTCAAGCTAGGAAAATTCTTCATTGATTATTTTATTCTGGAAACAACATTATTATAGAACAACATACGCCATTTAGAAAAGACAAGGTTATATTTCCTTTTTTAATTTTTTTTACTTTTATTTTAGGTTCAAGGGTATCTAGGTGTTCAGGTTTGTTATATAGGCAAACTGCATGTCACAGGGGTTTGGTGTACAGATTATTTTATCATGCAGATAGTAAGTATAATATTCAATAGGTATTTTTTTCTGATCCTCTCCCTCCTCCCACCCTTCACCCTCAAGTAGGCTCTGATGTATGTTGTTCCCCTCTTTGTGTCCATGTATTTTCATTGTTTAGCTTCCACTTACAAATGAGAATGTGCAGTATTTAATTTTCTTTTCCTGCATTAGTTGCTAAGGATAATGGCCTCCAGCTCCATCCATATTGCTGCAAAGGGCATGATCTCCTTTTTTATGGCTGTGTAGTATTCCATGGTGTATATATACCACATTCTTTTAATCCAGTCTACAGTTGATGGGCATTTAGGTTGATTCCATGTCTTTGCTATTGCAAATAGTGCTAAGATGAACATATGCATGCATTTGTCCTTATGGTAGAAGGATTTTTATCCCCTTGGGTACTCACCCAATAATGGGATTGCTGGGCCAAATGGTAATTCTGTTTCAAGTTCTTTGAGGAATCACCACACTGCTTTCTACAATGGCTGAACTAATTTACACTCCCAACAATAGCGTATAAGAGTATCCTTTTCTTTGCAACCTCATCAGCATCTACTTTTTTTTTTATCATAGCCACTCTGATTAGTATGAGGTAGTACATCATTGTGGTTTTGATTTCCATTTCTCTAATAATTAGTGATGTTGAGTTTTTTTCATGTGCCTGTTTGTTGCATGTATGTCTTCTTTTGAAAAGGTTCTATTCATATCCTTTGCCTACTTTCTAATGGGGTTGTTTGCTTTTCGCTTGTAACTTTGTATAAATTCCAAATAGATTCTGGATATTAGACTTTTGTTGGACGCATACTTTGCAAATATTTTCTATCATTCTGTAGGTTGTTTGTTTACTCTGTTGATAGTTTCTTTTGCTATGCAGAAGCTCTCTAGTTTAATTAGGTCCCGCTTGTTAATTTTTGTTTTTGCAACAATTGCTTTTAGTGTTTTCAGCATGAAATCTTTGCCAGGTCCTATGTCCAGAATGGTATATCTTAGATTATCTTTCAGGGTTTTTATAGTTTTAGGTTTTACATTTAAGTCTTTAATCCATCTTGAGTTGATTTTTGTATATGGTTTAAGGAAGGGATCCAGTTTCAGTCTTCAGCATATGGCTACTGAGTTATCCCAGCATCATATATTGATGGGAAGTCCTTTCCCCATTGCTTGTTTTTGTCAGCTTGGTTAAAGATCAGGTGGTTGTAGGTATGCAGAATCATTTCTGGACTCTCTATTCTGCTCCATTGGTCTATGTAACTGTTTTTGCACCAGTACCATGCTGTTTTAGTTATTGTAACCTTGTAGTATAGTTTGAAGTTGGGTAATGGGATGCCTCCAGCCTTGTTCTTTTTGCTTAGAATTGCCTTGGCTAGGCTGGGTGTGGTGGCTCATGCCTGTAATCTCAGTACTTTGGGAGGCCGAGGCAGGCGGATCATGAGGTCAGGAGTTCAAGACCAACCTGACCAACATAGTGAAACCCCATCTCTACTAAAAATACAAAAATTAGCCTGGCATGGTGGCTCACACCTGTAGTCCTAGCTACTAAGGAGGCTGAGGCAGGAGAATCACTTTAACCTGGAAGGCGGAGGTTGCAGTGAGGCAAGATCCTGTCATTGCACTCCAGCCTGGGTGACAGAGCAAGACTCTGTCTCAAACAAACAAACAAACAAACAAACAAAAAGAATTGCCTTGGCTATTTTGGCTCTTTTTTGTTTCAATATGAATTTTAAAATAGTTTTTTCTAATTCTGTGAAGAATGTCATTGGTAGTTTGATAGAGAAAGCATTGAATCTGTTAATTGCTTTGGGCAGTGTGGCCATTTTAACAATATTGAGTCTTTCTATCTGTATTAGTTTATTCTCACACTGCTATAAAGAACTCCTGGAGACTGGGTAATTTATAAAGGAAAGAGGTTTAATTGAGTCACAGTTCCACATGGCTGGCAAGGCCTTAGGAAACTTAAAATCATGGCAGAAGGGAAAGCAAACATGTTTTTCACATGGCAGCAGGAAAGAGAAGTGCAGAGTGAAGGAGGGGAAAGCCCATTATAAAACTGTCAGATATCACGAGAACTCACTCACTATCATGAGAACAGCATGGGGGAACCGCCCCCTGTGATCTAATCACCTCCCACAAGATCCCTCCCCTAACATGTGGGGATTACAATTCAGGTTACAGTTCAAGGTGAGATTTTGAGTGGGGACACAGCCAAACCATATCATTTTGTGCCTGGCTCTTCCCAAATCTCATGTCCTCACATTTCAAAAAATAATCATGCCTTTCCAATAGTTCCCCAAAGTCTTAACTCATTCCAGCATTAGCCCAAAAGTCCAAGTCCAAAGTCTCATCTGAGATAAGTCAAGTCCCTTCCACCTATGAGAGTGTAAAATCAAAAGCAAGTTAGTTATTTCCTAGATACAGTTGGGGTACAGGCATTGGTTAAATACACCCATTCCAAATGGGAGAAATTGGACAAAACAAGGGGCTACAGGCCCCATGCAAGTCCAAAATCCAATAAGGCAGCCACTAAACCTTAAAGTTCCAAAATGTTCTCCTTTGACTCCATGCCTCACATCCAGGTCACTGATGCAAGAGGTGGACTCCCATGCCTTGGGTAGCTCCATCCCTGTGGCTTTGCAGAGCACAGCCTGCCTCCTGGCTGCTTTCATGGGCTGGTGTTGAGTGCCTGCAGCTTTTCCAGGCACATGGTGCAAGTTGTTGGATCTACCATCCTAGGGTCTGGAAGACAGTGGCCTTCTTCTCACAGCTCCATTAGGCAGTGCCCCAGTGGGGACTCTGTGTAGGGTCTCAGATCCCACATTTCCTTTCTGCACTGCCCTAGCAGAGGTTCTCCTTGAGGACTCTGCCTCTACAGCAAACTTCTGCCTAGATATCCAGGTGTTTCCATACATCCTCTGAAATCTAGGTGAAGATTCCAAAACTTCACTTCTTGACTTCCGTGTGCCCACAGGCTCTACACCACTTGGAAGCTACCAAGGCCTGGGCTTGCACCCTTTTAAAGCAATGGCCTGAGTTGTACCTTGGGCCTTCTAGGCATGGCTGGAGCAGCTGGAACTCAGGGTACCAAGTCCCAAGGCTGCACACAGCAATGGGGCCCTCGCCCTGGCCCATGAAATCATTTTTCCCTCCTAGGCCTCCAGCTGCTGTGAAGGTCTGTGACATGCCCTGGAGACATTTTCCCCATTGTCTTTGGTGAACAACATTTGGCTCCTAGTTACTTACGTAAATTTCTGCAGTCATATTTAATTTCTCCCCCCAAAAATGGGTTTTTCTTTTCTACTGCAGCCTCAGGCTACAAATTTTCCAAACTTGTATGTTCTGTCACCTCTATAATGCTTTGCTGCTTAGAAGTTTCTTTTGCTAGATACCCTAAATCATTTCCCTCAAGTTCAAAGTTCCACAGATCCTTAGGGCAGGGGCAAAATGCCACCAGTCTCTTTGCTAAGGCATACCTAGAGTGACCTTTACTCCAGTTCCAAGAAGTTCCTCATCTCCATCTGAGACCACCTCAGCCTGAACTTTATTGTCCATATCACTATCAGCATTTTGGCCAAAACCATTCAACAAGTCTTTAGGAAGTTCCAAACTTTCCTACATCTTTCTATCTTCTTTTGAGCCCTCCAAACTGATCCAACCTCTGCCTGTTACCCAGTTCCAAAGTTTCTTCCACATTTTGGGTTATCTTTACGGCAGCACCCCACTCTCTGAGCTACCAATTTACTGTATTAGTCCATTTTCATGCTGCTATAAAGAACTCCCTGTGACTGGGTAATTTATTAAGGAAAGAGGTTTAATTAACTCACAATTCTGCATGGCTGGGGAGGTCTCAGGAAACTTAAAATCATGGCAGAAGGAGAAGCAAACACTTCCTTCTTCCCATGGCAGCAGGAGAGAGAAGTGCAGAGTGAAGTGGGGAAAAACCCCTTATAAAGTGATCAGATCTCATGAGAACTTACTCACTATCATGAGAACAGCATGAGGGAACAACCTCCATGATCTAATCACCTCCCATGAGGGTCCCTCCCCCAACACATAGGGGTTACAATTCGGATTACAATTCAAGATGAGATTTTGGGTGGGGACACAGCCAAACCATATCACTATCCATCAGCATGGAATGTTTATTCATTCGTTTGTGTCATTTCTTATTTCTTCAAGCAGTGTTTGTAATTCTCCTCTTGAAGATCTTTCACCTCCCTGGTTAGCTGTATTACTAGGTATTTTATTCTTTTTGTGGCAATTGTAAATGGGATTGCTTTCCTGATTTGGCTCTTGGCTTGGATGTTGTTGGTGTATGAGAATGCTACTGACTTTTATACATTGATTTTATATCCTGAAACTTTGCTGAAGTTGTTTCTAAGATCAAGGAGCTTTTGGGTAGAGACTAGGGGCTTTTCAAGATATAAAATCATATTGTCTGTAAACAGAGATAGCTTGACTTCCTCTCTTCTTATTTGGATACCTTTTATTTATTTCTCCTGACTAAATTGCTCTGGCCAGAACTTCCAGTACTATGTTGAATAAGAGGACTGAGAGAGAACATCCTTGTCTTGTTCCAGTTTTCAAAAGGAATGCTTCCAGCTTTTGCCCATTCAATATGATGTTGGTTGGGGGTTTGCTGTTGATGGCTCTTAGCATTTTGAAGTATGTTCCTTCAACACCTAGTTTATTGAGAGTTTTTAACATAAAGCGATGTTGGATTTTATCAAAAGCCTTTTCTGCATCTATTGAGATAATCATGGTTTTTGGTTTTTGTTCTGTTTATGCTGATTAGTCACATTTATTGATTTGCATATGTTAATCACCCTTGCATCCCAGGGATAAAGCCTACTTGATAATGGTGGTTAGGTTTTTGATGTACTGTTGGATTCAGTTTTCTAGTGTTTTATTGAGAATTTTTGCATCTATGTTCATCAAGAATATTGGCGTGAAGTTTTCTCTTTTTGTTGTGTCTCTGCCAGGTTTTGGTATCAGGATGATGCTGATCTCATAGAATGAGTTTTTTGGAATAGTTTCAGTAGGAATAGTACTAGCTCTTCTTTACACATCTGGTAAAATTTGGCTGCATCTGGTCCTGGACATTTTTTGGTTGGTAGGCTTTTTATTACTGCTTCCATTTTGAAACTCATTACTGGTCTGTTCAGGGATTCAATTTCTTCCTGGTTCAGTCTTCAGAGGTTGTCTATGTCCAGGAATTTGTCGATTCTTCTGGATTTTCTAGTTTGTGTGCATAGAGGTGTTTATAGTGGTCTCTGAGGGTTTTTGTATTTCTGCAGGATAAGTGATAACGTCCCCTTTGTCATTTCTAATTGTTTTTATTTGGATCTTCGCTCTTTTTTTCATTATTATTCTGGATACTAGTCTATTTTTCTTATTAGTTTTTTCAAAGAACGAACTCCTGGATTCATTGTTTTTTTGTATGGTTTTTCACATTTCCTTCAATTCAGCTCTGATTTTGGTTATTTCTTGTCTTTTGCTAGCTTTGGGGTTGGTTTGCTCTTATTTCTGTAGTTCCTGTAGTTGTAATGTTACGTTGTTAATTTTAGATCTTTCTAACTTTTTGATGTGAGTGTTTAGTGCTATAAACTTCCCTCATAACACTGCCTTAGCTGTGTCTGAGAGATTCTGGTACGTTGTATCTCTGTTCTCATTTATTTAAAAAATTTATTGATGTCTGACCTAATTTTACTGTTTATCCAAAAGTCATTCAGGAGCAGATTGTTCAATTTCCATGTAATTGTATACTTTTGAGTGATTTTCTTAGTATTTATTTCTATTTTTATTGCACTATGGTCTGAGTGTGTGGTTGGTATGATTTTGGGTTTTTATTTTAATTTGCTGAGGATAGTTTTATTTCCAATCGCGTAGTCTATTTTAGAGTATGTGTCATGTTCAGGTGAGAATGTATAGTCTATTGTTTTTGGGTGGAGAGTTCTGTGGATGTCTATCAGGTCATTTGATCAAGTGCCAACTTCACATCCTGAATATCTTTGTTAATTTTCTGCCTTTATGACCTGTCTAATACTGTGATAGGGGAACTGGAGTCTACCACTATTATAGTCTGTGAATGTAAGTCTCTCCATAGGTCTCTAACAACTTGCTTTATGAGTCTGTATGCTCCTGTATTGGGTGCATATATATTTAGGATAGTTAGGTCTTCTTGCAGAATTGAACCCTTTACCATTATGTAATGCCCTTCTTTTCTTTCTTTATCTTTGTTGGTTTAAAGTCTGTTTTGTCTGAAATTAGGATAGCAACTCCTGCTTTTTTCTGTTTTCCATTTGCTTAGTATATTTTTCTCCATCCTTTTATTTTCAGCATATAGGTGTCTGCATGTGAAATGGGTCTCCTGGAGACCATATATCATTGGGCCTTGCTTCTTTATCCAGCTTGCCACTCTGTGCCCTTTAATTGAGGCATTTAGCCCATTTACATTCAAGGTCACTATTGATATATGTGGATTTGATCCTGTCATTGTGCTGTTAGCTGGTTACTACACAGGCTTGTTTGTGTGGTTGCTTTATAATGTCACTGGTCTGTGTACTTAAGTGTATTTTTGTAGTGGCTGGTAATGGTCTTTTCTTTCCATATTTAGTACTCCTTTTAGGACCTCTCATAAAGTAGGCCTGGTGGTAACCAATTCCCTCAGCATTTGCTTGTCTGAGAAGAATCTTACTTCTCCTTCACTTATGAAGCTTAGTTTGGTTGGATATCAAATTCTTCATTGAAAATTATTTTATTTAAGAATGCTGAATATAGGCCCCCAATCTCTTCTGGCGTGTAGGGTTTCTGCTGAAAGGTCTGCTGTTAGTTTAACAAGATTCTTTTGGTAGGTGACCTGCCCCTTCTCTCTAGCTGCCTTTAACATTTTTTCTATCATTTCAACCTTGGAGAATCTGATGATTATGTGTCTTGGGGATGGTCTTCTCATGTAGTAGCTCACAGGAGTTTTCTGAATTCCCTGAATTTGAATGTTGGCCTCTCTAACAAGGTTGGGATAGCCTAGCTAGACGATATCCTGAAATATGTTTTCCAAGTTGTTTGCTTTCTCCCCATCTCTTTCAGGGATGCCAATGAGTCACAGGTTTGGTCTCTTTACATAATCTCATATTACTCAAAGGTTTTGTTCATTCTTTTTTATTCTTTTTTCTTGTTTTTGTCTGACTGAGTTATTTCAGAGAGCTGGTCTTCAAGCACTGAGATGCTTTTCTCAGCTTGGTCTAGTCTTCTGTTAATAATTGTGATTGCATTATGAAATTCTTGTCATGTGTTTTTCAGCTCTATCTGATCAATTTGGTTCTTTTTTATAATGGCCATTTCACCTATCAGTTCCTGTATCATTTTATTATAATCCTTACATTTCTTGGATTGGGTTTTTACTTTTTCCTGAATCTCAATGATCTTTCTTCCTATTCATATTCTGAATTCTATTTCCATCATTTCCATCAGCAAGCCTAGTTAAGAATGCTTGCTGGAGAACTAGTGCATTCATTTGGAGGAAAGAAGACACTCTGGCTTTTTGAGTTGCCAGAGTTCTTACACTGGTTCTTTCTCAACTGTGTGCACTGGTGTTCCTTTAACTGCAATGTATATTGAGTACAGCCAATTGACTTCTTTTCTGGATGTTTTCAGAGGCCCAAGTCTTTGTGCAGGGTCTTTATTTGTAGCTGAATTCTTGTCACTGGTTTCACAAGAGGGTATATTAGCTAAGTGTTATTGGTGTTGAAGTTTTGGACTGTCATCCAATAGGTGGTGCTTAAGTGTAATGGCTGGTAGGTAGGCTCTTGCTTAGCCACATGATTTCTCTGTATTTCCTCAGGATTGCAGCTGGGCTCCCTCTCAGTGCTGTGAATGGGTGGTCTCCTCTCCCACTTGAGTGCTGGCTGCATATCTCGGCTTGGCACTCCTGGGCTGCACATTACAATTCTGGGGTGAGTTCAAACTTTCTGTACCCTCTCAAGCTTGGAGGCAGCAGGTGAAGGGACCTTAGCAGTGGCTGTGGCAGAGTGTCTTTCACTTGTCTTTTGACAAGAGGCTCACACCTCTTTCTGATGTGGAGCCACTATCAATCGGTGTGATCAGCCCAGGATGGGGCCACCACACTTTGGACCCAAGGGCAAGGGGAGGCCCTGGTAGTGATGAGCAGGGAGAGCAGGTGGGTCCTGGAGGGATACAGACTGGCCTCTTCTCCTTAGGGCAACTTCAGCTTACCAAAGGTGTGGTTGAAGCACTCAGGGTCTCTGCTCCTTCCTTAGTCTGAGGGAAGCAAGAGAAGTACCACAGCAGCGGCAGTGGCAAAGGGCCTTTCAGTTATCTCTGGGAATTCTACCTCAGAGAAGCAGAACCACTGCCAATGGGAGTATTCAGCCAGGGGGTGGGTTGGCTGCACTGCTGGCATGAGTTGGGCACTCCACTTGGTGAAGAGGGGGTGGAAGGCTCACAGGGAGGAGAGACTGGGCTTTTCTTCCGATGGTGACTGTGGTGTGCTGAAAGTGCAGGTGAAGCCCTCAGGCTCTTTGTTTCTTCCCCAGATGGAGGGCAGCAGAGGCAGAACCATTGCTATGGCAGAGGGGTGTTGGTTCCCTCTGGGAGCCCCTCCTCTGGGAAACTCAGAGCCACTCCCAGTGGGCATCCTTAGCTGTGGTTGGGGCGACTGATCTGCAGTCCTGACCCAGGGGCCCTACCTGGTGAAGAGTTGAGGGTGGGGGTTCACAGAGAAGAGAGACAGGACTCTGTATGGGGGCTACACAGTGCAGGAGGTGCTAGCACAGGAACTAAGCCCTTTGTTCCTTCCTTAGCCTGAGGGTGGTTAGGGTGGTACCACTACAGGTGCAATGGTGGAGGGGTTGTGGGTTGACTCCAGGATTTCCTCCTTAGACAAATGCAGAGCTGCTGCTGACTGAAGTGCCCAGGCAGGGCAGAGTAGTTATGCGGGAGTCCCAGGTCAGGAGGCCCTGCCCAGTGAGGAGAAGCAGGGACAGGGACCAAGTGAAGAACAGTCCAGATGAGAGGTGAAGCCAGCTGGACTTCCTGGGTCAAGTGGGGATTTGAAGAACTTTTCTGTCTTACAAGAGGATTGTAAAATGCACCAATCTGCATTCTGTAGTTAGGATTGTAAAATACACCAATCAGCGCTCTGTAGCTAGCTAGAGGTTTGTAAAATAGACCAATCAGCACTCTGTAAAATGGACCAATCAGCAGGACAAGGGCGGGGACAAATAAGGGAATACAAGCTGGCCACCCCAGCCAGCAGCGGCACCCACTCAGGTCCCCTTCCATGCTGTGGAAGCTTTGTCCTTTCACTCTTCACAATAAATCTTGCTGCTGCTCACTCTTTGGGTCCATGCCATCTTTAAGAGCTATAACACTCACTGCGAAGGTCCACGGCTCCATTCTTGAAGTCAGCGAGACCACGAATGAACCCATGGGAAGGAACCAACTCCAGACACACAGACACTTTTCTGTGAAGCAGTTGTGCTGCACTGGGGATCCATGCCAGTTCCTAATCACCGTGCACCCTCCAGCACCTGAGGGCAAAAGCAGCAAGGGCTGTGAGACAGCAAAAACGGCAGCCATCTTCTCCTTCTGGGAGCTCTGTCCCAGGGGAGTGCAAAGCTGGTACCAGCCCTAGAGCCCTGGTAGGGGGTGGCTGGAGTCCCAGGTCAGGAGGCCCCGACCAGTGACGAGAAGCGGTATTGGGGACCCATGTGGAAAACAGTCCGGCCACTTTTCCATGTGGTGGCTGCACTGTGCTAGAGTCCGTGCTAGTCCCTAATCACCAAGCACTTTCCAGAGCCTGAAGGCAAGAGCAGCAAGGGCTGTGAGACAGCCAAGATGGCAGCCTGCCTTGCCCCCTTGGAGCTTCCTCCCAGGAAGTGCAGAAGATTATATTTCAAATGACTACACAATAGTGATAATGCAAGGTGGGGGAACTGCTTCATTTCAACAGTGTTATTCTCCTTAGAAGAAAAGCCTGTAAATATATGTATCAGAAAAAGTTTCTAATTTTTAGAGTAGGTTTTTAATACTCTTTTATATCTCTTGTCTCCTTGAAAATATTTTAAACACTCAGTAGTCCCAAGTGGAAAGTTATTAGGAGTCACGTAGTTCTTGCAAAGGAAGTCACAGATTGAAAATAAGGAGAATCCCGCCAGGTGCAGTGGCTCACGCGTGTAATCCCAGCACTTTGAGAGGCCTAGGCGGATGGATCACTTGATGTCAGGAGTTTGAGACCAGCCTGAACAAGATGGTGAAACCCCGTCTCTACTAAAAATACAAAAAATTAGCAGGGTGTGGTGGTGGGTGCCTGTAATCCCAGCTACTGGGGAGGCTGAGGCCAGAGAATGGCTTGAACCCAAGAGGCGGAGGTTGCAGTGAGCCAAGATCACGTGACTGCACTCCAGCCTGGGCGACAAAGTGAGACTCCATTTCAATTAAAAAAAAAAAATAGTAAATACATAAATAATAAACTAAAGACAGGCCAGGCGCAGTGGCTCACGCCTGTAATCCCAGCACTTTGGGAGACCAAGGCAGAAAGATCATGAGGTCAGGAGTTCGAGACCAGCCTGGCCAATATAGTGAAACCCTGTCTCTACTAAAAATACAAAAATTAGCTGGGCATGGTGGCACGTGCCTCTAGTCTCAGATACTCGGCAGGCTGAGGCAGAAGAATTACTTGAACCCAGGAGGCAGAGGTTGCAGTGAGCCGAGATCTCACCGCTGCACTCCAGCCTGGGCAACAGAGTGAGACTGTCTCAATAATAATAATAATAATAATAATCATCATCATCATCATCCTGGCGCGGTGGCTCATACCTGTAATCCCAACACTTTGGGAGGCCGAGGCGGGTGGATCACGAGGTCAGGAGTTCAAGACCAGCCTGGCCAAGATGGTGAAATCCCGTCTCTACTAAAAATACAAAAATTAGCCAGGCGTGGTGGCGCATGCCTGTAGTTCCAGCTACTCAGGAGGCTGAGGCAGGAGAATCACTTGAACCCAGGAGGCAGAGGTTGCGATGAGCCAAGATCGCACCATTGCACTCCAGCCTGGGCAACAAGAGCGAAACTCCTTCTTAAAAGAATAATAATAATAAATAAACTAAGGAGAATCCCCCAAACTAAGGAAAGGGACCAGAAATGTTTCTTTCTTGAAATTTATGGTAAACATAATAAAAATAATGAGATGAGCCATCAGTAAAATAAGTTCACCCCAAATGATAATTAGTTCAAGTATTGTCAAAAAATTCAAGTGTTTCCCAATTTTTTTCCTGGAGTTCACATTATTTCACTAAAATTTCACCAGAAAAACATTAGTATAGAATATTGAGAGCAGTACTGTTCAATACAACTTTCTGTGATGATAGAAGTGCACTGTAATCTGTACTGTTCAATATGGTACCTACTAGCTACATATGGGTATTGAGCACTTGAATGTAGCTAGCAACTAAAGAGCTAAATTTCTTTAAAATGTTAATTAATTTAAATTTAAATTATAGCATGTGGCTAGTAGCTACCATTTCGAACAATGCTATTTAATAGCTGAATACTCACAGAGTTGGGCTCAAACTGCTGAGGTTCAAACTCTGGTTTCACATTTCACTACTTTGTTATTCTTCTCCTGTTGTTGGGTTGATGTCAAGATTCAGTGTGTTAAATTATATGTTAAATAAATCTTAGCAATTGTTATTATTATATACCAGTTACACAATTTACCAGCCACATGCTCAAGTTACCTAACCTCACAAAACCAATTTCACCCACTAATAATACTATTGTATGGGATTTTTATGAGAATTAAATGAACTAATGTGTAAAATTGCTTAGTATATGCCCATCACATGGAAGCACTCAATACCTGTTAAATGCTATTATTAAATTATTATCAAAACAATGTTGAAACAAATTTTTGTAACTTGCAGGAAATACTGGGAAAATATACTGAAGTTATAATGATTTATAGGTGAGCAAATAATTTTGAGTCAAGTCAAATTTGTTCAACAGTAAAATTTTAAAAATTGCAAACCTTGAGTGATTCCATCAAGATTTATAGAGCACGTGGGATTCATCTTAATTAACACAGTCTGCCAACTTTTCTTTTCCTCAGCTGAAGCCTTAACAAAAATAAATCTATATGAATATGTATTTACCTTGTCTTTCTTATTATGGTTTTACTCTCTTCTTATTTTCGGTACCTGGTAGCACAAGAAAGTTAGTTAGAACAAATATATCACTGCCGGGCGCGGTGGCTCACACCTGTAATCCCAGCACTTTCGGAGGCCGAGGCGGGCAGATCACGAGGTCAGGAGATCGAGATCACCCTGGCTAACATGGTGAGACCCCGTCTCTAGTAAAAAATACAAAAAATTAGCTGGGCATGGAGGCACGTGCCTGTAATCCCAGCTACTCGGGAGGCTGAGGCAGGAAAATCGCTTGAACCCAGGAGGCAGAGGTTGCAGTGAGCCGAGATGGTGCCACTGCACTCCAGCCTGGCGACAGAGCAAGACTCCATCTCAAAAAAAAAAAAAAAAAAAAAAAAGAACAAATATATCACTGCAGGAAATCCTGTTTCCAATTATTTCAAGATATGCTGAGCCCATCAATGGTATACCCAAGCTCTAAAAACAACATATTTATAGCCACAATTTTACACATTTCAAATGATTTCTTAATGTGAAATTCAAATAAACTAGTAACTCCTACATACATATTAACTCCTTTTCTATTTATATCTTAAATGTGGTTCCAAATGAAAAACATGTAGAATCTAAGAGTTTGGGGAATTTGTTAACATGTTACAAAAATGTTTCTGCAAATTTACAGAAATTTATGAAGTCTGGAAAGTCTGAATTAGACTGCTGTTGGTGGTGACTTAAAACGATTTTATTTTATAAATGGACTTACTGTGCTCTTTTCATCATTTTTCTGGCATCTTAACAGCAGACAAGGAAAGTTCTTGTTTTTCCAGCAGCGTCTGCTTGGTAAAGTCTAAGTAGGTCAGAGGAAGAAGCAAAACGTTTTTATTTCAGCGAGAAATTAAAAACTCAGAACCTACTTTATATTTAAAGTTGCTTTCACTAGTGTAGTTGCCTAAAAGCAAGCAAGTAGCAGGTCCTTGCTCCCAGATGCCTGCTCGCAGATCATGAAAAGAAAACAAACCTTCAGGGTTTGAAGTGTAAATTTTCTGGAATATTTTGTACTAAATTGCCAATGTGATATCAAAGACATGGCGAAGTGTAGTTACTCTGCCATGGCTGCCCCATCAGCAGGCTCCCTTTAATGAGCAGTTAGTTCTAATTAATAGCTTACCTCTGGCAGAGAATGTAATTTCACTTTGGGTCATTTTCAAGCACAGACTAGAGTAAGAGTAAGGCAGTCAAAGAAAGAAGGAGAGAAATGGTATGAGGGTTGGAATTATATTTAGAGACAGCAGGAAGATGATCACTATCTGGTTTTCCCAAATCTTCACAAATTGGATTACAGTGTCTGGAGCTGTCTTTCAGAAGGGCACAGATTACATTGTGCAGAATTATCTGCAAGGGATAATTCTTCTGTTGATCTGAACTTTCAGCTAACGCCAGTGTCTGATGGTAAAGATTTTGATAGTGACATTTAAACACTTAGTATGCTAACATGTATAACCCAGCTGGTAACTGAAGTTTCCCTATTCCTTGAGTTGTAGCTAAAATTGCCCTGATCTGTGCAAGTCCAAAGCCCATCCTAGGACTCAGATGATTTCCACATCTACAAGTGTGTCTTTAATTCACTAGGCATCAATTTTAACAAAAAATCCAAGCCTTTTATCAACTTTCAATTCCCCCCCAAATAAAAGTCCACTCCCAGAGAACACTCATGATTAATAGAACCGACTGAGGTTTCAGTGGTGGGGTACCTATATAAGGAAAGGTCACCTCTCACCTCATTCCACAAACAACTTTAAAAAATTATCATTACCTTCTTGTGCTTTCAAGTCATCTGCAGCAACTGCCACCAGGCAAGGTGGGCCTGTAGGCTCGAGGTGACTAGGGGACACTGACAAAAGAGACCCTGCCACAGGGTGAGAAGCAAATGACAAGTGGCCCCAGGTGAGACTTATGACTTCCCAATAGCACACTAACCAGTGCTCAAGAGTCTTAAATCTCTGAAACCTCTGCCTTCAACATGGAATCTGGGCCCAAACTGTTGGTGGCAGATTACAGTGCACTTCTATTGCCACAGAAAGTTTTATTGAACAGTACTGCTGTAAAGATTCTACACTAATGTTTTCCTGATGAAATTTAATGCAATAATGTGAACTCCAGGAAGAAATTTGCAGCATATGATAGGAAATGTAGGTATGCCACCCCTTACGAATGATAGGAAAACTAAACAGTATGTGTTTTGGTAAGCCAAAAGACACACTCCCCACTTCCCTGATTTGTTCTACACTGTCCCAGATAACCATGGCATAATAAAGAAAAGTCAGTCCCATGTAAGATTAAATGGCGTTCTGGGATAGACTTGTTACCAAGAAGTAAGTACCAGCACGTAAAAATATTAAGGACTACCTCTTTAGCAAAAACATAAATAAGAAAAATTGGCCAGGTGCAACGTGGCTCACACCTGTAATCCCAGCACTTGGGGAGGCTGAGGCTGGAGAATTGCTTGAGCCCAGGAGTTTGAGACCATCCTGAGACCCCATTTCCTCAAAAAATTTTTAAAAATTAGCCGGGCATAGTGGCACACACCTGTAGTTCCAGCTATTCAGGGAGCTGAGGCAAGAGGATTGCTTGAGCCTAGAGAAGGTCAAGGCTGTAGTGAGTCATGATGGCACCACTGCATTCCAGCCTGGGCAACAGAGCAAAAAAAAAAAAAAAAAAAAATAGAAAGAGGGAGGGAAGGAGGAAAGGAAGGAAGGAAAGAAGGAAGGAAGGAAGGAAGGAAGGCCAGCCAAGAGGGAGGCCAACTGTCTCTCTCTCTCTCTCACGCACACACACGCACACACACACATGCACATACACACACCCACACACACACACAGAGCATTACAAAGGGGACAATGGGAAGAAATTAACCAGAAAATTACCTGACCACAATCTTTATTTCACCACCAAAAACAAAATGAAAAACAAAACAAAAGAAACCTTTCAGTTATCACTATGGCCTAGGGCCAATTTCTTGATAACTGGAATAAATTTTGTTAATTTAAGATTTAGCTTCCTGCTTAAACATGTTGTGTGAACTACTAGATACTGGCTTGTTTTAAATTCTAAATTACTTTTATTTCTCCCTGTGGAAGGGATTTGAAATGAGTCCCATTTAGAAAGCAAGCCATCAGGGCAGGAAAATGATGATGAACACACTAACATCAGTATATATACTTAAGAGAGCCTTGTAACTTTGACTTAAGTGCTAAACTAAATATGGTATCTTATCACATTTCTGTACTGGTGAGCCAACACCACAGAAAAGCAAACTGAAATGAATGAGATTCTTTGATTAATTTTCTAGTAAAAGTTTAAATATCACACTTCAAAGTAATTTAAATTATAGCAGATGGAAATGGCAGCATCCTTAAATAGATTCCTGCACACTCTTCCAGGATTCAGAAGTCTTCTATTTAGGTATCACAGCCTATCTTAATATGATTTACATGTTGGTGTCTGCAACTTCTATCAAGCTGCCGGGTTAGAGGGCAGGGGCTGCCCTATCTCCCTACTCTCACTGTCAAACTTCTGATCAGATGCATTTATAATGACTAAAGATAGAGCCTTTTTTTTTTTCACTTGAGCTTCTTTGCTGCCTAGACTTACCTTCCTTGTGTTCATTAGTCAAACCAGAAAGGCCTTTCTGGACTGTTAGGCTGCTAAGAGAGGTTGCTCAGTCCTCTCAGCCTCTATCCTATGGAATTACTCTGAAACTGAGGACCATAAACCCTACTGAATCCTTCCCAATTTCCTTTGGCTCCTAGGGACTATTTTTATTTCAGTTCCCACCTCCTTCCCTGTTCTTAGCCATGTCTTGGGAGATTTGTGGGATTCTGTGGTGGACAGAATAATGATCCCCCAAAGATTTTCACGCTCTAATCTCCAGAATCTGTGAATGTTTTATTACATGGCAAAAGAGACTTTGACTCTGTCAAAAAAAAAAAAAGAAAAAAGAAAACAAATACTGATTCTGTTACCAGGAATGAGGTACTGCTATAACAAATACCTAACCATGTGGAAATAGCTTATAATCAGGTGGTGGGTGGTGATACTAAAAACGTTTAGGAGCATGGTAGAAAAAGCCTAGATTACCTTGAATAGGTTATTAGTAGAAATGTGGACTTGAAGGATGCTCTGGTGATCTCTGAGAAGAAAATGAGGAACCCAATATTGGAGACTGAAGGAAGGAGAATCCTTGTTATATAGAAGCAGAAAGCTTATATATATTGTGTTCTGCAGTTATGCTGAAGGCAGACTTTGTAAGTGACAAATCTGGTCATTTAGCTGAGGAAATTTTCAAGCATCATGGTGAAGGTATGACCTGTTTTTTCTTGCAGCTTATAGTGAAATGAAAGATGAGAGAGAGAAATTGAGGGTGGACCTATTAAAAAGAAACCAATACTTGGTGATTTTATAAATTCTACACCTATTTAAATGGAAACAGACTAAAATTAAGAGATTCACTGTCAGGAAGTCATGTTATAAAAAAAGAGCCCAGGATGTGTCTGTAAAACCTTTTGGTAATACCTCAGAAAACTCAAAAGGTTGTAATATTTAGTTACACAAAAGACTACTTGAAGAGATCAAAAGTGTGACAGATCAATCTCCTTGGCCATCTCAACAGAAGCCATAAATAAAGATGGTATTATCTAGGAAAGATCTGTGTACAAGGTGAATCCCATGACATACATGGGAGACTCACAAAGTTCCTAAGAATATTAAGACAACAGAAATTCTGCCAGCTAGGACTGAAAGAGATAGAGAGTACAAAATTTTCAAAAACTGTCAGTCCATAAAAATTCTACCTGCAGAAAACAGACTGCTATGGTCTGAACATATGTGTCCCTTCAAAATTTATGTTAAAATCCTAATCCCCAAGGCAATAGTGTTAGGAGGTGGGACCTTTGTGGAGGGGGTTGGGTAATGAAGGCAGAGCCTTAATGAACGGGGTTAGTGTCCATATAAACGAGACCTCAGAGCCTGCCTTGCCCTTCCACCATGTGAGGATACAGCAAAAAGATGTCGTCCATAAGCAATAGCCCCTCACCAGACACTAAACCTGTGTATTGATCTTGGACTTCCCAGCCTCCAGAACTATAAGAAATAGATTTCTATTGTTTGTAAGTCACCCAGGATATGGTCTTTTTATTACAGCATCTGAATGGACTAAGACACAGACTGATAAAACTACCCTGTTGCGAACATGTGTTGCCTTTCCTAAACAAAAAAAGTGTGACTCACAGGGAAGAATCAAGAACCACAGAACATTTTTTTCTCCAGGCCTTGAAATCCAATGGAGTTTGCCCGGCTGGGTTTTTTAATTGCTTAGAACCAGTGATTCCTTTTATTCTCCCATCTTTCTCCCTTTTTGAATGTGAATATCTGTAAGTGTTATCCTGTGCCTATCCCACTGTTGTATGTTTGGAGCAGATAACTTTTTTTTTTTTTTTTTTTTAGTTTTACAGGTCCAAAGATTGAGAGGAACTGTGCTTCAGGGAAGATTATACCCAGATTCTACCTACATATAATTTAAATTATTTGGGTGATTAGATTTGGGGTTTTAGAGCTCATGGAATTTAGACGAGATTTTGAACTTAAATTGATGCTGTAATGGGATGAGAACTTTGGTGATTTTGGGATGAAATAAATGTATTTTGTGTATGAAATAGACATGAATCTTTAAGGGCCATAAGGTGGACTGTGGTAAGCAGAATAATTACCACCACCACCACCCTCTCCAAAGACTTCCATATCCTAATTTCCAGAAAAACAGTTAGTTTAGATTGTAAAAGGGAAGGGACTTTGCCAATGTGATTACAGTTATGGACATTAAAATAGGGATATAAGGCCGGGCGTGGTGGCTCATGCTTGTAATACCAGCACTTTGGGAGGCCAAGGTGGGCGGATCACCTGAGATCAGGAGTTTGAGACCAGCCTGGCCAACATGGTGAAACCCCATCTCTAGTAAAAATACAAAAAAAAAAAAAAAACTGGGCATGGTGGCAGGTGCCCGTAATCCCAGCTATTGGGAGGCTGAGGCAGGAGAATCTCTTGAACTGGGGAAGCAGAAGTTGCAGTGAGCTGAGATTGTACCATTGGAGTTTTGCTCTTGTCACTGAGGTTGGAGTGCAATGGTGCAAATGGTGCAATGGTGGTACCCAGAGCAGAAAAGCCAGCTGAGCCTACCAGACCTCTGACCTATATAATAGTGAAATACATTTAGTTATTTTAAATTGTTGCGTTTGTGACAATTTGTTACGGCAGCAATAAGCATCTAATACATATTCACATCCAGAGATTAAAATCATTTAAAGGAGTTGATCCTCACTGTCTAATAGTATAATAATAATAATCCCATACTTTCATGTAAATTATAATCAAAAGATCATTTTAAATGGCTTTGTCTTTCACAGAAGGAATTTCAAAAATTTATTTTGTGCTTATGCTGAAAGCTGGCATTCCCTCTATTATTTGCTGCTCCTTTTTAGAATAATCAATTCACAAATTTAAGATTTAAAATGTGCTTCTCCAAGATTGGCCAAATCACAAGACAGCAGTACTCTTATGAGTTTCTCCCTTGAGTCATAAGTGGTGAGTTCGTGTCCCAGAAGATCAAAATGGCGTACTGAAAAAGAGCTCTTGGCTAAATCAAAAGGCCTGAATTCTAGTCCTAACTCTGACATGAAAGAGCAAGGATGCCTCTTTGGAGGAAATTAATTAACCTCTATGGATCTCATTTTCTTCCTTTTTAGAATAAAGCAGTTGGAGATTCAGGGTGGCTTCCATGATGAAGTATTGTTTGTTTGAAATCTGAAGTCTTGGTAGCATTAATGAGACAATTAGGTGGAGAAGCAGTCCAGAAGACTCAGCAAACCCTGTTTTATATGCCACTTGCTACAACATTAGTCTCCCGATGAATTTAGTGACCAAAAACAGAGCAAAAATAAAGATCTATAAATAGGCCTAGAAGAATGTATGCCACTTGGCAGTGTTAACCTCTGAGGAGGGCTATAGGGAAGCTTTATGGAGTAGTGCTCAAGGGCATAGACTTTGTTACCAAACCTTCTAAATTTAAGTTTTGGCTCTGCCACTTCCCAGCTGTGTGTTTTCTCTACATCTCTCAGTTTCCTCATCTATAAAATGTATGTGTGCATGCACAATTGCTTAAGACAGATCTTGGCATAATATGCGCTCTATAAATTAGCATATACTATGTAAATATTTGTCAATGTTATTGCTACTGGCAGAATTGTGTCCCCCAAAACTTCATATGCTGAAGCCATTAATGTGATGTTATTTGGAGATATGGCCTTTGGGAGGTGATTAGGTTTAAATGAGTTCATGATTGTGGGACCCTCATGGTGCAATTAGTGTCCTTATGAGAAGAGAGATCTTGTCATCTCTGTCCACCATGTGAGAACACAGTGAGAAGGCAGCTGGCCATCTACAAGGGAGAAAGAGAGCCCTTGACAGAACCTGACTATGCTGGCACCCTAATCTCAGACTTTTAGCCCCTAGAATTGTGAAAAAAATGTATTTCTATTATTTAAGCCATTCAGTCTATGGTATTTTGTTATGGCCAAGTATAATTACTAATAAAATTATTAAGGAAAAAATTAGTTTTTGTTCTGTAGCTGCTGTTCTATTTAACTTTTTACATTGAGACTATATTAATGAATTCTTTTACAATTTAAAATAAAGAAAACCAAGTGAAAAAAAACACAAAAAGTCCATAATTCATTTGGAGTGATACCTTCCTTCAATTATCTCTTAAACTTCAGAGTGGGACCAATTGCAGGTTGAATGAGCCATCAATGAAAGACATCAATAGACTGTTTCGTCAAACTCACTCCCAGTTTGTAAGGTGTCTCATTGATTCACTTGTCAACTTTAAAGTGATGCAATTGTTGCCATTGCTTTTGGAGTTTTAGACATGAAGTCCTTGCCCATGCCTATGTCCTGAATGGTATTACCTAGGTTTTCTTCTGGGCTTTTTATGGTTTTAGGTCTAACATTTAAGTCTTTAATCCACTTGAATTAATTTTTGAATAAGGTGTAAGGAAGGGATCCAGTTTCAGCTTTCTACATATGGCTAGCCTGTTTTCCCAGCACCATTTATTAAATAGGGAATCCTTTCCCCATTTCTTGTTTTTGTCAGGTTTGTCAAAGATCAGATGGCTGTAGATGTGTGGTATTATTTCTGAGGGCTCTGTTCTGTTCCATTGGTCTATATCTCTGTTTTGGTACCAGTACCATGCTGTTTTGGTTACTGTAGCCTTGTAGTATAGTTTGAAGTCGGGTAGCATAATGCCTCCAGCTTTATTCTTTTTGCTTAGGATTGTCTTGGCAATGTGGGCTCTTTTTTTGTTCCATATGAACTTTAAAGTAGTTTTTTCCAATTCTGTGAAGAAAGTCATTGGTAGCTTGATGGGGATAGCACTGAATCTATAAATTACCTCGGTCAGTATGGCCATTTTCATGATATTGATTCTTCCTATCCATGAGCATGGAATGTTCTTCCATTCATTGTGTCCTCTTTTATTTCATTGAGTAGTGGTTTGTAGTTCTCCTTGAAGAGGTCCTTCACATCCCTTGTAAGTTGGATTCCTAGGTATTTTATTCTCTTTGAAGCAATTGTGAATGGGAGTTCACTCATCATTTGGCTCTCTGTTTGTCTGATATTGGTGTATAAGAATGCTTGTGATTTTTGCACATTGATTTTGTATCCTGAGACTTTGCTGAAGTTGATTATCAGCTTAAGGAGATTTTGGGCTGAGACGATGGGGTTTTCTAAATACACAGTCATGTCATCTGCAAACAGAGACAATTTGACTTCCTCTTTTCCTAATTGAATACCCTTTATTTCTTTCTTTTGTCTGATTGCCCTGGCCAGAACTTCCAACACTATGTTGAATAAGAGTGGTGAGAGAGGGCATCCCTGTCTTGTGCCAGTTTTCAAAGGGAATGCTTCCAGTTTTTGCCCATTCAGTATGATATTGGCTGTGGGTTTGTCATAAATAGCTCTTATTATTTTGAGATACGTCCCATCAATACCTAATTTGTTCAGAATTTTTAGCATGAAGGGCTGTTGAATTTTGTCAAAGGCCTTTTCTGCATCTATTGAGATAATCATGTGATTTTTATCTTTGGTTCTGTTTATATGCTGGATTACATTTATTGATTTGTGTATGTTGAACCAGCCTTGCATCCCAGGGATGAAGCCCACTTGATCATGGTGGATAAGCTTTTTGATGTACTTCTGGATTTGGTTTGCCAGTATTTTATTGAGGATTTTTGCATCAATGTTCATCAGGGATATAGGCCTAAAATTCTCTTTTTTGGTTGTGTCTCTGCCAGGCTTTGGCATCAGGATGATGTTGGCCTCATAAAATGAGTTAGGGAGGATTCCCTCTGTTTCTATTGATTGGAATAGTTTCAGAAGGAATAGAACCAGCTTCTCCTTGTACCTCTAGTAAAAACAATGGCAACAAAAGCCAAAATTGACAAATGGGATCTAATTCAATGAAAGAGCTTCTGCACAGCAAAAGAA
Organism: Homo sapiens; assembly: GCF_000001405.40. NCBI lineage: Eukaryota > Metazoa > Chordata > Mammalia > Primates > Hominidae > Homo > Homo sapiens. The sequence continues at coordinate 70,360,475 of NC_000006.12, forward strand.
ACTGCCATCAGAGTGAACAGGCAACCTACAGAATGGGAGAAAATTTTTGCAACCTACTCATCTGACAAAGGGCTAATATCCAGAATCTACAAAGAACTCAAACAAATTTACAAGAAAAAAACAAACAACCCCTCAAAAAGTGGACGAAGGATATGAACAGACACTTCTCAAAAGAAGACATTTATGCAGCCAACAGACACATGAAAAAATGCTCATTATCACTGGCCATCAGAGAAATGCAACTCAAAACCACAGTGAGATACCATCTCACACCAGTTAGAATGGCGATCATTAAAAAGTCAGGAAACAGCAGGTGCTGGAGAGGATGTGGAGAAATAGGAACACTTTTACACTGTTGGTGGGACTGTAAACTGGTTCAACCATTGTGGAAGACAGTGTGGCAATTCTTCAGGGATCTAGAACTAGGAATACCATTTGACCCAGCCATCCCTTTACTGGATATACACCCAAAGGATTATAAATCATGCTGCTATAGAGACACATGCACGTGTATGTTTATTGTGGCACTATTCACAATAGCAAAGACTTGGAACCAACCCAAATGTCCATCAATGATAGACTGGATTAAGAAAATGTGGCACATAGACACCATGGAATACTATGCAGCCATAAAAAATGATGAGTTCATGTCCTTTGTAGAGACCTGGATGAAGGTGGAAACCATCATTCTCAGCAAACTATCGCAAGGACAAAAAACCAAACACCGCATGTTCTCATTCATAGGTGGGAATTGAACAGTGAGAGCATTTGGACACAGGAAGGGGAACATCACACACCAGGGCCTGTCGTGGGATGGGGGGAGCGGGGAGGGAAAGCATTAGGAGATATACATAATGTAAATGACAAGTTAATGGCTGCAGCACACCAACATGACACATGTATACATATGTAACAAACCTGCACGTTGTGCACATGTACCTTAGAACTTAAAGTATAATAAAAAAAAAAAAAGAAAAAGAAAAAAAAAAGTTGGACAGAGGCACTAATCACAGTACTTAGGGATTTGTATGGAAACAGTTTACAGATTTTCTGACAACCTTGTCTTTCAATTCAGATGAAAGAAGCACTATTGTTTGGTCATGAGGAAATTAAATAAAAAAGTTGTCACCAAAAATAAAAAATAAAAAAAATAAAGTGATGTAATTAACAAGTATTACAGTTAAAAGATCCTTTAGCACAGTATCAGAAATTCAAGAGAGTATTAAAAATGCTGCTCTTTTGATGACATTTAGATATATATAAAGTTCAGTAATTACTTCAAAGGATGACTTTATGAAAAGAAGAGTTCACAAAATTCAGACCTTGGAAATAATCTACGAAATTGCCAATACATTGACACTCCTTAGAGAAAATATTTAAAGCTGAGTTATAAGTTGCTAAATTAAATGTCTATTTTTAAAAGGACAGTTGTATGTATGCCTGTTATCAAGATATAACTTAAAATGTAATTAATGCTTTCTTGCAGCTTACAAGTTAGTGGTTAAAACAGATATTAATCAAATAAACAAATTAGTGCATAATTATAAACAATAATTTGGATTTTACTTTGTCTTTATCCTCTAAGCCACTTGTCTATAATACTTTCCATCAACTCGGTTAATAAAAAGGTGCACACACAATGGAGAAATTACAATATAAGGCACAAAGCACTGGCTTGAAAATCAGTTGATTCCTAGCTTTCCCACTAACCAAGTGAGCTTTCTGAGTTCTTTAAGCTCTGTAAGATTAGTTGGTGTCATATATATCCTTGTAGGGTTCTCTTACATTTAAAATCATATAAATAATTTTCCAAGCCAGACATTATTTTAGATCCCCAAAATTAGCTATTTCATAATAAATAAAGTCTGTGTCTTCCAGAGGGGAAAAGGGATTTTAAATGATTAATGTATAAAGAGTTTATACAAATGGCCGGACGCGGTGGCTCATGCCTGCAATCCCAGCACATTGGGAGGCTGAGGCAGGTGGATCACTTGAGGCCAGAAGTTTGAGACCAGCCTGGTCAACATGGTAAAATCCTGTATCTACTACAAATACAAAAAAATTAGCCAAGCATGGTGGTACACACCTGTAATCCTGGCTACTTGGGAGGCTGAGGCATGAGAATCACTTGAACCTGGGAGGCAGAGGTTGCAGTGAGCCAAGATCACACCACTGCAGTCCAGCCTGGGTGACAGAGTGAGGCCCTATCTCAAAAAAAAAAAAAAAAAAAGCAAACAAAAGAATTTACACGAATAATAAATAAGAAAGATTATAAGAATTTAATAGACTTAACTTTAAGAAATACATAATGAAGAATGTTCAGTATAATTAATAATGTACAATTTTAGTTGTAGCAGGAAGGATGGTTAAACTGGGATGTTGAAATCCTTTTCTCCAGCAATCTTTAAAAATCAAGTCGTTTCCCAAGAGTAGTGAGATGACTTAAGAAAGGAGAGAGTTGATATGAAGTATCAGGCACGTTTCTGCCCTCTGAACATTATCTGAGATACTGCCGTCATACCTGAAGTGTTTTTTTCCGTAAAGGAAGAGTTCTTTTTAATTGTCCACAGCCGTACATTATTAATCAAACTCTGTCTTTGAATCATAATTCATGCTCAAGCCCCTAGAAGTTAAAAGCGTGAATGAAAATTTATAAAAATTTGAAAACTTCACTCAGGAGGTCATTGAGAGTACATTAAAAGGCATTTAGTTTGTTTAGATGTAATGTATTTTATTATTAGGGCTGATTCACACTCACTGTAATACTCCAGGGGGATTAACCACATTAATCTAATTATGAGAGTTTCACAGCACTCTTAGCAGAAAGACATTCACCAAACTTCAATTATTTTTAGAAGCTCTATCTTTGAATGTGATTTAAAATGTGATTAAGTTCCCTTTTGTGTTATCTAAACTGAATAAAGGCATTGTTTAAGCTTATTCACAGACAAAAGAATAACTTTATTAATTTTTGTTTCCTCATACAGCTTAAATCTAACAATGAAAAATATATGCTTTTATTTATATCTAATTATATTTTTCATTATTCTGTAAACTAAATGCAGGTTTCATATTGGATTGTCTTGAACCCAATAAAGTACAAACATAAAATGGTTTTATTTTCTTCCCTTTCACTGCTTTCGGACTTACTTTGTCAAATCTCCCTTTCCTGACCCCTTACAACATCTTGGGTAGATCCCATAGCTTTCTGGTGACTTCGAATATTAAAAAAATCCAGTTAAGTCTAGGTCGGTTTAATATTTTAGATCTTATACAGTATTCAATTTATATTCATATCCTTGCTTTCCAGACCTCTAGTCAGCTGCATCGTGAAGGATGTGGAGGTACCCAGGCCACTGTGTGTTATTTCACTCTTTCAAAGAGGTAGTGAAGCAGGATATTTCCCTGGCCCCTTCATGGGACTCACAAAGGGGGTGCCTTGTTTCCTCAGCCTGCAGTTCTCAACTCCTCGCAGGAGGGAGCACGCAAGCGAATAAGGTGGGAAATTGTGTGCCCGGGCACTGGAACTAGCCAGCCACTTCAGTGCTGGCAGTGGCAAATTCCACTCACTTGGAGCCACTGCGCTCCACCCCTCGTGGGAAGGCGCATGCAGGTGAGCAGGTGCAGGAGCCAGGGCAAGCACTTTTGGGTGTGAGCAGGAGCAAAGTCTGTGCAGGCCCCAACAGCAACATCTGGGAGGGTACCTGTGACCCCTGAAGTCCCAGAGGGAGTGTTACAGTGCTCTTTTAGTGCTGCTGTCCACAGACAGCTTAAGTGTTAACAGCTCAGTGGACCCTCTACCTTTTGGTGTGAGGCAGCTGCCTTTTGCCAGAGAGGGCAAAGGGTCAGTGTGACAGCCTTTTGTATCTGCACTCGTGGTTCCTGAGTTCTTCTGTGGCGTCCAGGAGGAATGAGGTCACATGAACAAATTGAAGGATTGTAAATGTGGGAAATTTTATTGCCGATGGGCATGGCTGTCAGTGGGAAGGGGAGCTGAAAAGGGGACAGAGCTGGAAGGTAATCTTCTCCTGAAGTCCAGGAGTCTCCAACCAGATTCTTCTCCCAAGTTACACGGTCAAGCTGTCCCTCTGGAATCAAGCCGCTTCTCCCCGACATCCAGCTATAGTCTCTGATGTCCAGCTGCTTCTCCTCTCTCTGTCAGCTGGGTATGAGGTTTTTTATAAGCCCAGGATGGAGGGCAGGGCAGGCAATGAGTGGTTTTGGAAAAGGCAACATTCAAGTGGGAAAACAGGGATGTAAGTTCTCACTTCTGGCTGCGGTTTCAGGCTTTTCAGCTGGAGGGTGGGGCATTTGCCAGGGACCCGCCCTTTCTGCCTAGAATTTCTCTGCCTCCTGCCTCTATCGTTGTATCCATAGGAGCAGAAATATGATATTGAACAAATGGAAATAGTGGCTGAGACCAAAACCAGTAGTGTTCATCAAATTTCCATGTTCTCACCAATGGAATGTAGGGGAGATGAGGTGTCCCTTCTGGTATAGCAGTTAAAATCAAGTGTGACTTCTGCATGTTGACTCTCTCCTAAGGCTAGCTGATTAAACACAAAGCACTCAACTCCAACATGGCAGTGTTAAGCTGGATGCAGCCTGGCCCCTGGGTTGCCGCTGGAAGGGAAGTGGTGTAGGAGAGCTACCAGGCCAGCCTGCAACAGACTGCAATGTAAAGGGAGATATGTCTCTGTTTCATTAAGCCATTGAGAGCTCAGCAGTTTTTTGTTATTATGACATAATCTAGCCTATTGTGATTAAGACAAAAATAGATCTGGAAGTGAGGCACAGGAGGCAAAGAATGGGCTACACTGGAGATATCTAAACAGAGAAAGGAAGAAGAGAGAATGATTGTATGAGAGAATAACAAGTTGTGTGAGCTTGCTTATAAATAGTTGAGAAGGAACCAGTAAAGAAAGAAACAGGCAATGCAAGAAACAGGGGAGCTAATAGACAGATCTGTTCTCATGAAGAGAAGTGAAAGGTTGAGATTAAGGACTCAAATGAAGAGATACATCTTAGAAGGTGTCTTTGCTCAGAGACAAGAGCAAAGGAAAGTGAAATGGGAGAAGAAACCAAAAAACAGAAGGGGGAAATGATTGAAAGTTGCAGAAAATGTAATAAGCCGCAAAAGGGACCATTTTTAGCCACCTTCTGACAGAAGTGTAATCAAAGCAATTTCCAAGTGACTGAGCTTATATTAATCTTCTCTCACACACTTAAATTTATTCGGCTTTATCCCTACAGGCCACATGTAATACCTATTCTTAATTTATGCTAAGCCTGATATCTTCTAAATCTTACATGTTTTTAATGCAGTACTAGACAGAGTTATTCATGCTCCATGCACACTAGCAATATCATAAATTCAGATTTGGAATTACTGAGGTATGAGAGAGCTTACCAACCTGAACTCAACAGAAGTCCAACAGCATTATGCATAGGTTTTACAGAAAGAGATTTTGTTTGAATTGAGCATCAAATAGAAGAAAAAGATACATAGCATTTGAAAAAAAAGGTTTTAAAAACAATTTACAGAAAAATATATTCTGCCTTATATTAAAGAGATGGGAAGAAAATAAGAAAAGGAGGGATAGAGGGAGGAAGGGAAAGTTACCAGTTTAAAATTTTTGTTAAGTTGTAAGATACACTTTCCTTCTACTTCTGCTCCCTCCCACTAAATTCCCAAACCCACAGTGACCAAGTCAGTGGACATGTAGCCATGCAAACTGACTGTTCCCAATAAATCCCTCAACAGATTTGGAAATATTAATTTATTTTATATGTGACAATATCACTCTTTAAAAACAGGTGGTGGGTTTTGTGTCAGTTATCTTATCAACAGATCAGACTTTAGCATCTTCAGGGATCTTATTTCAAGAGTACAGAATAATTATCTATTGGTTTTCATACAGTTAATAATCAAGCCCCTCTCTCCTTCCTTTCGAATATCTCATATCTGCCCACTTCTTTCACTCACACTGTCTCACACTCTATTCAAGCCCCACATCACCTTACACCCAGAATTCCTAGCTCTTTAGAGTTCCCAGCCCCTGTCTAAACTAAACACCTCCTTAAAGCATTATCTTCATCATGTCATTCCCAGATTTAAAAACTTGTAATGCCTCCTCAATGTGTATAACAGGGGATATTTACCTGGCGTTCACAAAAAGGTTTCCAGAGGACTTCTGAAAGCACTGAAATTCTGTGCAATCATTTGTGTGCTGTGAATTATTTTGCTGGTAAAAATATCTAGTTTCTTCAAATCCTTCTTGAGGTCCTACAAAAGGCTGACAATCATCCATCTTTAGGGCAAAAGTTAAGCTCAATGACCAGTATTCAAGAGGTGAGATCAAGCTTGCATTTCACTCTCGTCCCCTAAGTCAGGTCCTTAGGTGGGTAAGTTCTCCTCATCCTATACATTTATTTATTCATTCAACAAACATTCATTGAACACTTCTATGTTCCAGACATGATTATAGGCACTCAGGACACATAGATGAAAGAATAGCCTCCTCCCTAAGGTATTTCCAAACTCTTATAACAACTCCCCTGTCAAGCAGGTGGGAAACTAGGTCTATGGCTGTGCTTGATATTTCAGAAATTGGAGAAAGGTATCAGACTGGGATGAGAGAAAGGGTCCTGAGAGCTCAGGAACAAAATGTAACAAAAGTAACATCCACAGAGATCCTCTAACACATCAAGTCCAAAGGAGAGTGAAGAGCAGAGAAGTGAAAAATCAAGCAGAAACAGAATCCAAAGCTCAGCCAAACTAGAAAGAGCAAATGGATTCAAGAGGATAAAGAAGAGATGGGGCCTGTAGGAATTCTCTGGAGTGCCCATACATAGACCCAGATTCATTTCTACACAGTCTCCAATGGTGTCAGTTCAGTGGGAGAGAGCTGCCAGGACTCCAAGAAACAGCAGAGGGACATGAGACACTAAAGTCTGCTGAGAGAGTCCTGGAAGGCTTTACAATATGCTGGTCACATATAAGGTGACCCTTCAAAGAGGAGTAGGATTTTGTCAGATGGACAGAAGGGAGGGCAGGACATTCCATAAAAGGGAACGTTCAATGCAAAGGCCCAGAGTCTTAACATAGCATGTTTGGGAGAACAAAAAGTGATTTAGTATAAATGGAGGCTTGGAGCAAATTATTTAGAGATGATGACTGATACTCTCCCTAAGTATATAGATACTTGACAGTCCAAAAGAAAATTAGATATGTAATTCAGAATTTTAGAGCAGAAATAAGTGGAGTTTGCTAGACAAAGCCCCTCTAAGTAACTATGTCTTGGTGAAGATTTGTCTCACCCAAATTAACTAAGGGCAAAGTCAACACTAGATTTCTTGTCCACTAATCGACTTTGTTTGAAGTTGCCTGTGTGCCACACAGCCAGCTCTCACACCAGATTCAAACTGTTTGGCCTCATATTAGAAGTAGGGCCTTCAGGAACACACATACACACACAACATCCAATGACTATAAGGTCGGAGGGCAGGTGGGAAAATGGTAATTTTTCACTTCAATAGTTTATAATACTGAACATCTTTGAATGTTCTAATAAGAAAAAAACAAGAGAAGACATAAAAAGAATGAGGTAATACTATTATCTCTGCCAATGACAGAATAGGGGTCTAGCATTGTACTTGTTGCATAGCCAGTGGTGTGCTGGCAAATGTTTAACAGCCAGTATGCAGGGAAGGAATGGAACAGGGAGCTCATCTGTAGGGTTTTCCAGTTTCTATAGTGTAAGTATGCTTCTGTGGCTGATTTCAAGCTACCACTGTGGTATAATGGAGATGCTAACAATTGGTTCTCAGAAGTTAGTACAAGCTGGTTTAAGTGCACCACTGCTAGCAGAACTCAATAAGCATCCAGTAGATCCATCAACAACGAACCAACCACCACCTACAGGGCCTTCAACTTCCGCTGGCTTCAGTCAATGATTAAGCCACAGCTGCCCATTCCTGGCAGACAAAATGAAATAGTTAATCTATCTAGCTAAGAAGTGCTGCACTTCACAGAATATAAAGAGGCTAAACCCTCCTTTCCTAGCACTACGGCCCTCCTCTTCCCTACCTTAGCTCACCAGCATGGACTTGATCTTGGTCTAAATGATGCTGTTGTCCATCACACTTCCAGGAACAAGTATGACAAAAGCATTGGCCAGAACCAATGAAAAGATTCCTTTTGGAGTACTTAAGTCATTTAGCCTTGCTTGTGAAATTATTCTGAAATGAGGCAGGTGGAAGTTCAGCAGCAGTCATGCCAAAATCAAAGTCAAGTATGACATTCAGATATAATACTGAATGGGCTGGGCATGATGCCTCACACCTGTATTCTCAGCACTTTGGAAGGCGGAGGCAGACAGATCACTTGAGTTCAGGAGTGTGAGACCAGCCTGGACAACATGGTGAAACCCCATCTCTACTAAAAATACAAAAATTAGCTGGGCATGGTGGCAGGTGCCTATAATCCCAGCTACTTGGGAGCCTAGGCAGGAGAATCACTCCACCGGAGGTGGAGGTTGCAGTGAGCTGAGATCTCACCACTGCACTCGAGCCTGGGCAACAGAGTGAGACTCCATCTGAAATAAATAAATAAATTTTTCAAAAAGAGATAATACTGAATGATGAGAGGCGCCTATATGGAAGCCTGATGATATTCACAAGCAACCAATAGAAAGGCAGCAGTTTATTTGCCACTATTAACATCACTGATGGTGTTGCACCCTTAATATAGATGAATATGGATAAAAGTTCTGGAAAAAGTGCTAGTCTGCTTGCTTTCTTAGGACCTGAGCCATTCATCCCCCAGTCATGCTAAAGTGAGTATTTGAATGGTCTTTTAAAGAAAGGCTTTCTAGGGCTAGAAAACTGTGCTGGTAGCTTCCTCTGCAGGCCTTAACCACTTTATCAGCCCATCTGGCACTTCTATAACACTCACTGGGAGGCTTTCTGACTCTCCTAGCTTCAACCTAGCATTCTGATCTGCTGAATTGACTTTCTGATTCAACCGGGCCACCCTTCCAGCTCTCTGCTGCCCCCTTCTGTCGCCAAGCAGTAACGACTACGTTGGCCCCATCTTTTGGACAGGAATCTTGTACTCAAAACCAGTGACTTCTCTGTTCTTTCCCTTTTGGCCTCTGCATGTTTCTCTGAACTGTTAACAACTCTTCCTGCTTTGTACTCTGGTTTGGCTTCAAAGACAGCTGTCTCTCCTGGACTTTTTCACAACTTCTCAGTTAACATTTGTGAGTCCTTTCCTGAATTTCCTCTTTTTATCTCATTAATAAAGAACATATTCAAACAAACAATTCAAGGACATCTGCTTCTTTCCTTCTATACTCATTCCTAAGGGAAATTCTTCCCTTTACAGATTTTCAAACAACAGCCTCAATGGAAGTCACAGATTTCCATTACGAGAGCTAACATTTCATTTTCTCTATAGTCCTACATTTTTCACTTTTTTTTTTCACAGTCCTTATTTATACAGATTTCTGGGTTGGAGTTAGTTTAGCCAGCTGGTCTGGCCCTGGCATTCTAGCGACTAGACTATGATGTCTAGACCTCAAAAGGGCAAATTGTGTAGGTCTTTCTGAGAAAATTAGAATATTACTTCCCGTGTGGATGTCCAGGAAACTTCCACTGGAAATTTATCAAAACTGGGGAGATGATGATTAATCACATCCAAAGAATAAGCTAATATGTACACAAATGAGAGAAAAGTGAAAATAGGAACATTGTCTTGGTATGGACAAAGGGTTTGCTATGGCAGTCACCAGGCTAGTTTGTGTAGCCATGAGTTGAGGTTTCCTAACAAAACAAAGAGGTTCTTACCTCCAGAATGCTACTGGACCCACAAATATCAGGGACAGATTTGATGACTTCTTTAAGTTCCCTTCTTTAGGTTCTCACCTAGCAGTCTATAATTTTAGGATTGTGGAGAATATTAGCAATAATTAAACATGGCAGCCCTTAATCAATGGCATTTAGACAAGAAGATGATGCATTAAACATGCTGTTTTCACTGTCCTCCCCATCTTCACCCCTGTGCAGCCCTGTTAAGAATGAACACATTAATAATTTACAAACGCGCACATATGCTAATCTATTTTCTAAAGTGATGGAAAGATTCATAGTTTGCCAGTGTCCGTTCCAAACAGCATGATTTATTGAGGATTAAGGTTTAAGCTTATCCTCTCTAAATTCATCCTCAGTAATAAGATTTTGGTTCATTTGAATGTAAATGCTGCAGCTGAGTATCCAGAAGCTGCGTTTATTTAAATCCCTATCCAAGATATTACTGAACATGTTGCCTACATGTCTGACATAACTTTTTTGAAAGTAAGTTAACATTTACTCAGAAGTGAGCTGAGTCCACAATCAAATCACCTCATTTCTATTTTAAATAATTGTACTTTATTTCACCTTTAAACTTACCTTGGGTACGTTCCACTTTTATTTTTTAAAATAGTATTTTTCTGTCGCTGAATAAAACCAGCTGACCCAAAGCAACTTCTATGCTGACAATTTGATCAAAGTAGATCACTCTGAAGTAAGCATGACATATTCTGAGTAACGCAATATGCTTATTACAAAACAGCGTAAAAATGGCTTCATTACAATGTCAGTAGATAAAGACATTACTAATATTGGATTTTACATATTCTAAGGAAGGAATGGGACAGACTATTTTTGGCTTTGAATGTGACAGACATAATTTCATCAGTCATAAAAATAAACCCATGGTATGCAGATCTATCATTATATAAATGTGGAAAATTATACTCAAAGTTTAATTTAAAGCAGTGAATATAACCAATATTTGATATACATACATATCAGAATTTAAGATTGAACGTAGTTAATATTACTGGAAAAAAATAATAAATTATTCAATTATCTTCTGTTTACACTGCACCCAGAAATATTTTGTAAAATCTCGCCTGCTTCAATTGTAAGTGGTTAGAAACTAGCAATAAATTAGTAAGTCTTGAATTCCTAGGTTTTAAATTTCAGGCAGCCAAATTGAAAAAAATACAAGATTGATAAAGTCATAAAAACTTTATGTAAACACATAGTTCACTGCTTTGAATTAAAGAGTAAACATAAAGATTAGTCACTAATTTGCTGATGGTTCTTAACATTTCTTGGACATCTGCCAACATTTGTACATTTAAAGCTAGTAAAGAAACCAGAATTTCTTCAATCTTGCCACTAGATGGCATAGACTTGGAGACTCAGCCTTGGCTTAAAAGTAGTTTAAGCAAAACACAAAACACAGAATCTTTGTATGGTGGACATAGAGAAGAAAAGTTTGTATTAACTTGGGTCAAAGAGGATAAGAAGAAGAATAAATAAATAATATTTCCCTACATCATATTTAAGTTTTCCGTATGAAAGTTTAGAATACAAGAATTTTATAATTTGTCATACATGGGAACAGGGAAGAAAATTGGTGGTAAAAAATAAAATATATTCCTTGAAATTTATCCATTTTTAGCTATGAAAAAATTACCACAGGATAGGGAAGGATTAAAACCAGTGATTCCCCCTTTCCCCACTTTTGGAATGAACACAGGTAAATATATGCATGCAACTATTAGGAACAGATTAAAAATTAGTTGAATTTAAATTGAAAACATCTGGTGATCTATTGTGCAATTTAAATGCCTTAAATTTAGCTTTTTATTGATAAATATTCATGCTGATTTTCATTCCAAATAACATTTTTAACAGCTTTATTGAGATAAAATTTATATACCATAAAATCCAGCCATTCAAAGTGCACAATTCAGTGCTTGCTAGTATAGTCACAGGGTTGTACAACCATCACCATAATGTCAGGACATTTTTGTCCCCCTTGAAAGAATCCCTGTGTCTATTGGCTGTCATATCCATCCCCCTCCCTGTCCCACCTCATCAGCAACCTCTCATCTATTTGGTGTCTCTATGGACTTGCCTATTCTGGATATTTCATATAAATAGAATCATACAACATATGGTCTTTTGTGACTGATTTTGTTCATTTAGCATAATGTTTTCAAGATTTATCCGTATTTCAGTATGTATCAGAACTTCATTCCTTCTTAGGGCTGAAAATATTCCATTGTATAGATATCCCACATTTTCCTTATTCATTAATCAGTTGAACATTTGGATTGTTTCTACTTTTTGGCTATTATGAATCATACTACTATGAACACTGGTGTAGAGGTATCTGTTTGAATTTGTTTTCAAATTTTGGAGTACATACCTAGGAGTGGCATTGCTGGGTTATTGGTAATTCTGCTTAACTTTCACAACAGCTCCACCTTTTACATTCCCACCAGCAACGTACAAACATCTCAATTTATCTATATTTCTCCTTGGCAACATTTACTATTTCTGGGGTTTTTGTGTTTGCTTGTTTGTTTGTTTGTTTGTTTGTTTTGTATTGCCATCCTAGAGGGTGTGAAATGGTATTTCATTGTGGCTTGACTTGCACTTCCCTAATGCCTGATGATATAAACCATCTTTTCATGTGCTTACTGGTCATTTGTATATTTTCTTTAAAGAAATATCTATTCAAATCCTTTGCCTATTTGTAACTGGGTTGTTCGTCTTTTTTTATTGAGTTCTATGAGTTCTTTGTGTATTCTGAATATAAATCTCTTATCAGACACGTGGTTTCCAAATATTATTCCTGTGCTGTGGATTGTCTTTTCACTTTCTTAATGGCATCCTCTGTAGGGCAAACTTTTAAAAAAATTGTACATAGTTTAATTCACCATTTTTTTGGTCACCTTTGCTTTTGGTGTCGTATCTAAGAAACTATTGTCTAACACAAAGTCACTAAGATTTACTCCTATGTTTTCTTATAAGAGTTTGATTGCTCTTACATGAGATTTATGATCCATTTTGAGTTAACTATGTACCTCACATACAGTGTGAGGTAGAGCTCCAACTTCATTCTTTTGCATTTGGATATAGAGGTGTCTCACCATTATTTGTTGAAAAGACTATTATTGCCCGATTACTGAATTGTTTTGGTCCAAGTAACATTTTGTATCTTAAATAATTTGCATCGTTTGAAAGTAAAATTAAGAAGTATTATACCAGATGCTTTACTGAGGCTCAAACATTCAAAGGTTATACATTTCAAATAAGTTTGTGATTTCAACACAACTCTATGCCTAGCATCAGTAGATATGCAATAAAATGTTGATAAATGAATAAACATACAAACCTGTTTAATTTTTGTTTTCAAAAATCAAGTTATGTATCTCCACCTTCATTTTGCTTCATATATTTTATTTACAAACTACAAAATTCTGAGATTTCATAATACAGGACACTAGTAAATTTACTAAATGCTTGTTGATGTCTATTTGCTTCTTGATAAAAGTTGTTAATGTAAGAAAACTTGTTTAGAAGACTACATATATTGAAAAAGCATCTGGCTAAGTGGTCCAATTTACCTGGAACCTTTTTTTTTTTAAACATTTCTCATCAGTGCTGTCTCTCAAACTAACCAATCTGCTGGTAGCAACCACACATGATATACAAAATGCATCATCAACTTACCTAAGAAAAGTTAGTAATTACTTAAGAAAAGTACTATACAATGTGAGGATCATAACAATTAACACCAATTATTGAACATTGTACAGGTACTTTATGTCTGGTTAAGCTAATGGCCTAGAGTGGCAAAATTAGTATGCTGTGGAACCTGTGCTGAAACCCAGATCTGACTCCAAAAACAATGTTGCTGGCCTCTTTATTGTGTCATCCGAAGACAGTATGGATTGTGTTAAATTCCCCTATGAAGACCTAACACAGGTGTCTCTAGATAAGTAGACAGGATTTGTATTTATAATGGTAACACTGAGGAGGTTCAGGGGCGCATAAGATCCCCCATTTCAAAATGTGTTCCCCACCCAATATATTACTACAAATGTACACACAACTGTAAACAGCATAACAGAATGTGAAGCATGACAGCATTCATCATTTGTTCTTTTATTCATTCATTCAGCAAATATTTAGAGTGCTGGTTATGAACTAGACATTATCCTAGGCATTGGAGATTCATCAATAAACAAGACAATGTTCTTGCAATCATGGACCTTCTTGAGAGTGAATAGACTGAGATAAGAAATACAGGTATCTAAAAATAGAATAAGATCATTTTTGGTGGTGAAAAAGCTATGAAGAAAATTCAAAAGGATGATTAAATAAAGAGTTATGAGAGGGGAAGGGCTACTTTGGCTCAGAGAGTCAGCAAAGGTCTCTGTGAAAGTAATATTTGGACCCATACCAAAAACATGAAAAGGAGTGAGCTATGTGAAGATCTGGGAAAAAGGAGTTCTAGGTAGAGGGAACAGCAAGTGAAAACACATGGAGGTGAGAATGAGCCTAGCTGTTGGAGGAAGAGATAGAGATAGGTGATGGAACATAGTAGATGAGGGTGAGAGTGGTGGAGATGAAGTCTGGACAATAGGCTTCACATAAGCTCTTGTCCATCACAATAAGGAGTTTGGTTATTAATCTAATCATTTTGGGTAAACATTAGAGAATTTTAAGCAAAAAATAATATTGCCAGTGAATATGGTGAGAAGTAATTCAAGATATATTTTACAGGTAGAACCAGGAGAGCTTGTTGAAGTATCATATATACAGGTGAGAAAGAGAAAGAGTTAGATTCATGAAGCCAGGTACTTACACTGTAAAACATAATTCATACTTCTATTTTTGCAAAATAGAAATTGCAAATTTCCTAACATTATTGAAATTAAAAGAAAAACTGTGCTTCCTCTCTTCCTCGTCTTCTGCATCTCATCCCCACAGAGAATTGTATCATCATCACATCAGTTTCTGCATTCCAATAATTTTAGTCACACCATGCCTGTGCTGTGAATGACACATAGTTTATTGTACCAATGTGCTATGCACAGGAGGAAAGACAGAGTTATTCTTTCCAAGAAAACAAAAATCAACTATCTTGCCATATTCACCAAAGTGCTTTTCCCTTAAATAATTGAGTGTGTCCCTAGTGGTAAACGCGTCTGGGATTACTTGCCCCATCCATAGCCCCTTCTCTGAAAACTACTGATAAGGTTTGGCTCTGTGTCCCATCCCCCACAACTCACTTTGGATTGTAATAATCCCCACGTGTGATGGGAGAGACCCGGTGGGAGGTAATTGTATCTTGGGGGCGAGTTTTTCCCATGCTGTTCTCGTGATAGTGAATAAGTCTCATGAGATCTGATGGTTTTATAAAGGGGAGTTCCCCTACAGAAGCTCTCTTGTCTGCCAGCATGTAAGACGTCCCTTTCCTCTTCCTTTGTCTTCCACCATGATTGTGAGGCCTCCCCAGCCATGTGGAACTGTGAGTCCATTAAACCTCTTTCCTTTATAAATTACGTGGTCTCGGGTATGTCTTTATTAGCAACATGAGAAGAGATTAATACAACTACCTTTACCTATAATCTCACCCAAGGAACCAGCCCAGACATCCATGTTTGTACCATGTAATTTCATTCCCTACCCCCAACACATACGCGATTGGATCAGGATTGCCGGCTAGTTTATTAGTAGATAAAAGCGTTGATAAAGCAAAGACAAAGAGAGCCCACTAGTGTTAGGTTCTGGAACTGACAAGTCACGGAGAGAGAACTTGAAACCATACCAAGGTGAGACAAAGCCAAGTACATGCTGCAGTTATGGGGAAAAGAAACTGTAGCGGGTCAGGAGACGGGAAAGACCAGACCGGTATAAAGACAGATAGTGGAAGACCAAAACATAGAAACAAGAGAGCATGCAGACTTAGAATTCAACAATCTAATGGTTTGGGTGGGTGTTTTGCAACCAGAAGTCCTGGCTGAAACAATCCCCTACTCCATTCAACATATACAAATACCTGACTTTAACTCAACTTTTATTAGGAAAAAATCTAAAGCCTGGCTATAGTGGGCCATTGGTGGATATTTTTGACCAACTGACCTATCTTCCATTCAATGAAACAAGATTCTGTCTCAGAGTATGGATCTTCCAAGATAGCTCGAGATCGTCAAGATCATTAAACCCTCTGTGACTCATGGAAAGGGAAGGAGTTTAAAAATTTTATCTCCTCTTTCCAAAAATCCCTAACTGGTATTCCATGACACTTAAAAAAACTTTCATGATTGAAACTACAACAAAAGGCTTTTTTTTCTGGCCAATATTGCATGTACTATCACTAATTTTCTAGCTGAGATTAGAATATGTATAGTGATAAGATGAAGTATATGAAAGTTACATTATCATATTGTGCTATATTGTAGAACCAAAACAAAAAGAAATTGTGAAGGTCTGTCACTGGAAATGTGTGAGAACCTGATAAGAAAAAGGGAGTCTGGAATGTGACAAAATCCATGGATAAATATAACTAAGTGTAGCAAAACTCGAACAATAGATATTCTGGGCACTAAAAGATCTAAAATAGAAACAAGGACAAAATGATATATTTTTAACTGTATATTCACACACATACTGTATTCCTATGTAGGTATGCCCTATACATATGTGTATATGAATACATGAAGAAAAGGCCAGGGGAAGACACACCAGCTGATAATAACTGTGATTACCTCTGGAAAAGCTACATGAGTGGTCAACAGGGACTTGGGCTTCATCTATAATGTCTGACTTTTTTTTACATGAAATACTTACATCATTAAACATACTTTTTAATTATTTAGAAAAATATTGAACAAACAAGAATGAAAAAAGAAAAAGCTGCATAAGAAACTGTGCTAATGTGAAAATAGTTGCAAAATATAGGGATGTGGTGTTACCCAGTTTGCCAACCTGTGAACCTATGGAAGTCATGGCTAAAAGTTTACAAATTCATGCTACCAGATTCTGACACAAAACTTTAACGAGTCTTTACCATCAGCTGTTTTATTGAAATGAGAAGAAATAAGATTTATCTACATACTGCCCAATGGCATAATTAGATAATTCTAGATTCCCTTAGAGTTCAGTTCTCAACAAAAGATGAACAGTCCTGGGCTCTTTCTCAACCAACCTTGATAAAATCTGAAAAGCTGTCCCTGTCAGGAAAGCTGGTAACAGATTAGCTGAAGCAGTAGTGCTGATAAGGAGCTTCAAACCCTTAAAGTCTGAGGTGCCTCTATTGCAAAAAATTAGCTGTGGACAAATAGGAAACAACAAATAACAGGCGACCTGTTCTTTTTTTTTTTTTTTTTTAATTATACTTTAAGTTTTAGGGTACGTGTGCACAATGTGCAGGTTAGTTACATATGTATACATGTGCCATGTTGGTGTGCTGCACCCATTAACTCGTCATTTAGCATTAGGTATATCTCCTAAAGCTATCCCTCCCCCCTCCCCCCACCCCTCAACAGTCCCCAGAGTGTGATGTTCCCCTTCCTGTGTCCATGTGTTCTCATTGTTCAGTTCCCACCTATGAGTGAGAATATGCGGTGTTTGGTTTTTTGTTCTTGCGATAGTTTACTGAGAATGATGATTTCCAATTTCATCCATGTCCCTACAAAGGACATGAACTCATCATTTTTTATGGCTGCATAGTATTCCATGGTGTATATGTGGACAGGCGACCTGTTCTAAGAATTGCTGTTAAGGCACAACCTAAGATTGATATATCAAATAGTTGTCCCTCTCGTCATTTCTTAATCACCCCATTCAAAGCACCCTAAGTTATACAACACATAACTGAAATTTCTAACATTGAACCAAAAACCACCCCAACCATTTATCAGAATGCTAATCACACTTTTAAAACATTACTTTCAAAAAAGAAAAATTAAAGGAAAGAAACAGAATGAGAAATTCACTTGCTTGTGTGCTAGATATTTTAAACCTTTTCAAAATCATGACCTAACCTAAAATGTTCTAGAAGCACAAAGTAAAATCATATTTATATCCATGTGCCTTACAGACATCCTCCTTACCTCATTGAAGGTATTCTGAAGGAAAATTTGAGAGATCATTTTGGTACTAAAATGAAAGGTCCCTCTTTAAAAATGTATATAGAATGTTAGGAAAATATTCAAAATGTCTAGGAGAAAGACTAGAAGAGAGATTTCCCTTGGAGTATTTTTCTTCTGTTTTTGAAAGGAAAAACACAAATAAATTAGTGAAGATATCAATTTAAAAGCACTCATATTCCCCGCTTTTCTGTGCACATTACTGAATACTGTAAATAGGGTGTATGAACTTCCAATTGATTTTCCACAAATAACTACAGATTTGCACACATTTATTCATTCTTTTACAGTGCCCTGTGGGTCCAATACATTCATTTGCACAGTGGCTAGAGACAGTCTAGGAGAGATGCTGCAGGCCCCAAAGCAAGTGGGGCTAACTGGACTATGTGAGAATTGAACCCATGACCTTGGCCTCCACTAGGCTATAATCAAAAGAGTTAATAACCGACCAACAACTGCTCAGATAACGGCAATTTCCAAGCATAACAATAAGAAGAACAGTACTTCAGAAAATAAAATTTTAAGTATGCTGTTGAAAACCTGGATAGCAAATAGTGGAGCAAAAAATAAATACCTGCTTTCTAGTCAAGTCCAAAATACTTTCTTATTGTTGTTGTTGTTAAATCTCAGATAACTTTTGGTGAAATAATTTTGAATGTATATTTTATTTCTTCTTCTTCTTTGTTTTTTGTTTGTTTGTTTGTTTGTTTGTTTTGAGACAGTTTCCCTCAGTTGCCCAGGCTGCAGTGCAGTGGCGCGATCTCGGCTTATCACAACCTCCACCTCCAATGCTCAAGCGATTCTCCTACCTCAGCCTCCCGAGTAGCTGGGATTATGGGCATGCACCACTATACCCAGCTAATCTGTGTATTTTTGGTAGAGACAGGGTTTCATCATTTTGCCAAGACTAGTCTCAAACTCCTGGCCTCAAGTCATTCTCCCAGCTCAGCCTCCCAAAGTGCTGGGATTACAGGCATGAGCCATCACACCTGGCCTCAAATGTATATTTTTAACCTAAAGTGTTTCTTATGTGTAGTTAAACAAGTCTTTATCCATTCAAAAAATATATGAGACTGTTAAGAGTTCATCGCTATGGGAACAATAATAAGCTATTGATGAGAAAGGACTGAGTAATAAGCTAAAGTAGAAACAAGTTAGTAATCCATTAACTTGTAAGTTAGTTACTAGCTTCTGTACGTGTATCTGCTACAGAAAAAACAAAAGCAACCACAATGTTCAACACAAGCTACCAGCAACGTTCAGCTCCATAAACAGCTCTCCATAGGTCCCAGATGAAGAGAAGGGCCAGACAAACCGAAAGTGAGGAACTGTAATGGTTAATTTTATGGGCTGACTGGGCTAGGCCAAAGTACCCAGTACTTGGTCAAACATCAATCTAGAGTCTCCTGTGAAGGTATTTTATGGATGTTATTATTATGTAAACAGTAGATTTAGAATAAAGCAGATCATCCCTCATAATGTGTGTGGGCCTACTCTGCTTAGGTGAAGGCCTTAAAAGAAAACAGACTGAGTATCTACGGAGGAAGAAAGGATTTTGCCTGTAGCCTACTTTCATTCTCAAACTGCAGCATGAACTCTTCCCTGGGACTGTAGGAGGGCAGAGGTGGACTAAGGGGGACCTGTCAGATGCTGTACTTCAGGAAAGAAATGATAGTGACCCTAGTCATTAGGTGGTAGACATGCAATTCCATCAATACATGGGTGGGAGAATTCCAAATTGGAGCTGCATCTCTTTGGAAATACTGGGTCCTGAAGGCTGCCGCTGATTATACCATAGAACGATGACCAAGCCTTATGCATGGATCCAGCTAAGTATTCTTACAAGTTCCTGAGGCGGGCAGGCAGGAAAATCAACCAGCTACTTTGCAATTACCGTAACTATATTTATAATTATGGTCATGTGCCACATAACAATGTTACAGTCAATGGCCAACTGTATATATGACTGTGGCCCCATGAGATTATAATGGACCTGAAAAACTATCACTCAGTGATGTCATAGTGAAACTGCCTTTGCAAGATTGTAACTGAGGAGATTATGACAGTGAAAGAGATCAGACCTAACCGACTCTATCTTGCTTCTAACCCCTAAGCTGTCCTTGTTTATTCCTGAGCAAGGAACTTTGGGAAGGAATTCAGTTCATGGTTTGACTCTGAAACAACATTGATAACAGCCCTTTCCTGAAAAGACCCCCTTCTTGCCTGGGGTCCAGTCTGCCTTTGCAGGACTACCAAATTACCTACAAGATTGGAAATTGCAGTTTGGGGGTCACGCAGCCTCTGGGTCCAAGAGTCTGAACCTCCCCAGGGGGTCACACAGCCTCTGGCTCCAAGAGTCTGAACCTCCCCAAATTGCTCCTGGGGATATCGTCAATATTGTAAAACCTAAGATCAGGGCTTGAGATATGTTGCAGACCCTGCACTCGATGGATCAGCTGACACCACCCACACCAGTAATCTGGGCCAACCAGTTCTGCCATCTCACCCAGAACAGAAGACATTTAAAAAACCTAACTTCAACCCCCTATGATTCCATTTCCAACCTGACCAATCAGCACTCCCCACTTCCCAAGGCCCTACCCGTCAAATTAGCTTTAAAAACTCTGATCCCTGAATGTTTGGGGAGACTGATTTGAATAATAATAAAACTCCAGTCCCCTGCACAGCAGCTCTGCATGAATTACTCTTTCTCCATTGCAAATTCCTTGTCTCGATAAATCAGTTCTGTCTAGGCAGCAGGCAAGGCGAACCCACTGGGCGGTTACAATAGCCATTGTGAAATTGTAGTGCGTAACACATTACTTACAAGTTTGTGATGATGCTGGTATAAACAAATCTTGGTGCTGCCAGTCTTACAAAAGCATAACATTATGGCCGGTCGCGGTGGCTCACACCTGTAATCCCAGAACTTTGGGAGGCTGAGGCAGGTGGATCGCCTGAAGTTAGGAGTTTGAGAACAGCCTGGCCAACATGGTGAAACCTGGTCTCTACTAAAAAAGAAAAAAATACAAAAGAATTAGCCAGACGTGGTGGCGTGCACTGCTGTCCTAGCTACTCAGGAGGCTGAGGCAAGAGAATTATTTGAACCCAGGTGGCGGAGGTTGGCAGTGAGCCAAAATCATGCCACCACACTCCAGCCTGGGTGACAGAGCCAGACTCCATCTCTTAAAAAAAAAAAAAAAAAAAAGCATAACACATGCAATTATGTGCAGTATAACTGTGTTACTAGTTTATGTATTTCCTACACTACGCTTTTTACTGTTATTTTAAAGTGTACTCCATTTACATATATATATATTTTTTAAAGTTTATGTACCACCAGGGATGAGGTTAAAACAAAATGTTAACTATAAAACAACGTCAGTCAGGTCCTTCAGGAGGTATCCCAGAAGAAGACATTGTTACCATAGGAGATGACAGTTCCATGCACACTATTGTCCCTGAAGACCTTATGGGACAGGATGTGGAGGTGAAAGACAGTGATATTGATGATCCTGACCCTGTGTAGGCCCCAGTTAATGTGTGTCTCTGTGTCTTCATTTTTAATTTTAAAAAAGTTTAAAAAGTAAAAAATCAAAAAAAGTTAAAATAGAAAAAAGTTTATAGGATAAGGATATAAAAAATGTTTTTGTACAGCTATATAATGTGTTTGTGTTTAAGCTAAGGATTATTACAAAAGAGTCAAAAAGTTTAAAAATTAAAAAGTTTATAAAGCAATAAAATTATAGTAAGCTAAGGTTAACTTATTATTGAAAAAAGAAAAAATTTTAAATAAATTTGTGTAGCCTAAGTGTACAGTGTTTATAAAGTCTACAGTAGTAAGCAGTAATGTCCTAGATCTTCACATTCATTCACCATTCACCCACTCAATCCCCCACAGCAACTGCCAGTCCTGCATGCTCCATTCATGGTAAGTGCCCTATATAGGTGTACTTTTTTTTATCTTTTTTTTTTCCCCCCCAGAGTCTCATTCTGTCACCCAGGTTGGAGTAGTGTGCAGTGGTGCGATCTTGGCTCACTGCAACCTCCACCTCTTTGGCTCAAGTGATTCTCCTGCCACAGTCTCCCAAGTAGCTGAGATTACAGGCACCTGCCACAACACCTGGCTAAGTTTTCTATTTTTAGTAGAGATGGGGTTTCACTACATTGGCCAGGCTGGTCTCAAACTCCTGACCTCAAGTGATCCTCCTGCCTTGGCCTCCCAAAGTGCTGGGATTACAGGTGTGAGCCATCATGCCTGGCCCATTTTTTATCTTTTATACCTTATTTGTATTATACTTTTTCTACATTTACATATGTTTAGATGCACAATTACTTACCATTGTGTTACAATTGCTTACAGTATTCAGTAGAGTAACATACTATACAGGTTTGTAGCCTACAAGCAATAGACTATACCTGTAGCCTAGGCCTATAGTAGGCTATACCATCTAGGTTTGTGTAGGTACACTCTATGATGTTCACACAAGTAAGTCACCTAACAAATGCATTTCTCACAATGTACTCCTGTCGTTAAGTGACGCATGACTGTACAGCTAAATAAACCTGAGAAGTTCTGGTTTCATGACTATAAGGAGAGAATGTGGTACCAGAGGGACACAGTTTGCTCTGCATTCTAGAAAAAGGGAGCAATGACTTTTCTAGTCTATCTCTAGAATTATCCCCAATAGACAAAATCCTAGCTATGTTTTCATAGTCTGCCTCCTTGACATATACCTTCTTACAACACTGATGAATGATGAGGCTTTCGTGGCTTGGTGGGCCATGAGGATCATCCAACTTAGTCCTCTTATGCCGATCTATGCCCAATTAATAACTTAAGTGTAATGTCACTTCCCATGGAGATTTTCCTGTAAGAAGCAAGTTCCCATAGTAGCAACCATAAACATTTTTTCTTCTTTTTTAAAATTTTGAGGTATGGGCATGGTGGCTTATACCTGTAATCCTACCACTTTGGGGGCTGAACGAGGAGGATCACTTGAGCCCAAAAGTTTGAGACCAGCTTGGGCAGTATAGGGAGATTTTTGTCTCTACAAAAAATTTAAAAATTAGCCAGGCATGATGACACAAGCCTGTAGTCCCATCTACTCAGGAGGCTGAAGCAGGGGGATCGCTTGAGCTCAGGAAGTCAAAGCTGCAGTGAGCCATGTTCACACCACTGCACTCCAGCCTGGGTGACAGAGCAAGACCTTGTCTCAAAAAAATTTTTAGAATAAATTTTATTGTGCATATTTAAGGTATACAGCATGATGTTATGAGATACATATGTACAGTAAAATGGTTACTATAGTGAAACAAATTAACATATCCATCATCTCACATAGTTATCCACCTTTCCCTCCTGTGGCAAGAGCAGCTATAATCTACTCATTTAGCAAAAATATTGAATACAATGCACCATTATTTAATATAGTCCTCATGCTATATATTAGACCTTTAGACTTGGTCAGCCTACATATCTGCTACTATCTATGAAGAACTTTAAACCTGCGTCTCCCAATTTTCTCCCCTCCACCTGAGCCTCGTAGCCACTGTTTTAGTTTCAATCTCCATTTATTTGACCTTTTTTTTTTTAAGATTCCACATATAAGTGAAATCATGCAATATTTTTCTTTTGTTTTGTCTGGCTTGTTTCACTTACCAGGTCCATCCATGTTGTGGGAAATGGCAGGATCTCCTCCTTTTTTAAGGCTGAATAATATTCTATTGTATAAACGTATACCACAGTTTCTTTATCCATTCATCTGCTGACAGACACCTAGGTTGTTTTCATATCCTGGCTACTGTGAATAATGCTGCAATGAATATGGGAGTATAGATATCTTTAAGAGGTAGTGCTTTCATTTCCGTTGTGTATATACCCCAAAAGAGAGATTGCTAGGCCATATGGTAATTCCATTTTTTATTTATTTAGGAACTTCCATATTGTTTTCCATAATGGTTGTACCAATTTACATTCCAACCAACAGTGTGCAAAAGTTCCCTTTTCTTCACACCCTTGCCAACACCTGTTATCTCCTGGCTTTTTGTTAACAGCTATCCTACCA
Source organism: Homo sapiens (assembly GCF_000001405.40). NCBI lineage: Eukaryota > Metazoa > Chordata > Mammalia > Primates > Hominidae > Homo > Homo sapiens. The sequence goes on from NC_000006.12 coordinate 70,384,548, forward strand.
GGTGTGAGATGATATCTCACAGTGATTTTGATTCGGATTTCCTTGATGATTAGTGATGCTGAATACCTTTTCATAGACCTCTTGGCCATTTTTGTGTCTTCTTTGGAGAAATGTCTATTCAGGTACTTTGCCTATTTTTAAATTAGCTTATATGTTTTCTTGCTTTTGAGTTGCATACTTTCTTTATACATTTTTGATATTAACCCTATATCAAATAGATGGCTTGCAAATATTTTTTCCCAATCTATAGATTGCCTTTTCATTTTGTTGACTGTTTCCTTTGCTGTACAGCTTTTTAGTTTAATGTAGTCTAATGTATTTATTTTTACTTTTATGGCCCGAGCTTTTGGTGTGATATCCAAGAAATCAATGCCAAGGTCGATGTCAAGGAGATTTTTCCCTATGTTTTTTTCTAGGAGTTTTATGGTTTTAGGTCTTACATTTAGGTTATTTATTTCATTCTGAGTTAAAAGTATAAACTTTAAAATTTGCTTGACACTTTGGGAGGCCAAGACAAAAGGATCACTTGAGCCCAAGAGTTCAAGACCAGCCTGGACAACATAGTGAAACCTTGTCTCTACTAAAAATAAATAATAATTTTTAAAAAACTAGTCAGGTGTCACGGTGAATGCCTATAGTCCCAGCTACTTGGGAGGCTGAAGTGGGAGGATCTCTTGAACCTGGGAGGTCACTGCTGCAGTGAGCTATGATCATGTGATTGTACTCCAGCCTGGGCAACAGAGCAAGTCCCTGTCTCAAAAAAAAAATTGCTAGCATTATACATTTCATTGTAAATTAATAAGTTGGTTCAAAGTTCATTTACAGTGATACTATGTGTGTAACATACAAATTAATCCTCTTGAATCTGAATGCTCAGAAAATTTCAAGTTTCCTGTGTCTTGCTCATTGACAAGAGAATAGACATTTATTAGGAAGAATTCAGGGGAAAAACTGAAGGAATGAGATGTGCAAAGTCACAGAACCAGGAAAGAGAGTGATACCATCATTTAACACAAATGAAGCAGAGACTGAGCATTTGAGCATTGTTGGGAGATAAGTCTGGAAAGGCCAGTTCAAGTCAGATCATCCCATGAATGCCTTGAGGAGACATTTAGATTTTCCCCCAAGGCCAAGGAGATTGCAGTCTATTTGTAAGAAGAAGAGTAAAATCGTCAGATTTATTTTAGAAAAATATCTCTGGTGATGATGTGGAAGATAGATTAGAGTGTAGAGCAACTAGATGAACTGGGATGAGTTAGGAGGAGTCTCAGTGGGAAACTACATAGACCTGGAAAAAGGCAATGGCAGTAGATACGGAGTATGGAGAGTCAAGAGGATAACACAAAACAAACCATATATGGGTGTTTAATGGAGAAGCATGGACAGATTTAGCTTAGTTAAATAATTGGAGAGCAATATCATTAACTGAGATAGGAAATGGAGAAGGAAAAGTGGGTTTTGTTGTTTTTTGTGTGGGTGGAGGATATATGAAATTTGGTTTTGAACATCGTGATTTTGAAATGATTATGAGTCATCCAAGTAGAGACATTCAGAAGGCAATGGAAACTACAAGTCTATACTTCAGGAGAGCCATTTGGGCATAAGCTGTAATTTTGGGATTTGCTGTAAATGATAGGCAAAGTTATAGAAGTTGATGACTCAGAATTTGGCAGTGGTGTGGGGGATTCAGGGAATGAGGTGATAAGAAGAGTAAGAATAAAATTCTGGGCTGGGCATGGTGGCTCATGCCTGTAATCCCAGCATTTTGCAAGGCCAAGGCGGGCAGATCACTTGTGGTCAGAGGTTTGAGACCAGCCTGGCCAACATGGTGAAATCCCATCTCTACCAAAAAATACAAAAATTAGCTAGGTGTGGTGGCACGTGCCTGTAATCCCAGCTACTTGGGAGGCTGAGGCAGGAGAATCACTTGAACCTGGGAGGCAGAGGTTGCGGTGAGCCAAGATCACACCACTGCACTCCAGGCTGGGCGACAGAGCGAGACCCAGTCTCAGAAAAAAAAAAAAAAAAGAATAAAATTCCAAGGACCCACATATATAAGATGTTAACAGAATGACAAGAGCCATTCAAAGATTTTAAAAAGTAAACAGAGGTGTGGGAGAAGAGACAAATAGGTGCAACGTTATAAAAGCCCATGGAAGCAAATGTTTTAGGATGAAGAGAGAAGTCAATATTCCCAAACGCTCTGTAGGGTGCTAAGAGAATGAGGACTGAAAAGAGGCCACTCCATTTATAAGTTAAGTCATTTATGACCTTTTCCAGAACCATTTCATTAAAGTGGTGAGAAAGAAGTAAGATTGTGAACACAGTAAGTGAGAACAACTCTTTCAAGAAGTTTGGCAGTTAGGAAGAGACAGAAAATGGCAATATGTGAAGAAGGCAGGATAGAGGGAAGAAGCCCAGATTGAAGATCTTGAGTCTTTATCTTCTCCCTATTCTCGCAATCCAACAGCAAATATGTCCTATTGATATTTGATTCAAATTATTTTCAAAACTCACCCTTCCTCCCTTTTCTTCAGTTGCTCAAGTGCTGTCAAGACTTCTTTGTTTGTCTCAGACCTGTTTCCGTCTTCCCAACAACCCTCCCTGCTTCTTTTTGCTCTTCTCTCCAAGCCATCCTCCATCCTGCTGCCAGACTAATTTTCTAGAACACCAGTTACCTTATGTCATTAAGTCGCTCAAAAAACTTCTAGAGTTCCTCATTTACTCTTATTCCCTCTTCAGCCTGACATCTGACCAAGCCGAGATTGGTTCTCCCTAGACATTCCATAACCACCTCCTTCCATGCTTTAGCCAAGATGGACTTCTCACTGTCCAAGTCATTGAGTATGCTCTCCCTTCTGACTGATAAACCATCTGACTTTTCTCAGGTAATCAACCTCACCTGGCCTTCAAGAATCAACTCACAAGCCTTTTATAGAAGAGGAGGAGGGGTAGGAATTAAAAATAATTACTAAACAATTTTATCTATCTTACCTTATCTCGGCTAGAAAGAAGGGAGAAGGGAAACAAGAAGGGGAAACTGGTTAAGAAAATAAATTGTAAGGTCTATATTAACGTAGAAATTAATAAACATATAATATTGAATCTAGTATCACTCTTGACCAATCATTCACATACTTTTGATAGTGAAGTTCTCTGTTTACTTCAGATACTAACATCTAGTTTATACAGGATAAACGACTCCTGTATTAAGGTTTCTAACCTACTATTCAGTATGAAAACGATGCTAATTGATGGGTTTTGGACTCAGCTTTGCAATTGGAGCACTGTGGAAAAATACCTGGGGAGCTTTTTGAAATCACACACACTCCAGGAGATTCCGTTTTCATCTCTTTCAATGGCTATGCCCTCTAGCTAAGAATCCCTGCTGCCCTGTGAGTCTTCTCACTGGTGGGAGTGGACCACTTTCCTCAGGTACAGGTTTGAGAGCCACTGCAGGGTATGTTGGGTGGCAAAAAGCAGAACGGTTACAAATTTGAGGTTAGTTATTCCTGTGAAAAAGAAAACACAAAACATTATAGTAATTAATTGAGTGACTCCAGTTCCTCAGAATATAAAGAATAGACCCAGGAAAGTACTAAATGTTACACAAGGAGACTTTTTTCCTCCCTAAATGGTCACAAAAGAATTTTTTAAACATGTAAGAAATGTAATATCAAAGTAAAAATAAATCAGCCAACCAGACTGTCTCCAATCTGTTGGGTGATATATTTAGCATATTTTGTAATTAAATGAGCTGACTTTTAAAGTTGTTTTGAGACTACAACTACTTAATTTACCTAATAAGACTGCATGGCACTCTACATATTATCCATTGTTAGCTGTACTCATACTGCTATGTCTTGTAGAGAGACTAAGCTGCTTTTTCCTGCAACATTGTATTAATGGTTTTAATGACGTGGACATAATTTCACAGGGGCAGTATTTTATTTTTACTCAGTTCATGAACATCAAACAACCCCAAGCTGTTTTGATAACTAGCATCCTCAACCTGTGCTATTGCTGTTTGCTCACAGCAATGATAACCACTGTTTATTTAGCATCATGAAGTTTAATGACTTTGTATTTCCTTCTATTAACAAAACTCACAGAACTCTGAAATAAGTAGGCCCGTAGCTCTGATGAAAAACCCTAAAGTTCCAGAACTTCAAATTTTATCTTAGAATTTTAAAACCAGTGGGGCTTGGGCCACTACCTACTCCACGGGTTCTCACTTATGGTGAGCATCAGAATCTCTTGGGGAGCTTGTTAAATACACAAATTCCCAGGCTGGGAGGTTTCAATGAGGCTCAGAAACCTGCATTTAAAACAAGAACTCAAGATAGTCTTTGAACTTCAGTTTGAAAATTACTGACCAACACCCTCACTTATACATGATGAAACTGAGCCCCAGACAGGGTAAGTGACTTACTCAGGGTCACTTAGCTAGATAATGACAATCAAGTGTAGAACTGATGCAGCCTAATCCTTAGTTCTGTGCTCTTCCCACGCTTACACCCTTACTGTTTAGACTGCCCATCTGGGTTCCTACAATATGGGAGGTCACCTATCTATTACTCCCATGAAAAGAAGTTCATGGACAATATTCTATAGATGCCACAGACAGAAGGAAGTAAGCACTGTGGGAATAATAGAAGAAAGGCTGTTAAAGCTGTTACCTTCATCTTTCTGAATTTCAGTTTCTTATCTGTATGCAAGCACCAATGGATCATTAGAGCAAAATACCAAGAGCTTGTGAGATGGAAAAAGATTACTATAAGATGGTAAGTTTACTCACTCCCTTAATATGACTAAAATAGCTAAAAAAAAAAAAGGGTTCCTAATAATGAAATATCAGAAAGGCTACACTCTGAATTTACTTTTTCTTTCTGAATTTCAGTTTCCTGTCTATAAAAAGGTATGCTAAAACTACATACTAGGCAGCATGATCTTGAGTACAGCAATAGCACATGAACAGTGCTTCATAAAATCCTAGAACATGGTATATACTCAATACATTCTATAATTTTTTTAAGTATTATCATATGGTGGAAGGGCCAAGCTAATTAAAATGGGCCAGGCTAATTACAATTACATACATACCAAAGTAGAATTATTGATACCTCCCATCCCTAGAGTGCTGCAGAAATTACAAAACATGGCAGCTAGATCATGTAAGACACATTTACAAGCTTAAGGAGAACACCTATGTAGGGTAACATGGATGAATCTAATGGAATATAATATTGGGCAAAAGAAGCAAGACACAGTAACATAAATACTATGATTCCATTTATAAAAGTTAAATACAGGCAAAACTAAACTATATTGCTTGGGAATGCATAGTTAGGCAGCAAAACTATAAAGCAAAGCCAGGAATTCAGGAATTCTCTCTTTCTTCTCTCCCCTTCCCCTCGTCTTCCTAGAAAACAAAAACACCAGGGTAGTGGTTTCCTCTGAAGGGTACCGAGGGGTTTGCCCAGAGGAAAGGCACATGAGTGCTTAAAAGGGTGCTAGCCTTGTTTTACTTATTGACTTGGATGGTGGTTAAATGGGTGTTGCCTTTAGAATAATGTGCCAATTTTTTTTGTTGTTTTGTGCATTTCTATTTTATATACTGTATTTCACAACAAAGTTTTAAAAAGATTTTTAAAAGACACATTTAGTAGATAAAGCTGAAGGGAGTTACTCAACATTCCTATTATAGATATTTGGTTGTCTCTCCACGTGGACTACTAAGATAATGGAATTCAGCTGCACAGTGGGTCTATGTAAATATCCATTTGTGTACTGACAAAGAGGACTCATGCCCTGGAGCTGTTGTGATGTTTAACTGAAAGGCATTTGATCAGAGGTTGCCAGGATCCATTAGACATTAAATATATCATCAACCTAATTACATATGACTTACTAGTTCAGTGCTGATTATATCCGAAATCATCAGAGTCTTAAAAATAGTCATGCTTGTTTGTCCCAACAATGTTTTCAACCATAGTTTCTGTGGTTCCAACCACATATGGAGAAATAATATATGTCCTCACGGGGAGAAGAGTGATTTCTGAGTTTTAAAAAGTCGAAGGTTGTCATTTTGCCACTTTGAGAATATCCCTTGATCTAGTTTGATCTATGTATGTTCCACCTAGAGACTAAATTAAAACTCTAGCCAAAATATTAAAGGATGGAAATATAGTCCATGACTGTGGTTTATCATTCCATTATTAGAATTGACTAGCAGTATTTTGACACCTAGATAGGACTGCTTTGGTGTGTCTAGGTGTATTGTATTATTTAAGTTACATAATATTAGAAACTTAAAATAAAAACAACTTGGTATCAGAATTGGTGACTGAGTTCGAGTTTGGTATTCAGCTGTTTCCATGCAACTGAATTGTTAAAATGCTTACAATTTCCTGTGATTTATTTTCTAAAGCAAGAAAAGGGACCTAACATTAATATGCCTCTTTTAGATTAATTAGATTTACTTTAATGAAATATACAAACAAGAAAGTATAATTTATATGTATAGTTTAAAGAATAATAATAAAACACCCATTTACCTACCATACAGCTTAAGAAATAGAACATAACCAAAACCTTCATTTCCCTTTCTCCCCCATAAGAGGCAAATGCTACGCTACGCTGAATTTTGTGAATATCATTCCATGCTTTTCTTTGCAGCTTTACCACGGGTATGATACATATAATTATGCATATTGTTTGGTTTACCTGTTTTTAAGCTTTATATAAATGAAATCATGTGGTAGCATTCTTCAATAACTTTTCTTCATTCATTATTGTACTTTTGAGATTTATCACATCAGTAAATGTATCTCTACTTCATTCATTTTAAATGCTATATATTCAGTATACCGTGACAGCAGTATCATATACTTTCAGGGCACTGCCAATATTTCTTCAACAATTGCCATTTCCGTATACACCAGCCCTTCACCTGCCAATGCCTCCATTTTTTGCCTGAAGGCTTTCTCTGGCCATCAGTGACTACTCAGTCTGAACACACAACGGGCTGAAAATACCAAGGAATTAACGTTTCTCGGGAGCAGTTCTCAACCAATAACTTGGATAAACTGGAAGTAAGTGTTGTAAACTGTCCCCCAGAGTTCCCCAGCAGGATCAAACTCCAATTGCCCACAGTGATAATGTGATAACACACCTTTATTGGTTTTCTTCCCATCTGTTTAACTTCCCCATTATCTACTGGTGTTTCTTGGGAACATATCCCAAACAAAACCCTTTCCACTCATTGCCACAGGTCTGTCTCTGGAGGCACACAAACTAAGACAGCAGGGAAATTAAACTTAAGAACCTCCAAATACCTGATTCTGCTATGCCTCCAAGATAATGTAGCCATGCTCCAGATTTCTTCAGGGATGTCTGAGAGTTAAGCTCCTCTCAAAATCCAAAATAGGAAACAGAAATAAAAGTCCTCGGCCTGTTCGGCCCTCACTTAGTTAGCACATGTAAAACTGAAACACAACTTTCCTGAATCTCTTCCTTCTCTCTCTTTCTTCTCTCCCCTTCCCCTTTTATTCCTAGAAAAATAGACAAGCTTTTCTTTAACTTTCCCTACATCCTGTCTTCCTTCCCGGTTGGAAAGCAAGCTTTCTGAGTTCACTACCATTGACTGAAGGGACATCCTTTCTATACTACGGTAGAACTCTGTGTTCTAGGTCATCCAGGCTCAGCCCTGGGTATGTTAAGTAGGAAAGATTAAGGAATTTATAAAATTCTCTCTCAAAACTTGTATACATTTATTTTTTAATTTCAGAAACTATCACTTGTCTTTACCTTTAATTCTTTCTGAAACATCCATTTCCCTGGTAGAGGTTAGACAGTAAAGAAAAAATACATAGGAGAAAAAAGGAAACAAAAGGCAAATGAAGAACACAAAATTTCAGGACCTATTCATAGAAAAATAGGCCAATTTCAAACAAACAGTTCTCCCAAGACTCAAAGAAACTAAAGGCAAGTTGGCTTTCCTTAAAAAAAAAAAAATTATCCTGAAAGAATAACAAGAGATCGATCAAAAGAGAGATGAAGCAAGAACAGGAGATAAACAGTGGGTGTGTGGAGCTCAGAGATGAATAGAAGCATAAGATGAAATTATTACAGAGGTGAAATTCTCATTAGAGTCAACAAATGGTAACACATATATATGGATAAAAATACAGTCTAGGACAAAAAGAAAGCCCTTGAGTAAATAACATAAAACGAATTGGAAAAGAACAGAGATAAAATAAGAAAGGAGGTGGTATGGACATTAAACAAATAATCACTTTCATGGAAGAAAATAATATATGGAATGGGAAAAATTCAAATATATAATTGAATATAATTTTCTTGAAACAAAATCTCAAATCTATAGATTACAAAGACATAGCTTAGCCAAATTCCTGAAAATGTTGATGAAGGCTAATTAGTAAGATAACTTAAAAATGGATTTAGAGCAGCAGGTTGTAAGAAGTTACACAGCAGAAAAGAAGCACATGAACCAACTCTACCAAAATGAGAAAGAATAGGAGGAAATGAACTGAAGAGGTATTTAAGATCCTGGCATTTAGTAAGCCGACCATGGTATGGTTGTTAAGAGGCCAGCGCTGTAAACTGCCTAGATTTGGATCCCATCCCTGCCGTTTATTACCTGTGTGACCAAAGCAAGTTATTTTGCCTCTTGGTGCCTCAATTTTCTTAATTTTAAAATGGAGGTGATATTAGCCACCCACATAACACAGTGACTGTGAAAATTGAGAAAATACATTTAGTCTTCTTTAAAAAATGCCTTTCATATTCAGCATTGTCAATTATTATTAAGTTCAACAGAGCTTGGTGATTCTCTGAAGGTGAGAGAGTAAGAGACAGGGAAGACACGAGTTGATTCCTAGGTTTCAGGATGTGACAATCATAATGCCATTCACTATAGAGAGAATACAGAACAAGGGTAATACAGAAGAAATGATTTTTTTTAATTCTCAATTGATATAGTCCCCACCCAAACCTCATCTTGAACTGTAGTTCCTGTAATTCCTATGTGTCGTGGGAAGGACCAGGTGGAGATAATTGAATCATGAGGATGATTTCCCCTATCCTACTCTCGTGATAGTGAATTAGTTCTCACGAGATCTAGTGGTTTCATAAGGGGCTCTCCACCAACGCTCTGCACTTCTCCTTGCTGCCACCATGTGAAGAAGGACATGTTTGCTTCCCCTTCTGCCATGATCGTAAGTTTCCTGAGGCCTCCCAGCTATGCTGAACTGTGAGTCAATTAAACCTCTTTCCATTATAAATTATCCAGTCTTGGGTATGTCTTTATTAGCGGTGTGAGAACAGACTAATACATCAATTATAATGGATTCATTTTGAACATGTTAAGATTGACTTATCTTTGAGAAGATAGGTAGAGAGGTCCTGTGGGCACCTAGAACTCACCTAGGGCTGAAGGCAGGTGTACATGGCTTTAATGTGTGTGCAGAAGCCATGAATGTGGATAAGATCTCCTTTGTGATGTACATAATGAAAGAAGAAAAAGGGCGAGAACTGAACCTGTGGAATATTCCCATTTATCAGCTGGCAGAAGACTAAGGCCTGTGACAAAGGATCAGTGGAAAAATAAAGAAGAAGGAGAGGATAAATGATGAATCAAAGGCACAAGGACAGGCTGGGCACAGTGGCTCATGCCTGTAATCTCAGCACTTTGGGAGCCCAAGGTGAGTGGATCACTTGAGCTCAGGAGTTCAAGACCAGCTTGGGCAAAATGGGAAGACCCCATGGTGGGAGGGATATATACATATATGTATATACATAAATAGTTGTGTGTATATATACACACACATATACAGTTGTATATACGTATATATATATATAGTTGTGTATATATACACACACACACATATATATATAACAAGTACATTGGAGAGGCTGTGTTCAGGAGCACAGATGAACAGGTTGGCCTTTGCCAAGGGAAGCACATATTTTCCACCGAGAAAGAGAACGATGAGGGTGTGCGTGGAAGCAGGTTAAGTGTGTAGACTGTAGTTGGTAAAGCTGAAAGAGCTCTTACTGAAAGATTCTCCCCGGGGCCTGAAAGTTTAAGGGAATGAATAACTCCGCCCTCCTCAGGCCCAGTCCCAAGGTGCAAGGCCACTTGTGCTAGCAGCATGCGTCAGCAAGATAGCAGAAGCAGGAAGAGAGCTGGCCGGAAGATATGTACCCTGTGAAGACCGAGAGAGAGGCCGTCCAGGTACCACGTAGCAGTTACATCAGACTGAGACACTTCCTGTTTACAGGAGACTATAAAACCCCTGCCCCATCCTCATTTGGTGCTGATGCCATTTTCAGCCTCAGCACGCCTGCACCCAGGCGCTCATTAAAACAGCATGTTGCTCCCCACTGCCTCGTGTTGTCTGTTGGCGCGCTGTCGGGGTTCGAACCGATACAAGAACCTTCCACCTACCTGGTGCTTTGGCCTCATCTATAAGGTAAAAGCAAAGCCATCTGTTGCTAAATATTGGAAACTCTGTGTAGCAGTGAAGATTAGAAGTAGTTAATGATTGGAGGATGACCCCTCTCAAAAAAAAAAAAAAGTTACATTGAGGGCCCCGCAGACATTGAATGAAAAATATGAACTCAAGTCAAAAAATTGTTTTCGCATTTTTTTCCAGCAGCTTTTCCACTGTCCTGAAACAAGATAGAGAATCTGAGGTAAGATATGATCTGAAAAATGTTTGACATGGCTGCTTTTGCCATAAAAACAAAGTAGAAAATAATTAAATGTAGTCCATTTCTAGAGTTACCTAAGTGTAGTGTTGGCTTATAAGACAGAATACCTGGACCCTGCCTCATGTGTGCCTATTGTTTGCTGAAAGGATTTTAATCCTATAATAAAATCTCTCACAACATGCCATGGAAAGTATTTCCTAGAATTCTTAAAAACTAATGAGAAGGAAGCTTGAATATGCTGATTAACATGGAAGCTTGTTACTGGAAAAGAAAAGCAAAACTGAAAGATATTGTTTTAATATCCTTTCAGCTACTCTAAAAGATTACATAACTGCACATAGAACAAGCTATATAAAGTACAAGGCTTAGTCAAAGAAACATCAGGCTAATACCTGAGTTTTCATACTTAATACAAAAGTCTAAAATATTTCTTACCCCCGACCTGAATATGGCTTCAACTTCTCATACAATGTACTACTAGCCTAATAGATATTTTAGAATTAATTATTGCAAGTAGTTCATGTATATAAATGCATTTTTATTCAACTTTAAGTAGTTTGTTTCATTGTTTTGAGTATAAATAAGCAATCTCATCAATGATCACTTCAAAGATACAGTTTATTAAATATCTTAATCATTATTCACAAAGCATTATAGGATTATTAGTAAAGCTCCCTAATAGATAGTATTATTATTTTCACTCTTTCCAAGGAGTCAGTTGTCAATATAAAAAAATACGTTTAGAGAATGGGTCAGTAAAGCAGCAATTTGAATAATGAAGGATATTTGAACGATTGAAGGATAATGAATCAAACTGAGGCAAACAAAGGAAGTGAGAATGAAGAATAAAGTGATGTAAAGAATTAATATAAGAATAGTAAGGAGCATTTTATAAATAAACCGTTAAAAGCAAGTTCTTCACAATAAACAAACTCTGAACAATGAGTCTATGAGGAGCTGCCACTGAACTTTAAGTTGCTCAAACACACTAACTGTGGAAGAGTAGTACAAATGACAAGTAGGCTTCCCACCAAGCAAAACTAGAAAATCAAAATTTGTTTCCAGCAGTAGCACATCTTCAAGTCCCTCCTCCTCACTTCCTCCTTTCTTTTTTCTTTGCCAAAACAAAACAGATCTACTTAAAAGGCCAAAGGCCACTGGAGAAAGAGTTTATGATCAGACAACCCAGGTGTCCTATGTCTAAAAGGGAAATACAGGTCTTGAAATGAGATAGACTGTGAAAATAATGAATTAGTTAGAATTCATAGGGAAAGAACTTCATTCCTTAACACTTATCATCATGGTATTGTTTCTGCGGTGTGTTATTACTTCAGTAACTTCTTCCTGTAATGATCTAGGTTACATGTAGGTATGTATTTATCACAATAATCTGATGGCTGTCTAATAACTAGTCACATACATGACATCTCTACTTCATAATAGTAGGAGCAACTTACTCTAATCTGACTAAAGTAAAATATGATACATAAGCCTTTTTAATTCTGCAATAACCCATTCATCTTTATTATTAATAGATTTTTAAAATTACCAGTACGTATTTTTCTGAAATGTGTGCAATCAATCCTTTGTCAATTCTTTACTACTACGATCTGAAGAAAGTTGCAATCCAAAGAGAATAAGGGTTACAATTATACTTGAAGATGAGAGTGCTAAAAATCTGTGATATGTTTGAAAACCTAGCAAATGGGTGACTCATACTTTCATTACCTTACTTGCTGCCTAGTAAACTAAACTGGGTGCCTAAAATTCCCTTTGTTTATTTTCAACTTCAATTATATATGCACAGTATTTTAATTACTTAGCATCTATTGTTCCAGGTGCTTAGATTTTTCCACATCAAAATTCTCCAGTTTCCATTGTGTTATTTCCTGTTATAAGATTATTCAAAGTAGTTTTTTTCTTTATTGTTGTTTTTCAAAGGGAGGCAGACTGACCAGTCGTGTTTGGGGTTATTTCACAATGCTAGTTCCTTCCTGTATACAAATTCACACACGCACCCATATTCATACAAATGCTGGCCTTGGGTAAAAAAAATAAGGTTGCCAAACATTTGAAGTCTTCAGACCATTCTTTCTTTGTTCCTCCTTTGGGGAGCACCACCTCCCCTTCAATTATTCTGCATCCTGCATTTTCTCCTCTTCCTTACAAAGAGCCTGGTATCAGTCACAGCTCCTGGCACTCCTGAGTTACATGGCCTACTTCTGAGGCACGCAAAGATTTGGTAGCAAAGCAAAGGGAAGGGAAGTGGCAGACCTGTCTCTCAGCTGCCAGCTGCAATCTTTCTCGCACACCAGTGCCTCTCCTTCTTACAAGTTACGTCCTGTCGGTAGACGGACTGGCCCAACAACAAGGTTATATCTATTGAGGTTAAACTTGCCCCAAACAGTGTTTGTTGGAGCAGAGAGGCAGAAAGCGTACAAAATAGGAAGGTGAGTTCTCGAAAGAGTTAAAATCCAGCCTTAAAAATTCCACATATGCTCAGTCAGGTAAATCATCATGAATTTTTTACTGATATTTTGTCCTAGAAGATAGTGATATTAACATATTCTAGAAAAGAAAAACCTTGATTCAGTAAAAACCTCCTTAAGTGAGAGATACATGATTAAATGTTGATGACAAAATATATTTTGAGGTTATCTCAAAGTTTAATGAAGTTCTAAATATATAGAATGATTGAATATACACTTTAAGAAAACATGCAATAGGTGACTGGATAGAGCTGAAAAAGAGGCATCCATATATTTTAGATTGTTCATTTCTTGTATATTTGATTTTATGTATGAGAGTGTTTGTTATCCTGATTTAGAATGAAATGACTTTGAGTGGTATTTGTGGATTCAATTTTTTTCTAGCCTGAGGAATAATCTATTGTAGAAAAGTTGAAAAGTTGCTCTAATTCGCTAATATTTCAAAGCATCATTTATTTTCTCAGGGAAAGGACCAGAAAACTCGGATCCAAACTTAAAATGTCAATACTCATAGTTTAGCATTTCAAAATGAATAACTACATGGAGTTACCAGTGATACTTTTAAAATTTATATTTTTGCTATGTGTACTGTTTCAACAAAGTCATGAGTATACCAAAGCGAGCTAACAGTCTTCATTCCAAAATGTTGCCCCAAAATAATTTCTGAACCACATGACAGATGTTTGATACAGATGACTAAATTTCCTGTCATGTTTGTTTATTGTTAATAGTAAAACCAACAGAGAGTGCTAGACTTTAGACACTAATATCTTCAAAATATGGACTTACATGAAACTAGACAGCAATATCATCTTAAAGTACTTTTTTCTCTTAAACAAACAAATCGAAAAAAGCAAAGATCAGAGATGAAAGGAAGAAAAGTATATCGAGTGACACCATGTGTCAGCCAGACACTGGGATAGATGCTTCATATACCTTAGGTCATTTAACGTTATAGTTAAGTAGAAAATGTTTTAAAATTGTGGAGGTGTTTAACTAGTTTTTCATTTTCTAAGCCAGCACAGCTGTTGACTCACCTGTTCATAATGCAGAGATTATTTGTTCTGCCCTACGTTTCTGTTGCACAACATTTTCCCTCTCTTAAAAGTCATTTATTGAATCATCATCTGTCTCAGGCTTGATACGGTATAGCCTCTGAAAGACTGGTTTAGTACTTAAACCCACCTTTCAAAATATTTCCAGTGCAGGCCATTCAGTGTTCCAGGTACCTAATGAGTCATTTTCTTCTTCCCAGTCTACCAAGCAGGATCTCAAAGCCTCCTTTATCTTTCTGGGTGTATACAGAGTCATTAAGCTCAAATATGTCCTTTGCCAATGGACTTGAGGGTTGGGTTTAGTTATTAACTTGGTGAGTCTCCACCCAGCTAACTATTCTAGGAAATCATTTGGTGAGTCAGGCATTCTTGTATTCACATTGCAGCGGCCAGTCATCTGCCCTAAGTGCTGCCGCCGAAGACTGAATGTCCTGGAAAGTTTGCTGTCACATCTCCATTATGACAAAAGCATTGTGCCGAACAGATGAAAAAATGCATTGTCAACGGAATCTTTTATGTTTGTTTGTCTTCCTTTAAGCAACATTGCCTTACTTGTTATAAAAGATAAATAAATATTTGTTCATTTCAATTCTGATGAGTCTGTGAGCTGTTACCATCAAGCACAGAGCAGCAACCTACTTTGGGATTGAGAAAGTGGGAAATCTGAAGTGAAAGTCTATGGTGATTAAACAAAACTGAAAACTAAGCCACTCCTCTTCCATCTGGTAGAGAAATTGTGACCATATGCCCTTCTCTCCACTAAGAGGAAAGACCAGACTCACTGGTTCACTGGTATGTTTTCCTTATAGTAGACTGTGGTATGACAATGCCAAGTGATAAAACTTCTATGACACCCCTCTCTCCAGTTGATCCAAAGAACTTGGAGGGGAGGAAGAGGGGAGAGATGTGAGGAGACACAGCAAGTTAGGCACCTCTGCTTTTTCGCAGGAGCAAAAATAATAGGTTCTTATCTACTTGGAAGGTGAGGATACTACTAATTCATAAAACAACATGAACACAGTTAATTTTCTAAATGCCAAGACATAAAAAAAAAATAATCTTCTTTAGGAAAAAATTGTTTCTAAAATAAAATAATAAATTTGTATTGAATTCTTACTATGTAATAGGTGCTAAACCAAGCACCTTACATGCTTTTGCTCACAACAACTCCATAATGTTGCTGTTATTTCACCATTTTACTGATTTATTAGCCCATTTTCATACTGCTGATAAAGACATACCCAAGAGGGGGTAATTTATACAGGAAAAAGGGTTTAGTGGACTTACAGTTCCACATGGCTGGGGAGGCCTCACAATCATGGCAGAAGGCAAGGAGGAGCAAGTCACATCTTACATGAATGGCAGCAGGCAAAAAGAGAAAGCTGGCTGGGCACAGTGGCTCACACCTGTAATCCCAGCACTTTGGGAGGCTGAGGCAGGTGGATCATGAGGTCAGGAGTTTGAGACCAGCCTGACCAACATGGTGAAACCCTGTTTCTACTAAAAATACAAAAATTAGCTGGGCGTGGTGACAGGCTCCTATAATCCCAGCTACTCAGGAGGCTGAGGTAGGAGAATCGCTTGAACCTGGGAGACGGAGGTTGCAGTGAGCCGAGATCACACCATTGCACTCCAGCCTGGGTGACAGCGAAACGCCGTCTCAAAAAAAAAAAAAAAGAGAGAGAGAGCTTGTGCAAGGAAACTCCTGTTTTTAAAACCATCAGATCTCGTGAGACTTATTCACTATCATGAGAATAGCACGGGAAAGACCTATCCCCATGATTCATTTACCTCCCACTGGGTCCCTCCCACAAAATGTGGAAATAGTGGGAGTTACTATTCAAGATGAGATTTGGGTGGAGACACAGCCAAACCATATCAACAAATAAAGAAATTTAGGACAGTAACTGTCCCAGAGTTGCACAGCTGAGCCCAAATTTAGATGATTTCATTGCATTTGTTTTTAAGCACCAGACTATTAAATTAGGTTTTCTTATTTTTGAAGAGCCAGAACTAACGGCAAGTATGTTGTATTGCCTATATAGCAAGGAATTAAAAGAAAACTAATGTGACTAGCATGTAGCCTTACAATTAGTTTGTGTTTTATATGTATAATACATATATATAACATATCATATATACAATAACTTGTTTTGATATTAATTTTACCATTTTTTTTAAAAATCACATGATGAAACTTTCAAAGTAATTATTCCAAGACAATGAGAAATAACTGTATCAAAACATAGCTAAAATTCATAACATAGGCAGCATCAAGATTCAGTCCCAAAAGCAGAACCTACTGAAAGTTATAAAGTTAAAAAAAAAAAGACAGTATTCACATTTGACAAAGATGGGTTGTGGTGGCTCAAGTGTGCATTATTCTTATCTTTTCACATATGTTTAGAATATTTTACATAGAAATATATTTATAAAAACATGGATCATTACCTATGCAGAACTTCTGGCCATTATCCTTACCTTGATTATACCCTAGGGAACCTTATTTTCCAACTTTGTATGTGAGCTCATAGGGAAAACCAGAAATAATAAAAAGAATATATGCTAGGTAGAAGCCTGTCTGAAAACATAATCTTTTTCTGGGAAAATATAAAAGGACTATAGAGCAAGATGGTTTTTAACAACAAATTCTTTTAAAATACCATGTGATATAACTAAAAAGAAAAAAACTTCCAAATTGATTTGATCAGGTTTACAAATCTGATATCAACAGTTGACAAATGCCAAAACAAAACAAAAAAACCAAGGGAGACTACTTGAGGAAGAAGAGAAAGAAGTAAAAAGAAAGGAAAGGAAATTAAACAAAATAGCATTTATGGATATAGATGAAGTAATGTTAAATACAATCTGCCAAATCAAATTCAAAAATATATTAAGACTGGGAGTGGTGGCTCATGCCTATAATCCCAGCACTTTGGGAGGCCGAGGCAGGCAGATCCTTGAGTCCAGAAGTTCAAGACCAACCCAGGCCATAGGGTGAAACCCCATCTCTACAAAAAACACAAAAATTAGCCAGGCATGGTGGCACATGCCTGTAGTCCCTGCTACTTGGGAGGCTGAGGCAGGAGGATCAGTTTGAGCCCAGGATGCAAGTAGCCGAGATTGCGTTATTGCACTCCAGCCTGGGCGACAGAGCGAGACCCTGTCTCAAAACAAAAAACAAACAAACAAACAAAATATATATTAAAAGAAAAATCTGTTCCCACCAAGGAAATTTTACTCTCATGAAATTAAAGGACAGTTTAATCTAGAACACTAGACATAACCATGTGGCATTTATATGTCAAATGAGAAAATAAAAATAGATATCAAAAGGTACCTAATACATTAGGTACCTAATACATTCAATGCCAATTCCTCATTTTTAAAACACCCACAATATACTAGAAGTAGATAGATATCTCCCAAACATAATAAATAATATTATTTATTGTATTAGTCAAGGGAACACCAGCTGCTATAACTTATAAATTCTGTGGTTTAATAAAATATGTTGATTTCTTATTCCTCTGTTGTTCAACTAGTGGCAGTGTCAAGGAGGTGAGGAGAGCATAATTTCAGAGTGCGACGTGTGAGGTACTGTCTTCAAGATCAAGATACTCAGGCTGATGGAGCCTCTACCATCTTCAATACATAGTTTCTCAGGCTGCCCTGAGAATTAGCATCTAACCAGCAAACAGGGAACAAAAGGAGAATATACATGGGACATTTTAAGTGGCACTCATTACTTCCACTAACATCCCACTAATTAGAACTTCGTATATTGTTGCTTCTAACTGCAAAAAAGGCTGGGAAATGTAATCTCTCTGTGTACCAGAAGAAAAACTGGGTTTGGTCAACAGTTAGCCAGTTTCTGCTGAACCTATTCTACTGGTTATCACATAGTCTTTTATTCTTCTTCCTACACAAGCTAACCTCTTTCTCAAAAGAGACAATTCAAAATCCCAGCCAGTCACTATGTCCAGCTCAAAATACAGGATCTCCAAGTGATAATGATGTACAGTTCTTTCTCTATCTGATAAAAATGTGGCCTTATAGTTCAGCAACATATCAATTAAAATGATAAATTATCTGCCCATTTCCTTCCCCCCCACCCCCCCCACACACAGGAATATAGCACTTATTACCTTTTAATTTACTATATACCTATCTCCTTTGTTTGGTGTCACCTTCCACTAGAACTTAAACTCCATGATAGCAGATTTTTGCCTCCCCACCCTTCCATTGCTGTATTCTCAGTGTCTACAAGTAAATAATTGTTAAATATTTATTTACCTTGCCCAAAATAAGCATGTATTATTTTTACAGTAAAATTAATTTTAAACAGAAATGCAAATATCTTGGGAAGTGGTTAAGCATCATTCATACCTTGGTTTCAATTTCCCACATCTCACTGATAGAACTGAATCACCACTTTTGGAGCTGGGGTTTGTATAGGCAGGGAAAGAGAGTAGGATGGTGGAATGTAGGACTATGGAGAACTGAAACGGCATGAAGACACTGGTCTGCAAGAGACCAAAAAAGTGGAGTCAAGAGGTGAAAGACAGGATCAGAATGAAAGGTGAGAGAGTAACAAACTTTGGTTTGAGCCACAAGAGTAATTAATTAGTTAATTAACTGATTAGGAACTTGTAAACTCCTTCATTCAATAGTAACATATTGATTTTTATCTGCCAAAACTGTGATGAGTATTTGGGATTAAAAAATGAACAAGAGACAGAGCATGACCTCGAGAAACTCATATCTGGTTTTGGGGGACAAAATATCGTGAGTATATGAGTGTGATGAGGGAGATGTGAATGGAATGTTATGACAACACAGAAAGAAAGCAATTAAACAGGCCATGGCCAAGTGGCGGACAGATCCAAGAAAAGTTTCAGGAAGAAAGAACCTGAGTCTTAGAAGAGAGGATACCATTTGTGATGGTTTCAAGGCAAAGGAGAGAAAGGCATAATGCATTCAGAAGACTGGACTTTAGGGAGTGAGTAAGGGGGTTGGAGATGTTAGCAGGTGACAGATTGTGAAGGTTCATTCTTGTCCAGTTCTAATTCCTTTAAGCCACCAAGCTGTCCCTACACACACACACACACACACACACACACACACACACACACACACACTACATGAAGGGGAGTTCTACTCCTTACATATAACTCCTTTTCATTTTTAATCTGTCTCATTGTTTTGGTACTTTGGAAATACTCTTATCTAAATATCAACCTTGATGCCCACTGGAAAGCAATTGTAGTCCTCATCTCTGGAAAAGCTTCCTCAAGCCATCCTATTCATACTCTCCTCCTGGTTCCATTTGCTCCAGAACCCTTTATTTCCCTCTGCCAAAGTTACTTCCATCCCAGATGCAGACATTATAAGCCTTTATAAGCTTTGCTAAGACATGTGCACTTGAACCTAGACAGCCACCAAAGAATTTTAATCCTAAGCATGATAACATAATAAAATTTACATTTTATAAAAATCACTCAGCAGTGTAGAGGATGGCTTGGAAGGGCATAAACTGGTAGCAGAAGACATTTAGAGTAAACTAAAAAAAAATAAAGGCTGACATTATGCCTTGTTATTATCAGTAAAATAAAATATAGTTTTAGATAAATGACTGTTCATATCAGTCATAACAGAACATTCCAGTCCAGGTATGTTAAAGATCTGTTTGTTATTTGCCCTGTGGAGATAAAGGGAAAGGTGAGCAAATAATAGTATCTTCATTAGAATTTAAAAATCATCTAACATTAAATTTTATGCTCTCTGCCTACATGTAAGAAAGGCAAACTATTAATTTGTTTAAAGGATTCATTAAACTGATTTCAGAAAAGACATAATTTTATTACCCTTTATTTTACTTTATTTATCTTTATTTTACTGTGTCTAGCAAGACCAAAAATAATAAACTAACTCTTTAAAGATAAAAAAGATAAGTGGGTTATATCTGGATTTTTTTCCTAAAGGCTCAGAATTTTAATTAAGTATTATCTTAACATGTGTTCTTAATAAATTGTTTCATAAATGAGATAAGGTACATGAGAGTATAAAGTATATTTAATTGGAGCCTGCTTTGTGCAAAGCACTCTGGCAGATAGAAAGAAGAGTAAAAGATGTTCCCTGCCTCAAAGAAACTTTTATATAATATATATCCCAGAAACACTCAATTTAAGATTAATACCTTCTTAGCCAAGAGAGTATACATGAAGCGTTTGTGACTATCTCAAAAACACAAGCACGATAAACAAAATATTCAGCTTCTAGACTGACAGCTTGTAAAGAATTGAGCAGACCAAACTGGGCCCAAAATCTACTTCACTCATCCTCTCCTGCTTAATGAAATATCCTGAGAAAATATCAAACGCATATTGAAAGAAATGAAAGCAATAAACTAATTAGAACTGACAAGGTTATCTTAAAACAGGAGAATCACAGATGATGGAGACCATGACATTAGCATCTTTTTCACAACACAGAAGAAACTGAGGACTCAGGTGATTAATATGTCTTGCCTAGATTCATACAGTTTAGGGACAGCACTAGAGTTTGAATCCAATTCCCCAAATTATTAGTAGTCTTTTCATTTTACCACATTGACAGGTAGAAGAATAGACCTCCCCAAACAATATGAAATAGCAATTATTTTCTGCATTTAGATATAGTCCAGCCCAAGTCTTCTCTAATTTATAAAAATATCTTTGAGAGAAAGGAGAGTTTTTGAAAAAATATATTTTAATCTTTAATCCCTTCTACTTTGCTATTCTAATACCATGGTAAGGACAATCTAAAGTAAAAATTCTTTTTTCTTCTTCTTCTTTTTGGAGACAGAGTCTCACTCGCTCTGTCGCCCAGGCTGGAGTGAAGTGGCATGATCTCGGCTCACTTCAACCTCCATCTCCTGGGTTCAAGTGATTCTCATGCCTCAGCCTCCTGAGTAGCTGGGACTACAGTTGTGCATCACCACGCCTGGCTAACTTTTTGTATTTTTAGTAGAGATGGGGTTTTGCCATGTTGCCCAGGCTGGTCTCAAACTCCTGGGCTCAGGCAATCTGCCTGCCTCGGCCTCTCAAAGTGCTAGGATTACAGACATGAGGCACCACACCCTACCTAAAGTAAAAATTCTCTAAGAAATTGGAAGATACCCCTATTTTGATTCTAAGAGACTGGAAATCTGCGTTATCTAAGTCCCATGGCACTGTGCATGAGAAGGTAGAAGGAATCTTAGGCAGGGGTAGAAAGTGAGCCAAAGTGCCAAGACTGAAATATGATCGGTTTAGCTAAGGCAAAGGTTAAGATGGAAAGGTAGGTAGGTGCTAAATTGTGAAGGGCCTTTAAAAAAATCAAATGAAAAATACATATATGTATATGTAGATACATATATACGTGTATGTAGATACATATATACGTATATGTAGATACATATATATGTGTATGTAGATACATATATAGTGTATGTAGACACATATATGTGTATGTAGATACGTAGATACATGTATGTGTATAGAAAATACATACATATATGTAGATACATATGTAGATATATAGATATATATATGTTGATACATACATATATGTATGTATGTATACATATAATGTTTTTCTAGAAAAAGTCTATCAGGCGACGAAAGACAATAATGCCTGAGAAAGAAAATAAGAGAAGTTCTATAATTGCTCTAATTTACTGCATGGAGAAAGTGTCCATGTTGTGCATCAGGGAGAGGAACGCAGACAAAGCCTGGTGATCTCTGAGTTGAGAAAAACCTGGAAGTCAGAGGAGGCCATGGTAGGTAATGTTTGCAGGGTGGAGTAGAGGAGTGGTAACAGCTACATAGAGAATTCCAAAAATCTGCAGATCTCCCATGAATCTTCAGCTGGGTAATGAAAAGTGCATTTATGTACAAATTCCATCTGAAGCTGGGGGAAACACTTGAAAAGAATTATTTCAAACAATTCCAAGTGTTCATACAGGGTTGGATATAATGCCTCTTCCTACCAAAGAGAGTGGAAAATGTCATAATTCACAAGATATCATGGAATACTCACAGAGCTGTGCCTCATATTAGGGAAAAATTGACCCTAGACTAAATGCTGCTCTTGTCCCATGTACCAAAGCATAAAAGCAAGATCTGAAAGATTCAAACTGTTTCCAAGTGACTTAACTGCACCCCATGACAAGTTTAAGAATATTTATAGGAATACAAAAATGCCAAAAACCAGCAAAGCAAAATTTACAATGTTGGCCATTGAATCATAAATTATTTGGAATTCAAAGAAAGGGGAAAATATAACCCATCATAAGGGGAAAAACCCAACCCATTGACATTGACCCAGAAATGATAAAGGTGACAAGATAAGGATTCATGTACAAGGACATTAACAGTCATAATTATATCATATATTCAAGAAACTAGAGGAAACATTGAACATGTAAAATAGAAACATGGATAATACAAAAAAGACATAAAATTCTAGAGTTAAGGTCAGCAAACGTTATTTATAAAGAGTCAGAAAGTAAATATTTCAGGCTTTGCAGGCCACTTAAAGTATTCTTTCTTACGAAAACCTTTTAAAATGTAAAATCATTCCTAGCTCGTGGACTATACAAAAAAAGGGCCAAGGGATAATTGTCCATGGGTCATATTTTGCTACCTCCTGTTCTAGAGGGTAAATCTACAATGTCTGAAATGGAAAATACATTGAATATGATTAATAGCAGAGTAGGCAAGTAGAAGAAAAGTGAACTTGAAGACATAGCAATAGAAACTATTCAAAATGAAACACAGAGAACACAAAACACTAAAGAAAAAAGAACAGAGCTTGAGTAGGTTATAGGACTACTATAAGCTGTCTAATATATGCATAATTATAGTTCCCAAAGGAAATGAAAAATATTTGAAAATATAATGGCCGAAAATATTCCAAAATTTGGTGAAAAGTCTAAACCCATAGATCCATGAACCAACAAACCTGAAGCATAAAAAAAGTGAAGAAAATTATACCAGGGCACATTACGGTCAAACTGCTTTTTTAAACGAAGAAAAGATTTTAAAAGCAGACAGAAGGGAGAAAAAAAGCCACATTACACAACTAGGAATCAAAATAAAGGTAACAGCAGATTTCTTGTTGGAAACAATGCAAGAACACAGTGGAGCAGCATCTTTAAAACATTGGGAAAAAAAGTCACTCTAGAATTCTATGCCCTATGAAGATATCTTTCAAAAAGAAAGTTACAGTCATGACATTTTAAGACATGCAGAAGCAGAAAGTATACATCACTAGCACACCTACATTCTAAGAAGTGTTAAAGGTCAAGAACAAAACAATACCAGATGAGAATCTAAGTCAACACTAAAACATAAAGAGCACTGGAAATGATAACTATGTGGGAAAATACAAAAGAATTTATCACATATTTAAATGTCTTTTAAAAATAATTGACCATTTAAAGCAAAAAAATGCATTGTGAGGTTTATAACACATGTAGAAATAAAATGTATGACAACAGCACAAAGCATGGGAATGGAAAATGGAAGTATAGTGTTATAAGGTTTTTTAATACACGTAAGGTATGTAATACACTTGACATTGGATCATGGTAAGCAAAAACTGTATATGATAAACCTTCAAATAACCTCCGAAATACCATAAAAAGAGCAATTGCTAATAAGCCAACAAAGGAGATAAAATTGAATCATTAAAAAATATTAATGCAAAATAAGTTTAAAAAAGAATAAAAGAGGGGAAAAGAACAGATAGTGCAAATAGAAAACAAGCAACAACATGATACATTTAAACCAAAACATCCATAAATACATTAAATACAAGTGGTATAAACATATCAATTACAAGCCAGATTGAGACCTCCAAGAAATCCACTTTAAACATAAAGACAAAAGTAGGTTAAAAGTAAAAAGATAGGAAATTCTATATCATAGTAACATAAATCAAAATAAAGTTGAAATGATTGTATTAATACAATACTAAGTAGATTTCAGAGCAAAAAATTTCACTCGGGAAAATGAAGGCCATTTCATAATGGTGAATTAT
This sequence comes from Homo sapiens, assembly GCF_000001405.40. NCBI lineage: Eukaryota > Metazoa > Chordata > Mammalia > Primates > Hominidae > Homo > Homo sapiens. The sequence continues at coordinate 70,408,894 of NC_000006.12, forward strand.
TCATATAAATTCATTGAGAGGACCTAACTATCCTAAACGAATATGCACTTAATAAAAGCGTGTCAAAATACATGAAGTAAACACACATAAAACTACAAAGAGAAATGGATAATGCCTACTGCGTTGAAATTTTGTTATAAGGAGCAGAAATAATGTATATTAAGACTAGCACTCAGCAGATGATAAAGGTTCAAGATGTTATCTACTGTTACTAGTATCAGAAAACTAAAAGATATTATAGTAGTTTATGCAATGCTTAAAGTTTTACTCAACTTTTTTTGTTTTTGCTGTAAAATGTAGATTTAAAATCTACAAATTACATTAATTTCCATTCACATTGTACCTTAAATCCTTTCTCCAGTCTCACCAGAAGAGATGTTCCTCTTTTTGTTCAAGTTTGACTTTTCCTTGGACTACAGAAGCATTTTGAAACAGACAAAATATTTTGAAAGAAAGGTCAGACAAGACATGGAAATGGAATGGACAGGAAACTAAAAAAAGGGAAGCATCAAATATAGCTGTGTTAGACATAAACATGGGAACAGTAGACGCTATGGACTACTAGAGGAGGAATGGAGGCAGTGGAGTGTGGGTTGAAAAACTACTTGCTGGGTACTATGCTCACTATCTGGGTACAATATACCCCTGTAACAAATCTGAACATACACCTTCTATATCTAAAATAGAAGTCGAAATTAAAATGTGTGTGTGTGTGTGTATATATATACACACGTATATATATATGTATATATATGTGTATATATATGTGTGTATGTACATATATATATAGTTGTGGAATAACTTTGACTATATCTCATTTTTAATTTTCAAATAATGACCATACTTACAACAGGAATATTTTAAAAATCATAAAGCCCAGTAAGGAAAAAGCCAGCTTAATTTTTTTTTTTAGTAAATTAATGTTTAGCATCTGACAAATATGAGACATCCTTCATGAGGCTATTTTCTTTTTCTTTCTTTCTTTTGTTTTTTTTTGAGATGCAGTCTTGCTCTGCCGCCCAGGCTGGAGTGCAGTGGTGCAATCTCGGCTCACTGCAACCTCTGCCTCCAGGATTCCAGTGATTCTCCTGCCTCAGCCTCCCAAGCAGCTGCGATTACAGGCACTCACCACCACGCCTGGCTAATTTTTGTGTTTTTGGTAGAGACAGGGTTTCACTATGTTGGCCAGGCTGGTGTCGAACTCCTAACCTCGTGATCCACCCGCCTAGGCCTCCCAAAGTGCTGGGATTACAGGCATGAGCCACTGCGCCCGGCCTTCATGAGGCTGTTTTCAAATTTACAATATTCATTTCTTCTACTGTCTCAATCTTTAGCTGAACCAATGTTGTGCAACCGAGAAAGGGAGAGATAACCTGATCTTTGGATTAAGAGAATACTCCACAGTTAGAAGGGTTTAGCAAACATTCAAAAACACTCCATGCCAAAGTTAAATTATGTAAACCAATTACAAGATAGAAAGGATTCCAAATCTTATATTCCTTGAGCACAACATAGATTGAAAAGGACACATATATAACATAAAATGTTAATGTACATTAAATGTGACACAAAACTGTTTATTAGCAGCATAATGGGTGACACCAAACTTGGGAAGATAAATATGGGAAGTAAATTTAGAATCAGGAAATTTCTAGACAAATTTCTAAAGGAATTCAAAGTCTATATAATGTGATTATCTTCTTATATTTGAGAGAAAACAGACCTAGAGAAGATAAGAGACTCTCAAGATAACACAGTATACTGTAGACTCTAGAATTAGAACCAGGTAATCTGACAATTAGATCAGTATGCTATACTCTCTAGTAGTCTGTACCTCAGTAGATGCCATAAATTTTCGTATTTCTTATTGTTTTTGTTGTTGTTGTTGCTGTTCGTTTTGGTTTTTTTTGCGATGGAGTCTCACTCTGTCACCCAGGCTGGAATGCAGTGGCACGATCTCGGCTCACTGCAACCTCCACCTCCCAGGTTCGAGTGATTCCCATGCCTCAGCCTCTGGAGTAGCTGGGATTACAGGCGCCTGCCACCACGCCCGGCAATTTTTTTATTTTTAGTAGAGATGGGGTTTCTCTACTAAACCCAGGCTGGTCTCAAATTCCTGACCTCAAGTGATCTGCCTGCCTCGGCTTCCCAAAATGCCGGGATTACAGGAGTGAGCCACCCCAGGTGAATTTTCTTATTTCTTTAAGAGATTATTTTATATTCTTCTATCAATAGATAATTACCAGGAAGTCCTGCTAAATCTCTAGGTTAGTTAAGTGCTCCTCTTCTGGGTTCCCAGACAACCCCGTACCTACCCCAATTTTAACTCTGTAGCAGAACTTGTTTTTTTTTTGTTTTTACATGCCTGTCTACCCCTGCTAGATTGCAAACTCTGAGATTTTAGACTGACCCTTAACTTTCATTATATCCCTCAGTAACTAGCACAGTATTTGGCAAATATCTAATAAGCTATATATATATATATAATGGTTGAACTGATTTGACTTTTTTTGAAGGCTCACCATGATCCTTGTCAACTTCTCCAGCCTCACATCCCTAAACAGTGGCATAGAAGTCTTAGTTTTAGTTCAGCACAAAGACCAGTTTCTTACTGTACAGCTTCTGTTCAAGCAATCCTTTTCCCTTTACTCCTCCCAACCGCCACCACAAGACATCCCACTTCAACTCTCTGGAATCATTTTCTCCTGGAAGTTTTTCCTGACCCATGACCTCTTCCCAAAGTTGGATTAATGCTTCTTCTGAGCTTCAATAGCTCTCTGTGCATTTATCTCTGCACTATACACATTACATCATAGGGTAATAATGCAAACACTCCACCCAAGTTCTTTTTCATTCATGTTGGTATCTTCCAAGATTAGCACACTGCCTGGCACACAGCAGATGAGTTAACAATGTGATTTGAATAAAAAGAACGTGGAACAGGGAAAGAATCTTGGCACACTGTGTGTTTTAGGGATGCACGGACGTGGAAATGCAAATAATTGGTTGTTTACTATATTTTCCTAAGACATGGCTGGAACTAAAAAAAAAACAGAAAAAGCCTTTCCAATTTTGAGGCTAAAGTTCAAGTCACAAAACAAGCAATAAAAGCCTGTTTAGCAAGGATAGTAAAATGGTATAGGGCTATAAAAGAAGGGACAAATTAGAAATCAGGAAAGCAGGCCATTCATACAAATGCAAATAAATTGGTTCACAGGATAAGAGGACACCCAATCATGTAAAAACTGGTACAAGCCAGGCACGGTGTCTTAGGCCTGTAATCCCAGCACTTTGGAAGGCCAAGGCGGGTGGATCACCTAAGGTCAGGAGTTCGAAACCAGCCTGACCAATATGGTGAGACCACGTCTCTACTAACAATACAAAAAGTAGTCAGGCGTGGTGGTGTGCGCCTGTAGTCCCAGCTACTAGGGAGGCTGAGACAGGAGAATTGCTTGAACTCCGGAGGCAGAGGTTGCAGTGAGCCGAGATCACATTACTGCACTCCCGCCTGGGCGACGGAGCAATGCTCTGTCTCACACACACACTCGAAAAAAAAAAAAACTGGTACAAAGATATATTCAAAACCTGTCCCCTAAATGGCCTACGTTACAAGACCTCACCATTACTTTCAAATGAATGCACAAAGCTTTTCCCTTCTAATTCATTCTTATTGTGGTAAAATATACATAACAGAAAATTTACCATTTTAACCATTTTTAAGTGCACAGTTCAGTAGCATTATGTCCATTCATTGTTGTGCAACCAACACCACTATCCATCCTAGATTCATTTTTAAAACAAGAGTCGCAGCTGAAATTTTCCTTTCATTAACTCAGCTTTAGCAACATACTGAACTTTATGCACCACAAAAGTTTTTGCCAGATAAGGTTCAGAAACAGGGAAGAGTGAAATAAATCAATGATCCTTCGTGGGCTTCTGTTAACGGAATGTATTAGCGAAAGGCTTCACTTCATCAGCCCCCTCCCGCCCTTTTTGGCGTCATAAACCAAGAAACAACCAGATCAGCACCCACATCTCCCAAGATGCAAACACTGGGTCCCGAAAGGCATCTGTCCTGCCCCGGCGCAGATCCCCTGCAGCCTCCTTTCCTACTGCACAAATCGACTAGCGCAGGGACCGGGCTCTCTACCCGGGACTGCACGGAGGAGCTAAAGAGAGAAAAGGAGAAACAACATTGTGAGAAAAACGGCTAAAGTTCTCGAACTCCGTGTTTTTGCCCTCTTCTTGTTCACTACTCTTCAACCACCTCCAAGTTCCATCCCTTAAACCCACAAGCGAGCCCCTTTTCTTGACGCGCGCCTTTTATTGACGCAAACCTCCCGTTCTCGCGGGAACTTGGGAACGGGAGCCTGGTAGGGAGGACAAATCTCTCGAAATCTCAGTTGGCGCTGGAGCTGGAGGGGCAGTTGAAGCTCCTGAAGGGCGGGGCACGGAGCTTGAAGGGGCGGGGCCTAGCCTCAGAGAGGGGAGGGAAGAGGCGGGAGGAGGAGGTGAGAGAGGCCGGGGGCGGGGCCGTGCGGCCGGGGACCTGTTGATCGCAGGTATAGCCGGCTGGCCCGGGCTCCCTCGGGACTGGGGCGACTGCGCATGCTCGCTGGCCGCGCTGGGCCAGTAGCCGAGCCGCGGTGACGAACCGGCTCCGCGGTTGCGGTGTTTGCGGTTGCTGTGATGGCGATGTGAGGGGGCCCGGGGCGGGATGGTGCTGACCCGGGTCGGGCCGTCTTCTTGCAGCTGGACAACGAGCTCCTCCGTTCGACAGGCGGGGGAAGAGGCCGAGCCGGGCGAGAGGTAACCCCCTTACTGTCCCCTCTGGCTCCCCCGGCTCCCGACACCCACGACCCCTCCCTCCGTCCCTCTTGCCCAGGGGCCAGGAAGGAAGCGGCCTCCTCTTCGTCCGCCGTTCGCCCGCCGCGGCCCCTCACCCGACTGCTGGCGGTCGGAGCCTGGCCCCGGCCCCGTTGAAGGTCGGTGGGGACGGCGGTGCGGAGCGCTCTGAGGGAGGCGAGGGGCCGCGGCGCGCTGCTCTCCCGGTGCCCGCGGCCGCCCCTGCCCCTGCGCGCGTCCCTCGACCCGTTCTTCCTGAACCTCGCGCCTAGCGTGTTTGCCCTTCACCCCTGCTCCATCTTCGTCGCTCTGTCCCTCCTTTACCCGCTTTCGTGGTTCTGCTTTTTCATCCCGCGCCTCCCACGTGTCTTTTTGCCCGGGTGGTCCCTCCTTGGGAAGCAGCGTATCTCTGTGCTTCCATCCCTTGCCTGGCTCTTCCCTGTCCGGAGCTCCTTACCCTGGCCGACCAGGTTTCTCACTCTTGTTACCTCCATAATTTCTTCCTTGGTTTTATTTTCCTCTCATCCACCTCCTTTCGGTACTTCCTCCTGGTTCCCTTTTTGTTAGTTGCCGATTGTGTTTTGCTTTAGCATCGCTTTGCATTGGAGTTCATTCCATGCCCCATCTTAGCTTCGGAAACCCTCACTGCCTTCTCTTTCCTCTGGTACCCTGCTTCATCGCTTTCTGTCTAATGGCCCCTATCCTCACGTCCTTTTCCATTCTGCACCCAGTGAGTCTCTAATCTTAATTTTTTCCCCTCCAAAACTCTTCCACCCTCCCCCCCCCATTTGTATAAGTCAAGCCTCTTAACTTCATTCCATTTGTTTTACTTTTTATTAAATCTCTGAAGACTTCTTTGTGACATACCCTTCTAGTCCTTGCTGCTTTCTGCCTAAGCTAGGTATCCACTCAATGTTTCTAGTTCATCTTCCAGTTTAATAACATTTCTTCTTTCTTTACCGGTTGGTGGAAGTATCATCAAAAGAGTGACAGTAGCAACAAATCGGTTACACTTACTGATTAAAGCTTTAATTTTTAAGAATTATGTTTACCTGGCATGCCTGGGAAAGCAACTTGAGTACAGACTAAATGAAACTATAATGGGTTAAGACTTGTTAAAGGTTGACCTACAAACATACACTTAAAATTTGGAAATTTTCTTGTCCTCCATTAGGTGTAGCTGTCCAAGAACTAATCTTAAATGAAATTTAACAGAATTTCTTTTTTAAAATGTATTATTAATTTGTTTTATACATTTGCTATTGCAATTGATTGCATAATTTTCCTGAGAGTCTCTGTTCTCTAATAAATGCATACAATTTCTGCTACCTTTAGAATTAGTGTGCTTATAGGAGACATACGTGAGAAGTATTAAATTTTTTAATTGAGCAGAAGAACTTTCTAAACGGTTTTGTAATTTTTTTCCTCCATTGCATTGTGATCAAGATTTGGCTTAAATAAAACTTCTCTTTCCATAAATAATGGTATAGTATCTTATTTTGAAGGCATCTGCTGAAGCAATTATGTTTAGTGAAGTTTGTCTTTATTGTAGGGTTGAAGATCAACTGGATTATGTATTTGGTTCTGGAATCTCAAAGCAGTCCACAAACAAATTCTTCCTTATGTTGTCTGTGTCAGGTAGGAATTAAGTTTTCTGTTTCTGTTTTAAGAAGGGAAATACCAAGGCAAAAAAAAAAGTGTAGTTCCTTATTCAAAGTGATTTAAAGTAAAACTAGGAGGCTCTGGTGTCATCAAACCACACTTCTTTGAGAAGAACTAGCAATTGTGTATGGTAAGAGGTGATGCACTCATCAGCTTTTAAGATTTTTTAAAAATGATTTTTCAAATGCAAATAAAGAAACTGCTGCTTCTCAAGGAAGCTTGCACTTCCTTCAAATAAAAAGCCAGGTCTTTTTATTTTTAGGTAAACATTCATTTTAAAAAAGTAAATGCCTACAAATTCTTGCTGGTATTTTTAGTGAGTTGGTTCCTGTGCTCTTATAAATTAAATAGGGATTTGTGGTGGACAGCAGGCAGAAGACTAGAATTTCTAGTCAGAATATATGAACTCTTATGATGACTCATGACATTAGTTTGTAGAACCCACTTAACCTGTGTATCTCAGTATCTCCAGCTGTAAAGTAATTAATAGCAAAGCAAGCCCTAATCATTTAAACATGCTTAGGGCCACCGCAGACAAAAATTGCTATATAAATACTTAGTTTTTATCTCTTTAATTTTAGACTGTGTAGTAAGAGTATAATTGACTGCTTAAATCCCAAATCAAACATTTCTTTTTTAAATTTCAGACTTCTGTGAAAAGTCTAGTAGAATGCTGGTGAACTGTGGACTAGCACTCTATTAGACTTTTCTAATGTACTAGATAGATGTACCAAATAAAATGACCTGGCTTTGAAAGAAGTGCAAGCTTCCTTGAGAAGCAGCAGTTCTAATGTACTAGAGTTTTCTAATTAGTACATTAACTAATGTTCACACATTAGTTAATGTTCATACACAGTGAAACAGACACTGCAGCATTCAGTTTGTAAAACAGATATTCCTTTTGTTTGCCACGAGTTGACACTGAAAGGAAATGTAAGAGTTACACCTATATCTTTAGTTAATCCTTAATTTTCTGTTTTATATTTTTATTTTGTTTACATTAAATAAAATCTTTATTTTGTTTACATTAAATCCTTGTTGTGAGGGCTGTTTAGGGGGTAGAAAAGCCAAGGATTTCCTTTGCTTTGATTCTAGGTATTGAGGAAAAAGTGCTTTAACATTGAGTTTTTTATATGTACATGTGTGCATTTAAATAAATGGATGGAGCTGAGGGCATATAGATTTGAAGTGTTTTTTCATGAGTTGTTTGTCAGGAAGAAGGTTTAGAGATGACTAGGAATAAGGTGGGGTGTGGTGGCTCATGCCTGTAATTCTAGCACTTGGGGAGGCTGAGGCAGGAGGATCTCTTGAGGCCAGGAGTTCAAGACCAGCCTGGGCAACAGAGCGAAACCCTCTCCTAATTAAAAGAAAGAAAGAGGAATAAGAAGCAGAATGGTAATATAGAAGAAATCATTCTTAATGGACTCAGTGGTTTTTCAGAAAAGTTACAAAGCATAAGTGATTAGGCAGGTCTAGGTTTTTCAGAAGGAATAAGGTGAAACAACTCCACAGTAGGTTCACATTTTATTTTTAAAGATTGGCAGTTGTTAACAGGTACATACTTGGTTATTGATAATGTGCTAAATTTAGAAGAAATATTAGCTTCTTTTTTCCTAATAGAAATGTAAAAGTATCAGGCATATTATACCATTAAGAGACATCTCCTACTTGAGTAACTAACCCTTCAGGTAGTTCTTATTTTGATGAAAAAAATTTGATAAACTATCTCTCAACCGAGAAACCATTCTGAGAAAATTATAGCATATTTCCTTTTATGGCATTAGGTCTCTATGAGATCATACAGAATATAGAACATATTTCTAAATTATGTTATAAATATATTGATAATAGACTGGGACTTTTTTTTTTTTTTTGACAGAGTCCCACTGTATTGCCTCTACCTCCCGGATTCAAGCGATTCATGTGCCTCAGCCTCCCAAGTAGCTGGAATTACATGCCCAGGCCACCACACCTGGCTAATTTTTGTATTTTTAGTAGAGATGGGGTTTCACCATATTGGCCAGCAGGTCTCAAACTCCTGGCCTCAAGTGATTCTCCCGCCTCAGCCACCCAAAGTGCTGGGATTACAGGCATGAACTACTATGCCTGGCTGTAGTCTGGGACATTTCTGTTAAGTGTTATGAAATGTTCTTTTGCTACTGGTCTTAATTTAACCTGAACTAGAATAAGTATTCCTTTATTGAAATACCCTTGAAGTTGCCTATAGGATGCAGCTGTTTCATTCATGATTGTTTTTAGAGCAGTGTTAACTATGACACTTGCTCTTTGATGTCTTCAGATTGCCAGCAAGTCAAGGGCTTACATTGGAAATACTGCTATCTATAAATGTCTAAGCAGCAAGGTCAGCCCTTATTGGCAATAAAAAATGTAAGACTGTGGAAGCCTGTATACCCTTTACCATCTCTTTTATCTTTTGGAATTGAGAATCCCAGATTTTTAGAACAGCCTCAGGTTTACTATATTTGGTATCATCAACAGAGAAACATATAGCTTTTTAAAACATAGTTTGTCTTATATTCTAAAAAGCGATTCTCATTGTCTTTCCTTTGGAAGATGTCCTTTCTCACCCTCTCCACCAAAGAGAAAAAATTAGTGTTCTATTTTTTTCTTAAGTATTTCTATAATTCATGCAATATGGCATATGGCTGGCCCTCATGAGTTCATTTTGATGAGTGAGGAATGGCTGCAAAAGTTTCTAGACAAGGGATTTTCCTTACTTTGTGCCCTTTAGTGTAATGATTCTACTAAGCTCACCTTTGCTGTGAATCACTTTTAAAATGAGATAATGTTTGTGATAAAAGTTGTATATGTGAGTGATTGTAGGGCAAAAGAAGGTCATGAGTGATGATGATCTACAGAGTGAGGCAAGTGACAGCTGGCTTGGTCATTTTATTTAATTTATTTGTTTATTTATTTATTTATTTATTGAGCCAGAGTCTGCTCTGTTACCCAGGCTGGAGTGCAGTGGTGTGATCTCAGCTCACTGCAACCTCCTCCTCAAGGGTTCAAGCGATTCTCCTGCCTCAGCTTCCTGAGTAGCTGGGATTACAGGCCCGTGCCATCACACCCAGGTAATTTTCTTACTTTTAGTAGAGACAGGGTTTCGCTATGTTGGCCAGGCTGGTCTCGAACTCCTGACCGCAGGTGATCCACCCAAAGTGCTGGGATTACAGGCATGAGCCACTGTGCCTGACCTGGCCTGGTCATTTTAGAGCAGGGATATAATCCAGTGACTGAGCATGTTTAGTCTCTGTAAGAGGGAGCTTACTTACAAAGTTGGGCAGGAGGTCAGGGCCTCAGCCAATCAAGAAGGAAACTGAATGTAAATCAAGAAATACGACTATAACTCAGATAGTCGGGCTGAACCAAACCAATACAGACCTAACCAATTCAGGTGGCCAGAATTTACACCAGATAGCAGGTTTGGGGATGCAAGACTAATCCACATGTCACTGGCTGATTGTTTGCAGTTTACTGCTGTATGGTCTGACTTGGTCAAGATTAGCTCAAAGACTGTAAGGGCCAGAGCTTATGTTGATTGGAGTTCTGTGCTATAGGTGACTGGGATTTAGGAAAGATGGCAGCTAGGTGTACCTTCTGCCAAGAAACTCATTTTCCTACTCCGCTGGGTCGGCTACAGAACATGACTGTTACAATAATACTTGGTTATTTACAACAGAACAGCATTCTCAAGATTTCTAAGAGTATTCCTGTTTTGGCCAGGCATGGTGGCTCACGCCTGTAATCCCAGCACTTTGGGAGGCCGAGGCAGGCAGATCACGAGGTCAGGAGTTCAAGACCAGCCTGGCCAATATGGTGAAACCCAGTCTGTACTAAAAATACAAAAATTAGCTGGGCGTGGTGGCGCACGCCTGTAGTCCCAGCTGCTTGGGAGGCTGAGGCGGGAGAGTCACTTGAACCTGGGAGGCAGAAGTTGGAGTGAGCCGAGATAGCGCCACTGCACTCCAGCCTGGGTGACAGAGCGAGACTTCGTCTCAAAAAAAAAAAAAAAGTATTCCTGTTTTGGGCTTCTTGCTTATTCCTTTAGAGAAGGCCCAAGAACATCAATGCAAAATTAGACTACCTAGTATTAAATGTACTGCATTAACCTCCTTCTAGATTTAGAACATCTCTCTGTTCCCATCATTCCCATCTTATTTCTGTTTAGCAAACTTGAATTTAATTAAATAGTATGCAGATTACGTGTTTTTCCCTCGGTTGGTCTCAGATCTGGAATGTCAGTCTCAGTTCCCACATATTGTCATAGTGTAAGCCCCTCATCTAATTGTGTGTGAATCTGCTGTTCCTTCATTTGGTATCAGTTCTCATATGTCTCTCATAATGTGAGCCTCTCATTACATTGAATGAACATTTCAAAGTATGTATATTTTTTGTACAATATGGCCCCTGAATCCACGTTTACTACATTCTCTGGTGTTCAGGTGAAGAAATCGAATTTTTTCTTAAAGCTAAAGGAAAAAGTGAATATATTGTGCATAATGAGAGTGATATATTCGTTGCTAACATGAGGCCTAAGGGATTTTTAAGCGTTTTTAATTCGGTCTGTAGGCGACTTTTGCCTTATGTGGTATCTTTTGGGCATCATTATTCAGACTATCAGTATTTTGGGCTTTGAACCAATTTGTTTCATGGATGCTAACTTGGAAGTAGAAACTGGAGCTGTTGTCACCATAGTTTATGGAAGCAGTACCGTTTTTCCTTAGAGTGACAAAAGGGAGTGTCTGGAATCTCCAATTTGTTCAACTTCTTTACCCTCTAGCTTAGGAGAAAGAACATCCTCAGGGCATCTGTGGGTTCATAATTCAGGAGTCAAGGCTGTTTGATGATTTCTGTGAGAGAATCTGATCATTCCCTGTGGTCTCCAGTCCATCTTGAGGGACCTGTGTCTCTTAGTTTTGGATGTGTCCATTTCCTCTTTTAGGTTCTGAAGCACTCATGAATTCTGACTATGTGCAAGGTGTAGTTAGCTATTGTTTTAGGATCACTGTGGATGGTGCAGGAACGTCTCCCACATTTTTCCAGATATCCATGCCTGGACTCTCCTTTGTGGATATTGGATGTAACTCAGCTGATCTGATGGGAGCGAAGATGCCTGTAGTCTTAGGAACTTTGTATGGTTTTATGTACTTAGTACTATATTTGAAGGAGTTAACTATACACTCCAGCAGTTAAAGGGATGGCTTGGTATTCCTAGACTATGCTATCCAATAGAAGTATGTGAGATGTATAATTTAAATTTTTCTAATAACCACATTTAAAAAATTAAAAATAAGTAAAATTAATTTTAATAGTAATTTAATCCATATTTTCAAAACATTATTTCAAGATGTGATAAATATTTTAAAAACATATTAATGAGATATTTATGTTCTTTTTTGTACTAAGTCTTTGAAATTCTTTGTATACTTTATACTTACAGCATACCTCAGCACACACTACTTTTTTTTTTTTGTTTTTGGAGACAGAGTCTTACTGTGTCGCCCAGGCTGGAGTGTGTGGCGTGATCTCAGCTCACTGCAGCCTCAACCTCCTGGGCTCAAGCAGTCCTCCCACCTCAGCTTTCTGAGTAGCTAGGACCACAAGTGTGCACTACCACACCCAGCTAATTTTTGTATTTTATATAGAGACACGGTTTTGCCATGTTGCCCAGGCTGGTCTCGAACTCCTGAGAGCTCAAGCAGTCTGCTTGTCTCAGCCTCCCAAAGTGCTGGGATTATAGGTGTGAGCCACCACGCCTGGCCCACACTACTTTTTTTTAGTGTTCTACATTTTTAACTATTAAGGTAAAATGTAATCCCATCAAAATGATAAAGCTATGTTTAATGGAAAAATATTTTACACTGCTTCTGTGTTTGGATTTAAATTTAAATTAATTTAAAATTAAATAAAATTAAAAATTCAGTTTTTCAGTCACAGTAGTCACATTTCACTCGTTCAGTGGACACATGTTACAATGGCCACCATGTTGGACAGAGCAGCTCTAGAGGACCAAGAATGTCTTTCAGATTAATCAGTAAGTTTGTTTCTTTGAGAGTAAGCTAACTTTCCCCAAGGTATTAATAAGGTAGTTGTCAGATTGTTTACCCTATCAGGTTTGACTGGCAGAGAAATCAAATCCCTTCTTGTCTCTAAGGGCTTTTCACGTAAGTTTCTCACTTAGTTTCAGAGTCATTTCCTGTTTGGGATCCCCCTCTAGCTTTTTTGGATTGGTGTTTGTAGTTTACTTGGCTGGATTCTCACTTAGTGACCTGGGATATGACCCAGTAAGGAGCCCCATTTGAATAGACCTCCAGATGATTTCAGTTTTATGTCACTTTGCCAGGGCCAGTAGAACAGAATGAACAATTCAGTCTCCGGTAAGTCAGCTGATTCCAGTCATTTCAAAGGCATAGGTTTAAAGTAACAGGTTCCAAACCAGCCAGCAGACTGTGCAGGAGGGTCATGAAACTCTTAGCTTCTTGTAGATACAGAGAGTTCCTTGCAATGGAGAATCTGCCGTGCATCATCTGGGTAAAAGGAAAAAAGCTCTTTCTGCAACTTCTTGAGATGACAGACCTGAGTTTTTTTGGTTCATAAGTGGCGTTAAGAATCTGTGTAAGCAAGAGATTTTGCACTGTTCGCCCACAGAATGAATTTGCTCTGTTGTTGAATTTTGTTAGAAATACACAGTTTGTTTAGTTTTTATAACTAGTTGGTGGCATCTAAAATTAAGGAGATTTCACCTTTAGGGACAAAAAAGACTTCCAACTACCTCTTGAAAATTTAGAAGACCCTGATAGTGTTACGCCAGCAAGAACTGACTGGAGCTAAGTAGCCATTGCTCCCTATAGCTGGAAAACAAGTAGTTTCTAAGAAGAGGATCAAACAGATCCCCTTTCACTCCAACAGTCCTCTGAATTTTTTTTCCCTTGCTCTCTTTTGCCTGCTCTCCTTTTCCTTTAGTCCCTTTTTTGTATTTTTTCTTCTACTACAAAAATAAAAATATTCCTTCTGTTAGGCAGAGGGGAGGTAGTGGAAAACAGATTTGTCAGCATCATTATGTATATATATGTACATGTATGTTTCTATTTAGGGGATAATCAATACAAAAGAGGTAGATTAAAGGAAATTAGGCAGCAACAATAGAACAAAAAGCACAACAGGATACAAGAGTAAGAGTGGAAGAAACTGCAAACAGGCCTTGAACTTATACTGATAAAGGAATTTTATCACCAAAATTTGTTCATGCATATTTCTGCTTTCAGTATATCAGTGTAATAATTCCTTTCTCCAAGTTGGTTGAGTTTCAATTGAAGACAAGTAATAATAGTTACTATTTATGGAATCTTTAATGCTAATTTATTTTTCCTTAAATATTAAGTTGAGTACTATGTGCCAGACAATAGGAATATAGCAGTGAACAAAGTAGTCAGAATGTCCTGCCTTCGTGGAACTTTCATTTTAGTGGAGGAGAAACATTAAAGACTAATAAGTAAAATATTTAGTATGTTAGGTGGGGATAGGTGCTGAGGAAAAAATAAAGGACTAAAGAGATATGGTATGCCAGGAATAAAGAATTAATATTTTTGATAGTGCAGCCAGAAAAGGCCTAATTGAGAAGCTGGTATTTGAGTCAAGGCCAGAGGGAACTGAAGGAGTGAGTCCTGTGGATATCTGGAGAGAAGAATGTTCCAGGGAACAACGAGTGCAGAGGCCCTGAGACAGGAATATATTTCATGCGTTCAAAGAGTAGAAAGGAAATAAGTATGATGGGAGTGAGGAGAATCGTAGGAGATGAAGTCAGAGAAGATTCAGATTACATCATATAATTTTATAAGCCATTTTAAGGCAGTAAGATTGGAAGCCACAGAGGGTTTGGAACAGAGGAGAGAGACAAAAGCTGGTTTTTTGAAAATAGCCTGAAGAGGGGGAATATATTAGTTAGGGTATAGAGTAGGTATAGCTGCTGTAACAAAGAGTTACGAGACATGAAAGTCTGAGCAGTCTAGGTAGGGAAGACATTCGGTAATCCAGAATTTGTCCATTTTTTTGCTTTACCGTTCTTGAGGACTTGGTCCTAATCTATGTGATCAAAACTAGGGACACTGTCAAGTTGGTATTCCAGCCTGTAAGAAAAAGGGAAGCAGATGAAGTCCAGAGCAAAGAATTTCCTTTTAAACAAGTGAAGCAGATATTACATGTTTCACTTCAGTTTACATTCCATGGATAGGATCACTTGACATCAAGGGAGGTTGGGAAATATAGTCTCAGGCTGGGTGACCATTTGGCTAAAAGGAAGGGAAAACAGATGTGACAAGCAGTCTACCACAGTCTGCCACTTTGGCCTTCATCCTACCTGTTGATAATATTCCTATATTTCTTCCTCAAGGGAGACAACCCATAGTACCATCCATTAGTTGCATTAATCCAAGCTCACTGAGAGGCACAGTACTTTAGATCTGCAAGTCCAGTGACCTATAAACAAATCACAGTTATCTACTCCTCCTCCATCCCTCCCACACATACCCAACATATTATAGTGGATCAGAAACAGGAAAACAGTAATAAAATCTCCCATTTGGGAAAATAAACAATGAAAAAACTCTTTTCATGAGAATGATGAAGATCTCATGCCCTCGCAGTGGATTAATATCCTTAGTTCTGCTTTCTGGTAAGAATGAATGTCAATATTCATTGCATTAAGATCCCTGTCTTTGCTGTCTGGGTGTTTCTTCCTTACATTAACCTCTGTGGCCACATCTGAAGTTGATGTTGAAAGTTTGCCCACTTTGAAGGCTATTCAGTTTTCATAGCCTGCTTCTTGCTACTGCAGGTTTTCCAGCTTGCAAGTTACACAGTCACAAGCCTTTGCACCCTAGCTTATAATTTATTTGACAAATACTATTCCGTCAGAAACATAATAGGATTCTTTTACGTTTCTCTCCATTCAGTTCTCTGTGCCAGTAACTACACCAAAGTTATTTTCTGGATGTGGTTCTTAAGCCTGCCTTATTTATTTCTGTCTATGCACCCAACATCTTTTGATGGCCTCATTTTAATGAAGCACATCCTCATCCCTCATTTTAATGGTCACTGTCTTAAAACTATTTGAAACAACAAGTATTGGTGGGATAGCAGCATCCTTAATCTAATCTTAACTGCAGAGCTGGATCCCTTTGTTTTGTCAAGAATTCCTTTGACCAAGGCACTAAACCTGACATGGGGTATTGGCTGCAAGGCCCCACATTTAAGCGGCCTTATTTCTTTCCATCTTTGCTTACAAACTAGCCAATTCTTGCTTGAGTAAACATGGCGAAGAACCACCAACACCCGGTATTGTGGCATTTTTCATGTACTTTTTCTGGGACTATGGGCTTTTTATGGGCACTAGTTTTGCAGATTATTGTAGGCAACAGTTTAATCAATTGTTTTATTTCCACATAACAGTGGTTATTAGTATCGTAGTAGTATGTTCTCCTTTTGCCTGCTACCTAATTACTAAGCTAGTACCACGTTTTAGGATTTTGTTATAGCAGTATCTTAATTCTGATATTAATTTCTATATTAAGGAAAAGGCCAGCTTACTGAGTTAGGTGGTATGGGTGCTATCTGGACCCAAATCCCAAACCTATATTTTAAGCATTATGCTATTCATATATATATTCTATATATCTAATATATATTTATATATATAAAATACATATTACACACACACACAGAGTATACCTCTTTCTGATGGCTAGTTAACTTTTGAGATCAAGAACTTAGCTATACCTCATACTTACTACAATTCCTAGCCTATAGTAGGTGTTCAATAAATGTTTGAATGAACAAATACCCATTTTATACCTGAGTAAGTTAAGGCATAGAGACTTGGCCAAACTTTACTTAGAATCAAAACCAGAACATAATCTAAACCCTGCACACAAGAATATATGTACAGGAGAAGCTATCTTCGACATCATTTCCACAAAATGGGGAATATCTTATATAAAGATAGCATTGTTTGATCTTAGAAATAGTTACCAGAAAATCTTTTGATGTGACTATTAAAGTTTAAAATAGCAGTTATGGGAGCTGGTAAAGTCTACATCTTTATAATGGAGAGAAGAAAAACTCTGTATCAAAGAGTGAACGTGGTCTTTATTCCAACATTTTTAGTACCTAAAATAATTATACCAAGGACAAAAGATAGATTTTTTTAAAATTTAAGCAGTATTTGAAATGTGAGGAAAACTATCCATAGCACATTGAAGCAATCATTGTGTCAAAGTATTTTAAATAGTTCTTTATACACACATACATACATATATGCATACATGCACACACATACATATATACGTACTCAGGGAGTTACTTTAAAATGGTGAGTTCCACCTCTTAAAAATTAATGAGCTTAGGGCCGGGCGCGGTGGCTCACGCCTGTAATCCCAGCACTTTGGGAGGCCGAGGCGGGTGGATCATGAGGTCAGGAGATCGAGACCATCCTGGCTAACAAGGTGAAACCCTGTTTCTACTAAAAATACAAAAAATTAGCCGGGCGCGGTGGCGGGCGCCTGTAGTCCCAGCTACTCGGGAGGCTGAGGCAGGAGAATGGCGTGAACCCGGGAAGCGGAGCTTGCAGTGAGCCGAGATTGCGCCACTGCAGTCCGCAGTCTGGCCTGGGCGACAGAGCGAGACTCCGTCTCAAAAAAAAAAAACAACAACAAAAAAAAAATTAATGAGCTTATAATGTTTTGTGTATTCATGAGGGTTCCTACTGAACTAAGAAAGTACTCTATTTGTTATTGTACTTTGAATTATATGTAAGTGAATCCTTAATAGAGATATAATAGTTAATATTGATATTGAAATTGTGAATGAAAAAAGTCTCTAAAACTTATTCATAAGCCTTCGAAGGACATATATCTTTTATATAAATTGAAAATAGTAAGTAACTAACAAAACATAGGTTTCCTTAAGACAGACTTTTTTATGTCTACTATTTGGTTTGAGATGTTACTTTTTTTTCTCATAGGGGGAACGGTGTATTTTTAACAACGGGAATCAGTAACTGGAAGTACAAGATTGGTTATTTAATAATGTTAAAAATGAGGCTTTGAAAAGCAGAGGTAAGAATATAACTTTTTTGCACTTAATTCTTAATAGATTCGAGTATTTGCCAAATTTCTATGAAGAACTGCTTCAAGAATTGGGAAGGGTCTGAGATTTTACCCCACTTGCAAGCTGACAAGTTAGTCTGCCACGGTGCCATGGATGTTGGCAGGACATGAGAGTCATGGATCAAGGTCGAGGATTGTTTATGCTCATAGCACTAGCAAGAGTACCAGGTGACACCTGTATGTGAGTAGTTTGTGTTACAGGAGAAGAACCCTGAATTAGGGGAACCTGAGTCTTTTAGAATGGACAGTAAACCTGCCTGACTTTTTTCCTGGAGGGAGGCTTTATCTGTATTATACAGAACAGTAGACAAATCTGCCCTTTGTTCTAGTATAAGACACTATCTCTGACTTCTAAGATTGTTCATTATACAAACATCCGTGAAAAGATAGTCTGGAACAAAGGCTGTCTATGTCTCTGCTTGTGAGACGTGTAGAAACATGAGAGATTTGTGAAGAATTGTCTTCCAACACTTTCTTACTCTAAATTGCTTTCTACACTTAGCTTACTTAACAGTCCAAGAAGTTATTCTTTAAATATGTACTGTTGATAAGGATGATTGTTATAATTTTTTTTAAATAGTGAAAAAATGGAAACTACTGAAGTCACCCAACAATAGGGGATTGTTTAATTATAACATGTTCCCAGTGTCATAGTTAACAATTAATGGCCGGGGGCGGTGGTTCATGCCTGTAATCCCAGCACTTTGGGAGGCTGAGGTGAGCAGATCACTTGAGGCCAGGAGTTCAAGACCAGCCTGGCCAACATGGCAAAACCCCATCTCTACTAAAAATACAAAAATTAGCTGAGCATGACGGCGCATGCCTATAGTCCCAGCTACTCAGAAGGCTGAGGCAGGAGAATGGCTTAAACCCCGGAGGCGGGGATTGCAGTGAGCCGAGAGCGCGCCACTGCACTCCAGCCTGGGTGACAGAGCGAGACTCTGTCTCACAAAAAAAAAAAAAAAAAATTAATATTGTAAAACTACATTATTGACATATATGTTCACTGAATAATTAAGTGAAATAAGCAGATGATAAAATGTACATGTGGTTTGATCCCACTATTAAAAAATTTTACAAATGCACACACATGAAGAACGTACCAAAGTATGTATTTCAGTGGATGGAATTGTGAATGTTTTCTATTTGTGCTTGTCTATTTTCTTTTCTTCAACTTCTTTGCAATTGAATACTTTAGAATTTGTAATAAAGGAAAAAATCTCTTTCTCTTTAAATTTAAAAGTGAAAAGTGATTTAAGAATTTTTTTCTTCACTTAAAGAAAAACCTTTCATCAGCTTAACTGGGGATTGAAGAGTGTTAATTTTTTTTTGACTCTGGAGTTACTTACATGTGCAATGTAGCACAAGAAGAGAATATTAGATATCTTCACTATTAAAAAAGTTCCTATCTATAAGAGATAAAGTTGAGTTTCTTTTAGCAATATGTTGTATTATTTATTATCACATAAATGTCATCAAGGGTAACAAATCTTAGAAAAAGCTTTCTGACAGGACAATCTTAAATTATAGAGAGTAGTGCAGCTTAGTAAGTATACATTCTGGTCCTATTTAGTTGGGTTAGGTTGTTAAGTACACTGAAATAATTTGTTTTTATTTTCTGCCTATGTGTCATATTCTAAAATATGTATAAATAATAGCATTTTTATAAGTTGGCATTTTTGTTACGCTTCTCATGATTTTTTCCCTTTCCTTAACAAAGGTGCTGTTATCAGAATAGTCTTCTGGGTATAAATTAAAAATGACTGAAGTTCAAGCAATGGTAGAATTCTCTGTGGAGCTAAACAAGTTCTACAATGTGGATTTGTTTCAGAGAGGGTATGTATTTTATTGTGAAAATGATATATTTTGCATAAGATGTACAGTTTAAATTTAAATTTAATTACATATTTTTATTCCAGCATATATAAGGAAAACAATGAACTATATTCAAGTAATTATTTTCTCAGATAAATTTTATTTATTAAATAGATATTTTGGGATTATTCACATGAATTTAATGATAATGCTGGATATACTGAACCTGTGTTTATGAATTTGTAGTGAGCCTTGAGAGGACTTTACTGTAAATGTATAAGGTCTAATTTTTGCTCTTTAAAATCTTATAGTATAATGGGAAAAAATAAGACATGCATACAAAGCAACTAAATAGAAATACAAACATACATGATGAAGCTTATTTCACTTGATTTTTCTGTATCAGTGAATGTAGTTTTATAATATCATTTTTAATTATTAACTATTACACTGTGACATGTTATAATTTAACAGTCACCCACTGTTGGGTATTTCATTTGTTTTCATCTTTTCACTATTTCACGAAAACACTAAAACAATAATCTTTATCAATGGTACCTATAAAGCAATGTAATAACTTCTTGGCGTTTTGGCTAAGATCAATAAGTATGTATAAGAGGTGCTCTAGGAATCAACAGAAAGACGTCTTTCTGGTTTAGTATGTTAGAAAAGGCATTATGGAGGGATAAGATCAAAGTATGGCTAAGACTTGGATAGGCAAAGTATAAAGTGAAAGATCATATTTGTAGAAGAGAACAGCATGATTCAGTACAGCCACATGAATCAAGTGTTGGAAATAGAAACGAACATGTTATTTTTAAGAATAATTAGGGGCCAGGTGTGGTGGCTCACACCTGTAATCCCAGGACTTTGGGAGGCCGAGGCGGGCAGATCACCAGAGGTCAGGAGTTTGAGACCAACCTGGCCAACATGGTGAAACCCTACCTCTACTAAAAATACAAAAATTAGCCGGGCGTGGTGGTGCACGCCTGTAATCCCAGCTACTTAGGAGTCTGAGGCAGGAGAATCGCTTGAATCCAGGAGACAGAGTTTGCAGTGAGCCGAGATTGCGCTAGTGCACTCCAGCCTGGGCAACAGAGCAAGACTCCATCTCAAGGAACGTTAAAAAAAATAAAAATTAAAAAAAAAGAATATTTAGGAAATTGGATATTTTCTAGGAGAATTACAGAAGAAAGGTAGTAAAGAATGGCAAGGTTATATTTGTGAAAGACTTTAATGTCTAGAGAAGAGTTGACACTAGGGATTTGGGTAACCATCAATAGTTTCTAAGTAAGGATAAAATTTTATCACTATTATTACAATAAGCACTTACTAACATGATGGATATTATGATACATTAGACTGATGGTTGTGTAGAAGAAATAGAAACCTAGGAAACAGTTTAGAGGCACTTGATAGTAACTCAAGATATAAATCTGGAGATCTATACAAAGAGTGGTGGCAGTGGGACTAACAGAAGAAGTAGAGCAAGAGATTCTCTATTTTTTTTTTTTGCCTTGACCTTGCCATCTTGTTGAAAAAATAAAAACAGCTGTGCCTGTGCTGTGGTCTGCTCTATATGGTCTCTAATTTCTTAGCAGGCCAGCCTGGACTTGTTCTCATGGTGGAGACAAGAGTCTGAGATAGAGAGCAGAAGGCCGGGTGCGGTGGCTCACGCCTGTAATCCCAGCACTTTGGGAGGCCAAGGCGGGCAGATCACCAGAGTTCAGGAGTTCGAGACCAGCCTGGCCAACATGGTGAAGCCCCATCTCTACTAAAAATATAAAAATTACCCAGGTGTGGTGGTGGACGCCTGTAATCCCAGCTACTCGGGAGGCTGAGGCAGAAGAATTGCTTGAACCCAGGAGACGTAGGTTTCAGTGAGCCGACACGGTGCCACTGCACTCCAGCCTGGGTAACAGAGTGAGACTCTATCTAAAAAAAAAAACAAAAAAAGAAAGAGAGCAGAAGATGCAAGTCTCCTTCAATTGACACACTGTTACTTCCACTGCATTCCATTGGCCAAGCAAGTCACAGTGCGAGGTCACGAGTCAGGCTGGTGGCTTTTTGGCCAGTACAATTCACTTAAAAAACTTTGTGGACTGTCCATATGGCTGATAAGTTTATTCCATGCTTTAAAGCCCACAGCCACAGTTGTTTTTGAGACATGCTTGCTCTCTAGATAGCATATCTACCAATCTCTGCTACTTGGGGATTAGAATTCTGTGGGATCATGCCCATCAACTTTCTAAAAATCCTTTTGTCATGCTGAGAACGTCTGCTTACATCTTAATTCTTTTAGTGATCTTAAGAAAGGAAGCTACAGCTACATCCTTGAGTTGATCTTTGTTCAAGGGCTTTGTTTTATTTTCAGGAGACTGCAGATGAAACAGTTTTATTTTCCAACCCAGCAAGTTCTAGTTGCTCTAGATTTCTTCTAGATTCTGCTTATAAAATGACTAGCTCTTTCTTTAGTTCATCTCTATCTTGCAGAACCTTATACTTAGCTAGGAGCAACCAGTTGGCGTTTTTGGTATTCTGCTTGGAAATTAATTTGCTAAGTCCAAAAGTTTCTTAGATACATTTTCTGAATTATTCCAGGTTAGTGTAAGATAGCATATTACATCACTCCATAACATGGTTACCATTTTCCTCATCTCCTATAGTTTCCTCATTATTTTTCCACCATTTGTAGCTGTAACTGTTAGTTTGGCCCCAGAATTAATGCCACTTATTTTAAGTTTTTGTTATGGCACACACCACTTCTAGGTATCGATTTCTGTATTGTTTATTGTCACAATAATGCAGCTAACCACAAACACAAAGACTCAATGGCATTATGGCAATAAACATTTATTTTTGCTCCTAAGTCTGTGGATCATCTCAACGGTTCTACTGATCTAGGGTGGCTTGGCTCATCTTTGCTGGGCTCACTTCATGAATGCACAGTCAGATGGCAGATTGGCCGGGCACTAGCTGGATGCAGAGTGGCCTCAGCTGGGCAGTCTCAGTTCTGTTTCACAGTCTCTCATCCTGCAGCTTATTCTCATGGACAAGGCATGGGTCCACAGAAGAGAGAAACCATGCCAGCAGACCTCATATCATCTAGGCTTGGAAATGATGCACTGTTACACCTCCACCACAAGATACTGGCCAAAGCAAGTCATAAGTAAGGCCAGCCCACATTTAAAAGGTGGGCAACTACACTCCACTTCTTAATGGGAGTCACACTGTAAGAGGTCTGAATATAAGGAAGAGCAAAATATAGGTGACATTTTTAAAATCAATCTACAGGTTACATTTTGTAGGTTTGTTTTTAACAACATGATTTTGACAAGCTAAATGTGTAAAAAGCAATTCAGTATTGGAGTTAGATTTGAAGACTAGCTAGAAAACAAATTGCTTGCTTAAGTTGTATTCATGAAAAAAATGATTATTTGGAAACCATTACTGTTTATAAAATAGTTTTCAAATATATGTAGTGTCCTCTGACCTATATATAAAATATATCATTATAAAATTATAAAATATTTTAATGTGTAATATAAACATAATATCAACATGTAAAATTGTTCTTTCCAAGTAAAACAGTGTTACTCTTTAGACAAAAAAGTCATGATGTGAAATCACTTTGCTTAATAAAATCATGTTAAGTTTTACCTCATACAATTTTAACACGGTGTTGTGTATTAACAATCAATGCTATAAATGTGTTCTAAAGAATAGAGGATAGAAATGTAATAACTTAATATTCACAAACACATTCTTTTAGCCACTAACCTCAGTATTTTATTCTTCCTCTAAAAAAATAAATTCAAGTTTTCTGACAATGGAAAAAATAGATGTATACTTAATCTCTACCTGCTGCACTTCTGTAAAGATACTAAAGAGCATCTCTTTCTCTTATGACTACTTATAAAAGATTTATTACTATTATAGTTCATTTTTATGCTAGATCAAAGCAGGAAAAGGATCTACATTATTATTACACTTGAAAAATAACTTATAGAAGAGCAAAATTAAATTTGTTAAGTAAAGCGCTTTTCCTGTTCATCTGTGAGAATATGTTTTTGTGGCCCTTTGCAACTTTCTGTCTTTCTTGAAGACCATTCTTATAATGAACTTAACAAAACATTGTTAATAAATAGACATCCTTACTTCTTTATAGCCCCCTACCTAAGGTGATCCTTTAAATTGTGTTTTACTTAACAGAGTATGGGAAATAAATAAGGTATGAAATAAGAACAGAAGAATAGATTGCTTTGCTTTAGTGCTTATCTCATTGCATTGGATTATTTATAGATAAATTGATTATATCTCTTTTTTCTGATTAAAATATTTTCTTCCCTTATATTTTCTAACTTTTTTTTTTAATATAAAGGAAGACATCGACTTTTTTTTCCTTATAATTCTCTTTAGGATCCTAAAATACACCTACAATTCAGAAGTACTTATACTGCCATATTTAAGATGATAACTTAATAAGAAAAATAATTTTTCTTTTTAATTTGTCTGAATTGTAGGGACTTTTTTTAGAGTTAAAAGGACAATATAAAGCATCTAGTTTAAAAACTTATACAGTTTATAAATGGTATAAGTAATTTAAGTTACAAAAATAAGTTTTTAAACACCCTGTTATGCTAGGATGTCCGTATAATTTATTGACCAAATCAAGATACTTTTTTTTTTTTTTTTAAGACAGTCTTTGCTCTGTCGCCCAGGCTGGAGTGCGGTGGCTTGATCTCGGCTCACTGCAAGCTCCGCCTCCCGGGTTCATGCCATTCTCCTGCCTCAGCCTTCCGAGTAGCTGGGACTACAGGCGCCCACTACCACACCCAGCTAATTTTTTGTATTTTTATTAAAGACGAGGTTTCACCATGTTAGCTAGTATGGTCTTGATCTCCTGACCTCATGATCCGCCCGCCTCGGCGTCCCAAAGTGCTGGGATTACAGGCATGAGCCACCGCGCCCGGCCTTCAAGATACTTTTTAACATGAAAGGAGGCACTGTTAATAATAGGCCCAGACAAATGAAAACCAGGATGGCTTCAGGCAAACCAGGACATAAGGCCATCCTTGTAATAATCAAATATTCCTTAAATCTTAACTTTTTTTTTTTTTAAGTAACTTAAAGCAGCAAACATTTGTTGTTTCTAATGAGTCTTTAGGTTGGAGCTTGGCTGATGTCATCGAAGCTTGTCCACGCGTTTGTGGTCAGCTGTGGACTGATTGGTCTAAGATGGCCTTGGTTGGGACTTCTCAGCTCTCCTCCACATAATCTCTCATCCTCTAACAGGCTAGGCTGGGCTTAAACAACTCTTAGCTTTAATTGAATTAGAAAATTGTATTTTTGCTTAGACTTATCGGGTGTAATAGATTATTCAATGTTAAAAAAAGTTATTTTAAAAAATCTGTGCTTGCCTTCAGAAAGGAATAAACAGATTACTAATGTATTTACATGATAATTAATTTTTACTATAATTACATTGTTTTGCCTTAATGGTAAACAGAAAGCTCAGATACTAACAATCTAAAGAAAAACTAGTTTTATTTTAATTTTACTCTATTCTATCATTTTGTTTAATAGAGTGGATTTTTAAACTCTGAAAACGAAGTCAAAATTGTAAAGCACTGATCATAAATATGATGCTATTAAATGGAATGTGGATGTATGTCTTATAAATGAGTAATATAAATTATCTTAAGATTTGTATTATATTAGGAGTATCTAATTACAAGATAATAGACTTCCCAATGACTTCATTCAAAATACATTTGTCAAGAGGACTCCAAAGGAGAAGGAAATATTGCCCTTTAAATAGACACAGAAACATTGCTATTTGAACACCTGTTCTCATTGGCATAAAGGATAAGAGGATGGAATTAAATTATGGTTGTAGTAAATTTCAGTTAGGTTTTAAAGTGGGGGAAATTTTTCTTTGTTTGGAGATGATTGCAAAATTGTTGAAGTATCTTTTTCTAGAATGCTTTAGGTCAGTGCTATTCTCAGTAGCTTGTCTGCAGATGGTTTGTGACTGGTTCAGGATGAAGCACTGTTGCCAGAATGGAAATGAATGCTGCTTTCTTCATTAAATTTTGCTACCAAAAAAAAGTTAGTTAAAATAGTGTGCTTTGCAATATAGTTGATTTACTTTATTTTACTGCAGATTGGTAACAACCATTTCACAAAAATGCACCCGTCTGTGTACCATATTTGAAGTAGTACAGCTTTAGAATATTAGCAATGGCATCTTGAGTGGAGTTGGGTTTCATTCATTTTGAAAAGCGGCAAATATTTAGAAGACATTTAGAAGAACTTTGACAAAGTGCTATGCTTTAATCTTTTATCAGACTTTGCAAGTGAAATGTTATCAGTTTGATTTGTTTCCACATATCGTTGGAACAGTCAATAATCCAGCATGCTACTACTAATAAATTAAGTAGTGAGGAAAATATTGTTGGAGTCAGAAGTTGAAAGTAGTACTTTGTTCTTTATTTATCTGGATTACTGTAGAACAGTTAATTGAATACCTGTAGCTACTATTACTTTTCTTAATCATATACTGCCACCATTTCCTTGTCATAAGATAAACTACTACAAAGAACATATTATGATTTGGAAATGGAGGAAAGTAAGGATATAGATTTAGAAATTATATATATACGTGTGTGTGTGTGTGTGTGTATATATATATATATATATATATATATATTTTTTTTTTTTTTTAGATGGAGTCTCACTCTTGCCCAGGCTGGAGGGCAGTGGCGTGATCTTGGCTCACTGCAACCTCTGCCTTCTGGGTTCAAGCAGTTCTCCCTGTCTCAGCCTCCTGAATAGCTGGGATTACAGGTGCCTGCCACCACGCCCAGCTAATTGTTATGTTTTTAGTAGAGGTGGCGTTTTGCCCTGTTGGCCAGGCTGGTCTCAAACTCCTGACCTTAGGTGATCCGCCCTCCTCGGCCTCCCAAAGTGCTGGGATTACAGGCGTGAGTGACCGCACCCGGCCTAGAAATTACATTCTTAAATTTTAGTAACATCACAAAACCATGGAACTTAAATCCTTTTGGAAAACCTCTGTAGAACCCTGTAAACCAGGTTTGATACAACACAGTTTTTTTGTTTGTTTTTTGTTTTTTTTGAGATGGAGTTTCGCTCTTGTTGCCCAGGCTGGAGCGTAGTGATGCAATGTCGGCTCATCGCAACCTCCACCTCCCCGGATCAAGCAATTCTCCTGCCTCAGCCTCCTGAGTAGCTGGGATTACAGGCATGCGTCACCATGCCCTGTAACACAGTTTTTAACAAAATTATCTTAAATCCCTTTTGTTTATGATTCTGAGGTTGTTAAACTTATGGAAGATTTGTAGTTTGATTTAAAAGGACTATCAGCTAAGAGTCAGAAATTCAGCTGAATTTTGTTTTATTGACATTGATTACAACTTTTGAAAAAAGTGATTCCTTGTCTATAATGTCATGTATGTGTTGTATTCTTAAAGTTCATGAACTTGCCGGGTGTGGTGGCTCACGCCTGTGATCCCAGCACTTTGGGAGGCCGAAGCAGGCTGATCACCTGAGGTCAGGAGTTCGAGACCAACCTGGCCAACATGGTGAAACCCTGTCTCTACTAAAAGTACAAAAATTAGCCAGGCATGGTGGTGGGTGCCTGCAGTCCCAACTACTTGGGAGGCTGAGGCAGGAGAATCACTTGAACCCCAGAGGCGGAGGTTGCAGTGAGCTGAGATCGTGCCACTGCACTCCAGCCTGGGTGACAAGAACAAGATTCTGTCTCAAAAAAAAAAAAAAAAAAGTTCAGGAATTGAGGACTTCTGATTAAGCATTGGTGATTGGAGCTCACAAGAAACTACCTCAAATTTTTCATAAGGCCTTCAAAACTGTCTGAAATTGTCTGTCTTCAGTAAGATATAAGGACTGAGAATACTCGATAAGAAGTTAATTGGTTTCTCAGTTTTAAGAATCAGCCCTTCTCTGTACTCCGCAATTTGTTTTCTTTCAACAGTTTACGTCAGCTATCGGAATATAAATATTTCTTTCATTGTTAATGTTAGCTGTGACCTTTACTCATTTTTTAATCTGTGCTATGGTATAGGGGTACATTTAGTCTGAATCAGCAGTTTACAGATGGAGTACAAGGGTATTGGATTTAAGGGGCTAGTAAGTTCTGCTTTTCTGGAAGCTTTTATAATTTGATGTTGGCGATATGAAAAAAAAACAGTTGTGAAAATCATAATTGCCAATGTGTATTCTTCTTTTTGTTTTTAAAACTGGAAACTCATTTTGTTTTCAGTTTCACCATTCTTTAGGTGAGAAAGGATGTCTGCAGTCTTTGAAGGATCATTATAATGGATCATAACAGTGAATGATGGGGCCAATAGTAATTGAATATCCCAACAATCTGCCATTACTGGCTTTGAACACATATGTTTTTAAAGTATAAGTAAATAGAGGAGGTCAAATTAACTGTGGGAAAAAAAAACTACTACCGAAAACCAAAAAAGATTTAGTATTTACTTAATGCTGTCAATTAACTAGCTTTAAAGGACTAAGTGTTATTATGAGAAATGTCTATATGAAAATCAAAACATAAATGACATGACTTAAATGTAGGGCAAACCTCAATGGGGAAAGAAACATGAAACAAATTTGTGTATTTATTAACTATATATATATAATACTGTGTTTCTACATTAATGAAAAGTTTTCTGCATCTCTGCAACTTCAATATGTAACTTATGAAACAATTTGCATAAGGATAAACTTAACTTATGGTTGAGTAGTACTTAACCCAGGGGCTACCCATATGGATCTTAGAGTTCCACCTGTAAATAACAATATGTATACTCAAAGAGGTAACCAATAAATTGGCTAGATAATCAGACAGTAAGTATAGACGTTTCTTCATATTAATAAAGACCTTTTTTGGGGAAACAACAAGTGGGCTTGTTGTTTTCTTGGCAAAATTAAAGAATGGATTTTAAAAGAATATATTGGGATAAAAGTTTACATATAAAAAATTAAATAATTCTGTAAGTGTTCAGTTTTAAAAGATTTTACCTACAAAGAAATAAGAGTTTGGTCTCAAACTTTTTCTTAGTATTACTTAAGATCCTGAAATAATGAAACAACATCTTCAGAAGTTTGCAGGAAAGTTGTAGTGACCCAAGTATTTTATCTTTTTGTAACAATAGGGAGATACTATGAGAAAATACAGTCTCAGAAAATATACTTTCCATTTACTTATTCTGAATAGATTACTTGTGATATGTTCCAGAGCACGATGGGAGAGAGTAAAAATTTAGAACTCGGAATTAGGGAAGTTGTAGAAAATAGGCTTTGAAACTTGTTAAAGTTATTGAAATAAGTCAAAAAACTAAATTTTACAAAAGTAAATGTTAGGCTCTTTGAAAAACAATTTCCATTTTGAAGAGATTAGTGAGTTGCTTTATTTCTCTATATTTATTAATAAAACATGGAACGGGAGAATGATGGCGGAGGAATTGTGAAATTTCTTTCATAAAAAGCAAGAAAAAATTTTTAATCATTCTTTCTATAGATACTTATACCATATATTCATTTTTTCGAGAAACTTTTTTTTACTGTCTGATAAAATGAGAGATTATATGTGGTTATTGGAAAAAAAGAAACAAACCAGCCAGAGTCAACATAGCAAAAGGAAGAATGGATAAAGGAAGCAGTAGCAAAAACAGAAAATACAGAATACAATGACAAGTAGAAACATTCAAAACCATTCTGACTATAAAACTCATAAATTTAAGTTGTCTTGTTCAAAGGCAGATTTGCAGGATTTAAGTCCAATAATTTTCTGTTCATAAAAGACATCTCATATTTTGAAAATAAATGCCTACAAATTTAAAATACTTACAGTAATCCTCCCTTAAGTAGTTTTACTTTCTGTGGTTTCAGTTACCTGCAATCCACCTCAGTCTGAAAACATTAAATGGAAAATTCTAGAAATAAACAATTCATAGTTTTTAAATTGCACACCATTCTGAATAGCAGGATGAAATCGTGCACGTCCCTCTTCGTCCCTCTCAGGACAGAAATTCTTTTGTCCAGCATATATCTATGTTGCATATACCACCAGCCAATTAGTCACTTAGTAGCTGGTGTTGGTTATGAGATCAACTGTCATAGTATCACAGTGCTTGTTTCAGGTAACCCTTATGTTATTTAATAGTGGCCCAAGAGTGCAAGAGTACTGTTGCTGACAATTTGGATTCACGAGAAGCTGTAAAGTGCTTCCCTTAAGGGAAAAGACGAAAGTTCTCGACTTTAGGAAAGAAAAAATCTCTTATGCAGAGGTTGCTAAAATCTGTGGTAAGAATGAATTATCTGTGACGTTGTGAAGAAGGAAAAAAAATTCATGCTAGTTTTGCTGCTACACCTCAAACTGCAAGTTATAGCCACAGTGCATGATAAGTGCTTAAGATGGAAAAGACAGCAGGGCACAGTGGGCTTATGCCTGTAATCCCAGTACTTTGGGAAGCTGAGGTGGGAGGATCTCTTGAACCCAGGAGCTTGAGACCAGCCTGGGCAACAATATAGTGAGGCCCTATCTACCAAAAAAATTACAAAAACAAACAAACAGCTAGCTGGACATGGTGGTGCTTGCCTGTAGTCCCAGTTACTCAGGAGGCTGAGAGGTGGGAGAGTCGCTTGAGTCCAGGAGTTGAAGGCTGCGATGAGCTGTGATTGCACCAGCCTAGCCTGGATGACTGAGCAAGATCTAAAAAAAAATTGATGGAAAAGCTATTAAGTTTGTAGGTGGGAGACATGGACCCAGAAACGTGTTCTGATTGATGGCAGTCAGGTTCAGTACTATCTGAGGTTTCGGTCTTCCACTGGTGGTCTTGGAGTTTATCACCTGAGTGTAAGGGGAGACTATTGTATTTAGTGAATTGAACCTTTTATCATTATGAAAAGACCCTGTTTATATCCTAGTAGCTTTTTGCTTTGAACTATTTTGTCTAATATTAATATTATAACATCAGCTTTCTTCTAGTTAATATTTACAAGAAATACCTTTTTCAATTATTTCACTTTCAACCTTTCTCTTTCCTTGTATTCTATATTAATTGCAAACAACATATAATGGGATTTATCTTTTTCATTTTCTAGGGCACTTTTTGTGTTTAAGTGGAACATTTAATCCATTTATATTTAATGTAATGGCTGATTTATTTGTGATTATGTTCATAATTTCATATTTTGTATTTTCTATGTCCGCTCTTCATTTGCTCTCCTATACTCTTTTGTTTCATGTTCTGATCTCTACCAGTGTTTCAGGTTTATTCTTCAAGAGGACATTCACTTTTGCCAGGCTCTTAGGGCATTACCAATCTAGGACTAACTTTTGTTTCTTTAATGGAAAGTTTCAAACATAAAAGTATAGTAAGCACACACCTATCACCTAGCCTCGGTTATCAAAGTTTTTTCTTCCTATTTCACCTGTTGTTCCCCCCAGCTGTTTTTTCAGTATGTATCTCCAACAGATAAGGACTTCTGTTTTTAACATATTTGTAAAATCATTATTGTACTTAAATAAATGTTTAAAATAATTCCTTGATATCAAATAATCCAGTTAGTGTACACAGTCCCTCAGTCATCTCATAAGTGTGTTCTTAATTATTTGTTTGAATCAATATTCACCCCAAAATTCATAGCTTGCATTTGGTTAATATGTCTCTTACATTTTCCAAAATTTAAAATTGATGGTTTAATCTAAAGGATTGATTAAATTCCAGTTGTTTTTGAGACGAATCCTCAAGTGATGCTATGTTCTTCCTATTGCATTGCATCAGAGGACAGGTAATTTCTGGTTTTCTCTTTTTTGTGATATGATTGATTCAGGTGTTATATCAACCTAATGGACCCATTAAACAGTTCCCTATCACTTAATTGATGGTACCCATTGATGATCTTTACCCAGAGTCATTATTTCACTAGAGGTTATAAAATGGAGATATCCAGGGCTGGGCACGGTGGCTCACACTTGTAATCCCAGCACTTTGAGAGGCTGAAGCGGGAAGATCACCTGAGGTCAGGAGTTCAAGACCAGCCTGGCCAACATGGTGAAACCCCATCTCTACTAAAAATACAAAAAATTAGCTGGGCATGGTGGTGAGCACCTGTAATCCCAGCTACTCAGGAGTCTGAAGCAGGAGAATTGCTTGAACCTGGGAGGCAGAGGTTGCAGTGAGCTGAGATTGCACCATTGCACTCCAACCTGGGCAATAAGAGCTTTTTTGTACATATAAAAAATTAAATAATTCTGTAAGTATTCAGTTTGAAAAGATGTTACCTACAAAGAAATGAGAGTCTGGTCTCAAACTTTTTCTTAGTATTACTTAAGATCCTGAAATAATGAAACAACGTTTTCAGAAGTTTGCAGGAAAGCTGTCTCAAAAAAAAATGGAGATATCCAAATTCTGTTATTCCTTGTGCATTTATTAGCTGGAATTCTGTGAAGAATTTTGCCTCATTAACTATTTGGTTATTCTGACATATAGTTTACACAGAAAAGACATAATAAATGTTTTATTATTTCTCCCTAGTTACTTGTATTCAGAATATTTTGTTGTTGCCGTAGCATATTACACATATGATCACTTTTTATTTTGTGCCAATATAAACTCATGGATTTTCAACATATTTGCTGATAATATTGTGTCACTATCAGCTGGGTGCTGTGGCTCACGTCTGTTACCCCAGCACTTTGGGAGGTCAAGGCAGGTGGATCACCTGAGGTCAGGAGTTTGAGACCAGCCTGGCCAACATTGTGAAAACCCGTCTCTACTAAAAATACAAAAATTAGCCGGTGGCACGCACCTATAATCCCAGCTACTCAGGAGGCTGAGATGGGAGAATTGCTTGAGACTCAGAGGTGGAGGTTGCTGTAAGCTGAGATGGCGCTACTGCACTCCAGTCTGGGCAACAGAGTGAAACCCTGTCTCAAAAAAGAAAAAAAAACATTGTGTCACTATCCTTTCTGATGCTTAGAGGGAGCCCTTCAGGTTGGTTTCTGTGAATTTCCCACAGGACAGTCTAAGCAGTGTTTGATAGTTTTCTTGTTTTCTATTATGATTAGGTGTTGCAGACTCTTGTACATTCTTTGATCCAGACCTGGAGTCAGCCAAGGAGCCCTGGTTCCTTTTATTAGGAAATAGTACTTAGAAATCATAATGTATATACTAAAGGTACACATTTTGGGGTCATTTCTTCTAAGTCCTTTCAGTTAACAGCATTAGCAAATTTTTTTTTTTTTTTTTGAGATGGAGTCTCACTCTGTCGCCCAGGCCAGAGTGCACTGGCGCCGTCTCAGCTCACTGCAACCTCTGCCTCCTGGGTTCAAGCGATTCTCCTGCCTCAGCCTCCCAAGTAGCTGGGATTACAGGCGCCCACAACCACGCCTGGCTAATTTTTGTATTTTTAGTAGAGATGGGGTGTCACCATGTTGGCCAGGCTGGTCTCGTACTCCTGACCTCGTGATCCACCTGCCTTGGCCTCCCAAAGTGCTGGGATTACAGGCATGAGTCACCATGCTCCACCACAAATACATTTTTATAAGAAAAATGCATCATTAATGTATACTGATATTTTCAATTCCAGTTTAAGTTTACAAGGATTTTACTTTTTTAATTTTATGTTTGTGTCTCTTTTTACTTATAGCGAAAATCTTGGTTCCTAGTAATGTAGATCATTACTTACTTTATGTATGTGTGTGGACATTTCTATATAGAATAGTTTCAAAATAATACTAACAACATTACCACCAAGACCATAAATATTTAAAATTTCTTCATGGGTTTTTTTTTTTTTTTTTTGCCGAGATATATCCCGTGAGGAATAGGCAGTCAAAATACTGTGTTTTAAAAATCACTTGAAGTATTTCTCTGTGGAATTGCAATCAAGTAGATATACATTAAATTTATTTGTTTTAGTGTTGTTTAGGGATTGACATTTTCTTTGTTTTGTAATTATATAAAAAATTTACGTGGGTCCAAAACCAAAACTCTGTAAAGTCCACTATATTGAGATAGATCTTGTTTTGATCCCTGTCCCTTCTCTCTCCTCATCCCATAGGTAACCATTTTATTTTTATTAGTTTTTGGTATATCCTTTTTTTCTTTTGAAAATAGAGGCAAATAAATATATAGTCATACCCTTCCATCTTACACAAAGGTAGCATAGGATACATACACTCTGTACCCTACTTTTGTTGTTTAAAAGTATATCTTAGAGGTAACTCCTCTAAGTGTGAGTGATTAACATTCGGGTGGTAACACCTGAATCCATCATATCCCAAAAAAAAAGAGCCAGACATTTTATGTCCTTTGATACAATGCTATAGGAAGTACATAATCAAACCTTTAGATTAAACCACCAAATTTAAATTTACAAAAATCTAAGAGATATTTCATATTCCCTGTTACAACTGCATTTTACACCATTGTATAGTTGTACCATAGTTTATTCAACCAGTCCCCTATTGGACATTTTGTTTTTATCTTATATTTTCCCATTGCGGTTAATACTACAATATTGCAGTTGCTATTGCAATTAATACTACAATCTGCATATATCATCTAATATTTTTGCCAGATTATCTTTGGGATATCTTCTGAAAAGTGGGATGTTAAGGCAAAGGGTAAATGACACTTGTTTTTGCTCTTTTTTTGCCAAATTACATTCCATATGGGGTTGTGCCATTTTTGATCTCACTAGTGCTGTGGTAGAATTCCTGTTTGCCCACATGCTTGCCATCATATTACACCCATGTGCCATTTAACTACATTTTGGTCAGTGACAGACCGCAAATATGACAGTAGTCCAATAAGATTATAATGGAGCTGGAAAATTCCCATCACCTCGTGATGGTAGTAGCTTTGGTAACCTCCTAGTGCAATACATTACTTTTTCTATGTTTAGATACACAGATACCTATTATCGTGTTATAATTGCCTGCAGTATGCAGTACAGTACAATATGGTGCAGATCTGTAACTTAGCAGCAATGAGCTATGTGGTATAGTCTACGTGTGTAGTATAACCAGCAGGTTTGTGTAAGTACACTACATTGTTCGCACAGTGGCGAAATCAATCTAAGGATGCCTTTCTCAGAATGTATTCCTGTTGTTGAATGAAGAGTGACTATATTTTGTTAGATTGTTGGATTTCTGTCAGTCTGATAGTTGAGAATGGATATATTTTTGTAGTGAAAATTTATAGTTTTTAAAATTATAAGTGAAAGTGAACTCTTTTTGCATATTTAGAGTCATTTGCATTTCTTTTTCTGTAAACTGTTTAATCATACCTTTTTTTTCATCTTTCTATTGGTTGATTGGTCTTTTTCATCTCAATTTTCTTCTTAATTAAGGTTTGCTGGAATATATCAACAGATGGCCTCAGAACAAAAGCAGCTTAATTGCTTTGCCTAATTCACTATGATTTTGCCTTCCTTTAAATTTTCCTTGGTAATTCCATACTATCTTGTCAGCTCTTCAGTAATTTTACAGATATACTTTTTATACTTTATCTGACATTGTCTTTTAGCAAGAGATTGTTCTGAATAACCTAGCCCACCACAACTCTTAAAATGGAAGTGTTTTCTTTGATTTTTGAATTTTTTTATCGCTTACTTCATATTTTGTTTTTAAAAATAGGTAACTTATCCACATTTTAAATTTTTGGGCTGGGTGCGGTGGCTCACGCCTGTAATCCTAGTGCTTTGGGAGGGAAGCAGGCACATCACTTCAGATCGGGAGTTTGAGACTAGCCTGGCCAATATGGTGAAACTCTGTCTCTGCTAAAAATACAAAAATTAGCTGGGCTTTGTGGCACACGCCTGTAATCCCAGCTACTCCAGGGGCTGAGGCATGAGAATTGCTTGAACCTGGGTGGTACAGGTTGCATTGAGCAGAGATCATGCCACTACACTCCAGCCTGGGTGACAGAGTAAGTCTGTGTCTCAAAAAAATAAATAAATAAATAAATAAATAAGCATGCCTGTGGGTTCCAGCTACTCGGGAGGCTGAGATGGGAGGATTGCTTAAGCCCAGGAAGTCAAGGCTGCAATGAGCCATGGTTGCACCACTGTACTTCAGCCTGGGTGACAGAGTGAGACCTGTCTCAATAAGAAAAAGAATAAAAGAAAAAAATTTATTTATCTAAAAAATTTTATATCTTTTAAAGTAGCAATAATTTTAATTAAAAATGTATTTACAGTGGTAGACTGCTTTCATAAATATCAGATGAACTTTATTTAAAATAATGTGTATATTTGCTTTTAGTGTTTCTTTCGCTGTATTTCTAACACCTATCACATAGATCTTCAATAAGTGATGAACAAATGGTATTCAGGGAATATAAATTACTATATGACATTCTAGTAGTATACATTAAATGTGGAGATTAAAAAATTTTTTAACAGTTTATTGACATAGCATCTTATTCTACAGAATCAGTGATCACACATTTTATGATAGGCTGTTTTAAAAGTATTTTACTTTTTCTGTTTTTTATCCTTCCATTGATTTCTATTTTAAAATCGTAATTATTACCAGAAAATCTAATTAGGAAGCAAATCTAATGATTCATAGTGTGCATATTCTTTAACTAAAGACATATTGTTTCATCTAATGTTAGGTGAGATACTATCATGGTGCTAATTGTGGGAATACATAAACAAGGGTGGGAATACATAAACAGGGGTGGTAAAACTACAGCCTTTGGACCAAATCTGGCTTGTTGCTGGGCCAAACCCAGCCACGCCCATTTACTTACTTTGTTTATGGCTACTTTTGCTCAGCAGCAGGAATGAGTAGTCACAACAGAGACTATGGCCCACAGAGTAAAAATGTATTTACTGTCAAGCCCTTTAAGAAAGCTGTTGACCATTGGTATGGAATATTTAGATATGGTTTCTGCCGTCTTGGTCAGGGAAACCCTAACCCAGTGGTGCTAGAGGAATTAAAGACACACACACAAAAATGTAGAGGTGCGGAGTGGGAAATCAGGGATCTCACAGCCTTCAGAGCTGAGTGCCCTGAACAAAGATTTACCCACGTATTTATTAACAGCAAGCCAGTCATTAGCATTGTTTCTATAAATACTAGATTAACTAAAAGTATCCCTTATGGGAAACAAAGGGATGGGCCAAAACAAAGGAATGGGTTTGGCTAGTTATCTGCAGCAGGAGCATGTCCTTAAGGCACAGATTGTTCATGCTATTGTTTGTGGTTTAAGAACGCTTTTAAGCAGTTTTCCACCCTGGGTGGGCCAGGTGTTCCTTGCCCTCATTCCGGTAAACCCACAACCTTCCAGCATGGGCGTTACAGCCATCATGAACATGTCACAGTGCTGCAGAGATTTTGTTTATGGCCAGTTTTGGGGCCAGTTTAATGGCCAGATTCGGGGCGGGGGGGGCTGTTCCCAACATATCCCCCTTATTTGATTTGCAAAGCAATAAAAGCAAAGGCAGTTTTGTCATGGTGAGCTACTTCTTGCAGGAGTCAGGATCTGCATCTGCAGACTATACAAAGACAAACAACACAGATTAAAAGCACAATCATCATTGAAATCACAGAGCTTCCAACTGTTTTTATCCATTTTAATGGGTTACTAGCTGCTAATCTGTCTGCAGCTCCTTCAAGCACTCCAGTTCCTGGCATTAAGGTCAGGTGTACCTGGGATGCTTTAAATATTTGTTCTTTTAATTTTGCAATATCCAAAGACAAGTTTGTGGAGTGTCCTTCTAGATGCTTTTTTATTCTTTCCCAAATTTTGATCTTATTAAGAGCCATTAATAGTTTCCACAAATCCTTATGTTTAGCTTCTACAACAGGCCATATCATTTGAGGTTGAGGTGCCACTATACCACCGTAATTCCAGATAGTAGGAACTCTTGCTGTACTTCTTATCATTTCTACCATCTGACCGTTTTGTTCAGACCATCTGAACATAGTGTGACCGTGGCATGCAGACTGAGAGGTGCAATTCAAGCTAAACATCCCCTTAGGGGATCAATCAATAATGATTCCATAGGAATCATTGTGCAGCACCTCTGCCTGTTCTGCAATGCAATCTTTCTAAACAAGTAAGTTCATTTTTTTCTGGCCAGGTTCAATTTTGTTTACAAAAAGATTTTTGAGGGTGGAATGCCTTGATTATGGGAGCATTTTTATTGTAAATACTGAGATCAGAAAGCATGTGTAACTGCGTCATAGAGTAATTACATTGAGGCATTATTACCGGCCAAGATTGATAAATATGCCCAATAAGGATAATTGTTCTCTGTGTCAGCCCTTGTTGAAGGAATACTCACGGCAGTGGTGATCACCGCTCTCATAACTACCATTAAGTTACTCATTGTGACAGGTTTTCAAACCTTGCAAATTTTTTTCTAGTCCCAAACCAGGGACATACCCATTTCATGCATCATATGTTGACTTTGAGGGCTATATAATTGTTCTGGAATTAGAACTTGTGCTCCGCACTGTTGTAATAAATCTCTCCTCCATAAATTTATAGGTACAGAAGTTATAATTGGTTGAATAGTCCCAGGTTGTCCATCGGGCCCTTCACAATGCAAAATATAACCACTTTGATATGCTTCAGGGGCTTTACCAACTCCAACTATGTTAAATTGAGCGGGTTGAATTGGCCACGTGGACAGTCAGTGCTGTAGAGAAACGATTGAAATGTCCACTTCTGTGTCTACCAAACCTTTAAATTTCTTTCCCTGAATAGTTATTTCACAGGTATGACGTTTATCAGTAATTTGATTTACCCAGTAAGCTGCTTTGCCTTGTTTATTTGTGCTTCCAAATCCTCCTGTTTGTTTAATTTCACTTTTTACCATTCCCACATATGGCACAATCAGGAGCTGTGCTATTCGCTCTCCTGGCTCTGCTTTCCAGGGAACAGAAGTAGATATAACAATTTGAATTTCCCCATTGTAATCTGAATCAATGACTCCTGTATGTATTTGTACCCCTTTTAAATGTAAACAAGACCTGCCTAGAAGTAATCCTGTCGTCCCCGCTGGCAAGGGTCCACAGACTCCTGTTGGGACCTTTTGCAGGGGTTCCTCAGGCAGAAGGCTCACAGCTTTTGTGCAGCATAAATCTACTGGGGCACTACCGGCTGTGGCGGGGGACAGACATTGTACAGGGGTGAGGGAATGGTCTGAGCTGGAAATGCCCTGGTTTGGAATGGGGCCCAGGATGGGCCCCTCATGGCGTTTCCCGAAATCGGGTTCCCATCGTGACACTGATTAGCCCAGTGTTTTCCTTTTCTACATTTTGGACATATTTCAGACTCAGCAGTTTTCTTTTTTCCCCTATCTGGCAGCCTGACTCGCTGATTTTTTCTACATTCTTTTTTAGTATGCCCATGCTTCTCACAGTTAAAACAAGCTCCAGGAAGTGGAGTATTTCCTTTATCCACTCAGTACTGCTGTTGCCTGTGCTAGCAGAGTAGCCTTATGCAGATTACCTCCGATACCATCACAGGCCTTGATATAATCGACTAAATATGCTTTCCCGAATTTAAAAGGAAAAGGCTCAAATGTAGCTATAATATTTCCCTGTTGATCTGCGGGGTGTATTCTAACAGGGAACTGCCAAGCCTCTAAATCACCCTCTCATCTAACTTGCTGAATTCCTGCCTGAATAAAACTAAGAGCGGTTATTCAAGGCGCTGCTTGAACAGTCACTGAGGCAACTACTTTTCGCCCAGTGTCCTCTGGAAAGGAAAGATCTGGAGGGTCAGGCCACTCTTTTTCTTTAACATAATAATGAGGGGATGCAGAAGGGTAGACATGAACCTCTCCCTCCTTTGCCGCTTTAGCTGGCAAACAAACCTGCTCTGTAACCTCTTCTGTTACTTCGTTGTACTCTCCTTCCTCCTCATCATTAGTGTGAAAGTGTTCCAAGGTGGAACGAACCAGAGCCCACACTTGTGCCACTGTTACCCTGATGCTTCTGAGCTCCCCTTCTTACTCACCACGGGGTTGGC
The DNA here is from genome assembly GCF_000001405.40 of Homo sapiens. Lineage (NCBI taxonomy): Eukaryota > Metazoa > Chordata > Mammalia > Primates > Hominidae > Homo > Homo sapiens. The sequence goes on from NC_000006.12 coordinate 70,448,450, forward strand.
TTTAAGAGTACTCGAGTGTCCTCCAGCTTAGTTCCACGTTCTCCAACCGTCGCTCCGGTGACCCTTCGACCTGGATTCGAGCCCCCGTGATGGACGCCACTTGCCAAGACCAGCTCAGTGCTAACCCAGTGGTGCTAGAGGAATTAAAGGCGCACACACAGAAATATAGAGGTGTGGAGTGGGAAATCAGGAGTCTCACAGCCTTCAGAGCTGAGAGCCCCGAACAAAGATTTACCCGCGTATTTATTAACAGCAAGCCAGTCATTAGCATTGTTTCTATGGATATTAGATTAACTAAAAGTATCCCTTATGGGAAACAAAGGGATGGGCCGAAATAAATGGATGGGTTTGGCTAGTTATCTGCAGCAGGAGCATGTCCTTAAGGCACAGATTGCTCATGCTATTGTTTGTGGTTTAAGAACGCCTTTAAGCAGTTTTCTGCCCTGGGTGGGCCAGGTGTTTCTTGCCCTCATTCTGGTAAACCCACAACCTTCCAGCCTGGGTGTTATGGCCATCACATGTCACATTGCTGCAGAGATTTTGTTAATGGCCAGTTTTGGAGCCAGTTTAATGGCCAGATTTTGGGAGGCCTGTTCCCAACAGGTTTCTTCCCTCAAAATGGTTAATATAGAATGGGCTTTCCCTGATACATTCTAACAGAGAAGTGGCTTTCTTTTCATATTTTAAAATTTTTTTTGACAATTTAAAAGTTGTATATATGGAGTACAATGTAATGTTTGGATGTATGTATTAAATCAAGCTAATTAACGTATTTATCACCTCACCTACTTTTTTTTTTGTGGTGAGAACATTTTAAATCTATTCTTTTAGGAATTTTGAGATATGCAGTACATTATTATTAACTGTGGTCACCATGCAGTGCAATAGATCACTAAAACTTACTACTCCTGTCCAACTGCAACTTTGTACTCTTTGACTAACATCTCCTCTTTTCCCAATCCCCAACTCCCAGCCTCTGGTAAACACCATTCTACTCTCTGCTTCTATGAGTTCAAGATTTTTAGATTCTACATGTAAGTGACATTATACATTATTTGTCTTTCTGTGCCTGGCTTATTTCACTTTGCATAATGCCCTCTAGGTTCATTCATGTTGTTGCAAATGACAGAATTTTCTTATTTTTTAAGGCTATATGTAGTATTCTGTTGTATATATATATACTAGATTTACTATTCATTATCTAGTCATCCATTGATAAACACTAAGGTTGCTTCCATTATCTTAGCTATTGTCAATAATGCTGCAGTGAACATGGGAGGGCAGATATCTTTCTAATATACTGATTTCAGTTCTTTAAATATATACCCAGTAGTGGAATTGCTGGATCATATGGTAACTCTATTTTTAGTTTTTTGAGGAACCTCTATAATGTTTTCCATAATGGCTGTGCTAATTTACATTCTCACCAATAGTGTGCAGTGGTTCCTTTTTCTCCACATCCTCACCGACACTATCTTTTCCGTTTTCTTTTTGATAATAGCCATTCTAACGGATGTGGGTGATTCTTATGGTATTGATTTGCATTTCCCTGATAAATGGAGATGTTGAGCATTTTTTACATATCTGTTAGCCATTCGTATGTCTTCTTTTGAGAAATGTTTATTCATGCACTTTGCCCATTTTTTAATTTGGTTATTTGTTTTCTTGAAGTTGAGTTGTTTGAATTCCTTGTGTATTTTGGATATTAGTTCCTTATCAGATGTATGGTTTGCAAATATTTAAACTTTTTTTTTCCAAATCTGTGGGTTGTTTCTTCACTCTGTTAATTGTTTCTTTTGCTCTTCAGAAGCTTTTTAATTTGGCGTAATCTTATTTGTCTATGTTTGCTTTTGTTGCCTATGTTTTTGGGGTTATATCCAAGAAATCATAGCTCAGAACAATGTGATGGAGATTTCCTCTTGTGTTTTCTTCTAGTAGTTTTACAGTTTCAGGTCTTATATATAAATCTTTAATCCATTTGAGTTGATTTTGTATATGGTATGAGATAAGGATCTAATTTCAGTCTTCTGCCTGAGGATATCCAGTTTTCCCCACACCATTTATTGAAGAAACTGTCCTTTCTTCATTGTGTGTTCTTGGCACCTTTGTCAAAAACCAACTGACCATAAATGGGTGGGTTTATTTCTGGAATTCTGTCCTGTTGCATTGGTTGCTGTGTTTGTTTTTATGCCAGTACCATGCTGTTTTGATTACAATTGCTTGGAAATATATTATTTTGAACTCAGGGAGTGTGACCCTTTTAGTTGTTTTTTTTTTTTTTTTTTTTTTTTTTTTTTTTTTTTTTTTTTGAGTCAGAGTCTCACTCTGTCTCTCAGGCTGTTAGTGCAGTGGTATGATCTCAGCTCACTGCAAACTCTGCCTCCTGGATTTAAGCAATTCTCATGCCTCAGCCTCCCTAGTAGCTGGGACCACAGACACATGCCACCACGCCTGGCTAATTTTTTGTCTTTTTAGTAGAGATGGGGTTTCACCATGTTGGCCAGGCAGGTCTTGAACTCCTGACCTCAAGTGATCCTCCTGCCTTGGCCTCCCAAAGTGTTAGAATTACAGCCATGAGCCACCATGTCTGGCCACTTTCCTCTTTTTGCTCAAGATTGCTTCGACTATTCAGAGTATTTTGTGGTCCCATACAAATTTTAGTACTGTATTTTCTATTTCTGTGAAAAATGATGCCAGATAAATGCAGACTTTTGTTTAAATGTCTCCAAATTTTGTCAAACACATATTGAACACTTAACTGTGTGTAAACCAAGGATTGTGAATGTACGCTATGAATAAGACATGGTCTCTATGCGGAGGAAGTTTAAATTGAAGCATGTACCACTGTTTAGTATTAATTTGCTTTTATATCGTATACCTGTATATTTTAAAATAGCAATATTTTGCTTGATCTTTAGTCAAAACCCTTGACATGGGAAGTTGAAGAGTTCCTAGAAAACTTTGCTTTCCCCTGGTTTCAAGGTTCCCACTGATTCCACTTCGATCTTTTTTCACAGTTTTCTCATGTTTTCAAGCAGTCCTCATCTTAATCTTAACAAGTCATCTAACTTTATGGAGTTTTCTCATGCCCCTTTAAAGCCATATTGTGACTTTTAATGTTCCAAATTTGACTGACCTTTCATTTACTCTTTGCGATCTGATGCTATATCCTTTCCAAGATGACACCTTCCTAGAATAACAGTAATTAATATATTTATATTTTTAATCTTTGCCTTATTTGCAAATTTAATATCTGAAACCGCTCTCTAGGATATTATTGAAGAAAAACAAACATTAAATATTCACCTCCTCAGTATATATCTAAACTTATCCCTAATTTATAATGTTGATTGAGCTTTTGGTAATTTTGTGTGTATAGGTGTATGTATCCTCCATTACATACACAAATTTGCAGTGTGATGATGTTATAAGACAGTCATATTATAGTTTTTACCTCATAATCATCTTTTTCTTAAAGTTATTACTAATATTTGGTGGATTTTTAAATATATGTATGCTATTTCAAAAATCTTTTAGAATAAATAAGTAAAAGTACATAAACAAATAGCTCTGACCTTGAAAAAAAAAACAATTCTTTAAACCAACTGATATCTTCATTTTGTCATTTATAGAATCCAGTTTTTAAAAACTATTTATAATCTTCTATTTTCTCAAAATTACATTATAAGTAATTATCTTTTTATTTTATAAAAGCAAAAATGAACCAAATGAAACAATGAAGTTCTTAGACGCTTTTCTATTTCCACAGGTTGCTATCACATACAAAGTAAGAAATATTATATGTATTGTATCTGTTCCTTTCATTTATCTTTATATATACTGGGTTTCTCTTTTGGTTTTATGCCATGTTTATATTTGATATGTAAGCCTGATTTTTTTTTTCCAACAATAGTAAATGTTATGGGAGACTGATATAATTAGGCCAACTTTATTATTTTAATATGGATACAAATGTGGAAGTCGGGGCATTGCATATTTTTAAATATGTTTTGAAATAACTTCCTTGTTTATTTTGCTTTAGTTTTTACCAGATTCGTGCTTCTATGAAAATTCCATCAAGAATTCCCCACAGAGTAGAAGCTAGTTTGTTGCATGCAACAGGTAAGCCAAAGAATACATTCAAATTTAAAAAGTAATCTGAATGGTCAATAACTTTTAATAAAGTTTTTTCATTACAGATATAAGATACCTGTAATGGTATAACATCATTATGATAACCATTGTAAGAAATATATTTGGGGACTCAGTGAAACAGATTTGATTACAGATACTCTGTCTCCTTCTTAGATTTCATACAATGAGCACATCAAAGAATGTATATTAAAGTTTCATGAAAACAAATGTAGGATTGGTATCCATTATATCATATAAGATGCAATCTAAAAAGATACGCAGTAAATGGGAACATATAATTTGACTTATGGTTATAAAGGTGTTTTATGATAAAGTTTTATGGTATGCATTTTGAGGACATTTTTTAAACCAATTTTTTTTTTCTGGATTAGGTTCTCTATTTATGAAACAGAGCCAAAAGGCAATGTAGGAAGGTATGAAATAGACATGTTACAGCAGCTTTGTTAGTTACTCATATTCTAAGGAGAGACACCAGCATTAAAGGGGTTAAGTTAAAACTGGTGGCCCTGACATAATTAGTGGTCATTTTTCAGCTTTCCCAATGCAATATATGCTGTTTCATTACATATAGTTAGAAAATGAACCAGTTAATGAAACATTCTAAAGAGTTATTATGTAAGCCTAATATGAATTACTAGTTTTTAAAGCACCATAAAAATAATAAAATACACCTAACACTAGAGCTATGCTGAGCATAATTCAGTCCATTTTGAAATTTTAAAAAACTTGTTGGGTATTTGAAGTGTTTAGGATTCTCTTTTTATCATACTATGGATACTAAAATGTTGGTTAATGTTAAATTTTTTATTTTTATTTTTTATTATTATACTTTAAGTTCTAGGATACATGTGCACAACATGCAGGTTTGTTTGCATATGTATACATGTGCCATGTTTGTTTGCTGCACCCATTAATTCATCATTTACATTAGGTGTTTCTCCTAATGCTATTCCTCCCCCATCCCCCCACCCCACAACAGGCCCCAGTGTGTGATGTTCCCCGCCCTGTGTCCAAGTGTTCTCACTGTTCAGTTCCCACCTATGAGTGAGAACATGTGGTGTTTGGTTTTCTGTCCTTGCAATAGTTTGCTGAGAATGATGGTTTCCAGCTTCATCCATGTCCCTACAAAGGACATTAACTCATCCATTTTTATGGCTGCATAGTATTCCATGGTGTATATGTGCCACATTTTCTTAATCCAGTCTATCATTGATGTTCATTTGGGTTGGTTCCAAGTCTTTGCTATTGTGAATAGTGCCGCAATAAACATACGTGTGCATGTGTCTTTAGTAGCATGATTTATAATCCTTTGGGTATATACCCAGTAATGAGATCGCTGGGTCAAACGATATTTCTAGTTCTAGATCCTTGAGGAATCACCACAGTGTCTTCCATAATGGTTGAACTAATTTACACTCCCACCAACAGTGTAAAAAGTGTTCCTGTTTCTCCACATCCTCTCTAGCACCTGTTGTTCCCTGACTTTTTAATGATCACCATTCTAACTGGTGTGACTCATTGTGGTTTTGATTTGCATTTTTCTGATGACCAGTGATGATGAGCATTTTTTCATGTGTCTGTTGACTGCATAAATGTCTTCTTTTGAAAAGTGTCTGTTCATATCCTTTGCCCACTTTTTGATGGGGTTGTTTGATTTTTTTCTTGTAAATTTGTTTAAGTTCTTTGTAGATTCTGGATATTAGCCCTTTGTCAGATGGGTAGATTGCAAGAATATTCTCCCATTCTGTAGGTTGCCTGTTCACTCTGATGGCAGTTTCTTTTGCTGTGCAGAAGCTCTTTAGTTTAGTTAGATCCCATTTGTCAATTCTGGCTTTTGTTGCCATTGCTTTTGGTGTTTTAGTCATGAAGTCCTTGCCCATGCCCATGTCCTGAATGGTATTTCCTAGGTTTTCTTCTAGGATTTGTATGGTTTTAGATATAATGTTTAAGTCTTTAATCCATCTTGAATTAATTTTCATATAAGGTGTAAGGAAGGGGTCCAGTTTCAGCTTTCTACATATGGCTAGCCAGTTTTCCCAGCACCATTTATTAAATAGGGAATCCTTTCCCTATTTGTTGTTTTTGTCAGGTTTGTCAGAGATCAGATGGTTGTAGATGTGTAGTGTTACTTCTGAGGCCTCTGTTCTGTTCCATTGGTCTATCTCTCTCTTTTGGTACCAGTGCCATGCTGTTTTGGTACCAGTACCATGCTGTGTTGGTTACTGTAGCCTTGTAGTATAGTTTGAAGTCAGGTAGCATGACGTCTCCAGCTTTGTTCTTTTTGCTTAGGATTGTCTTGGCAATGCAGGCTCTTTTTTGGTTCCATATGAATTTTAAAGTAGTTTTTTCCAATTCTGTGAAGAAAGTCATTGTTAGCTTGATGGGGATGGCATTGAATCTATAAATTACCTTGGGCAGTATGGCCATTTTCACAATATTGATTCTTCCTATCCACGAGCATGGAATGTTTTCCATTTGTTTGTGTCCTCTTTTATTTAGTTGAGCAGTGGTTTGTAGTTCTCCTTGAAGAGGTCCTTCACATCCCTTGTAAGTTGGATTCCTAGGTATTTTATTCTCTTTGAAGCAATTGTGAATGGGAGTTCACTCATGATTTGGCTCTCTGTCTGTTATTGGTGTATAGGAATGCTTGTGATTTTTGCACATTGATTTCGTTATCCTGAGACTAATGTTAAATTTTAATGAATTATACATAGTGTAGAGTTTATCTTCCTGAAGACTATTAAAATGCTCACAGAGGTCTGTTGCTTATGACAAATACACACACACACACACACACACACACACACACGTATATATACATGTGTATGTGTGTGTATATGTATATATATTTTGTATATTCATTCATCTTAAAATGAAAAAGAATTTATTCTTCGCTTGGCATACATGTCAATGTATATATTATTGCCATAATAGATCATCTTTTGTAAGTCTACTTTCACGAAACATAGAGGTAATAAAACAAGGTGACATGACATGACAGATTTGGTGTACTCTTTTGAACATCCTTGAATCTAGTAGACTAGATTTCTAGCTCAGTTTTTTCTCCTGAAGTTGCCAGTTGAGAAAATCCTCAGATTTTAGTTGGTGAGATATCTTTCAAGATGGCAAGATACTTGACATATATTCCACAAGGTTAAATAGTCTAACCACTTTTAAGTAATAAATTTTAAAGATATGTTTGTTCCTTATTATTAAAGTTTCGAGAGAAATAATGTCAAACCTATGAATATTAATTCATTTTTTTTGAAGCGGAGTCTTGCCCTATCGCCAGGCTGGAGTGCAGTGGTGCGATCTCGGCTCACTGCAACCTCCGCCTGCCGGGTTCAAGCAATTCTCTTGTCTCAGCCTCCCAAGTAGCTGGGACTACAGGCGTGCATCACCACACCCAGCTAATTTTTGTATTTTTAGTAGAGATGGGGTTTCACCATGTTGGCCAGGATGGTCACGATCTCTTGACCTTGTGGTCCACCCGCCTCGGCTGCGCCCATCCTGAATATTAATTCTTAACCACTAAAGTTGTCCTTGTATAATTCTCAGCAAATGATTGATTCAAATACCCAAAAGGAAGTATGCTAGAAGAAAACATTTGCTGATTTCTTAATTTCAGTTACTATATAGTCTTACTTGTATCAAACCCAACTATCTCCTTGTTATGTCAGGCATGATTTCTCCATTCTTTCATTATTCCTTTTCTGAAACAATAGATTTAGAAGTTCTTTACATTTACAAATGAAACATTTTAAATCATTGAGTTAATCATTAATCATTTAGCATTTCTCTGTATCATACAGAGAATTGTTTCTACTTTGTTTTTCGCAGATTCCAAATAATTACCTCAGAGGACTGGAAATTTTAACTGTGCTTGGTTATTACAAATCAATTCCAAGAAAGATTTTGAATGTCAGAATTATTCTTTGGGAATAATGACTAGTGGACAAAAGTATCATTTGAAAATAAAATCTTATTGGTTAGATTTTTAGGTTGGTGTAAAGGATATAATTAAGTGTCACAATATTTAATTTGGTTGATGTGTTTCATTAAAGACTATTTTCTTCATAATGTTAACTTACTCCTCAAGTGACTTCCTCTTTTAGTAGTAAGTTACCTTGCCCTAACTTTATGGAAATATTTCTCTACCTCTGCTTATTGACTTGTGAGCTCAGGATAAGGAAGGGCATCAAAAATAAATTGTGAAAAGATTTAACAGTAACCCCTGATTACTCTTCCTGGTCCAGTGGCCCTTGAGTGACTGTGCTTGCTGCTACTTGTATTACAGTTCAGTCAGGAGCACCCTTTTCAGGCGTGGTAGTGGCATTATCTTGGTTAACAATAGTTTAGAATTATGACTCTGGGCAGGAACCTCAGAATCTATTCATTGCAGTGATCTAAAGTCAGGTGTGTCATTCAGCAACTTCTGGACCTTTAAGAACACTTTTTATCCTGATAACTCAGAGTGGATGCTGTGTTTTAAAGAACACAGATATACTTTATGGCAACAAGGAAATGTCCTTTCTGTGTTTTCATAGCATGTCACATCTTACAGATGTTTTTCCAAGGCTTTTTGAGTGTTTTGTCTTTAGTAATTTATGAGCTAAATACATGACTGATACATTTTCTGTCAGTGACTATTTACTGCAGCAACTGAGCTTTCAAATCTAGTGAGTGTTCATTTATTATTATATTTGATAGTGACAGGGTGGTGCTACAGACTCAGTCAAGATTCTTTCCGTACGTAGTTTCAGGGCACGAAATCATTCCGCCTTTATTAGGTTACACCTAATCTGTGCATTAACAATGTGAATATTGTGATATTTGTATTTAGCCTCATCTTATACAAGAAACGTCTTCCATCTGACATTTTATTTTCCAAATGAGTATGTTTGTTCAACATTGTCAGTTTTACCTTTACTCACCAGAAAAGTGGACATTTTATAGCTGCTCAGTCCCTTCTTTGTCTTTTGAGAGAAAAAAAATTCTAGAAAAGATAAAAATGAATTTATTTTATGGACAACCCTATTTGAACCAAGTTCCTTGATCACTATTCTTCATCAACTAAATACTGGTTGGAAAGGATTTATCTTCTATAAAAATTAACAGAAGTTATAATTCAATCTCTAGGTCATTGGTATGGCAGAAATATTACATATAATTAATGTTATTTACAAAGTAATGTTATTTTGACATGACAAACTGTGTCAGAAATGCCCAAATAGAGTACCTTCTCTTAGTCTTTTCCTGGGTACTTAATTTTTTTTTCTTAGTTATGTCTAGATTTAATCATTGCTGCTGCCAACTAAGTTTCTAGGTTCTGATACGATCAGTTGCATATAATAGACTATGAAATGTAGTGATCTGATAGTTTACTAGTATATTTAAAGGAAATATCTTTTAAAAATAAATAGTTTGTGGCAGACACCAGTCTATAAAAGGGAAGCCTGAGTTTGAAAATGATAGGCTTCCATATTATATAATATGTGAAAATCTCACATATGTGAAAATATTATCTGTGTATTTTTTAATAGCATTATACTAGAAGTTTTTAGAAGATTATATACTTTTAGTTAAATGATAGCAGCCAAAATAGCAAGCACAAGAACCAAATTTTGGACAGAAGAAGAAAGAAATACATAAAATCTCTTTCACCCTTTTTTCTCATTCTCTTTCAAAATAGCAAATTTTACCTGTCATGTCTGAAATGTGCTAACAAATATGACTTCTCAAGATCTTTCATATTTCAAATATTATATCAATGTATTTTATTTTTAATTCTCTAATTTATGATAACTTGTTTTTCTTGTTTGTGGTTTGCAAAGATATGTGCAAAGCCTTTCCAATAAAGTGGCTCTGAACAAATTGTGAGACATGCTGTTTTTCTCCTGCCTGACACTATTCCCAACATGATTACCTTGTATGTATAGGTAACAACCTTTCCATAGCTTTTGAATGTTGTTTCATCCTCTGGGCACCTGTGGTAAGGTAAATCTGGTAAAGTATCAAGTATTTCATGCCAGTTTACCCCAGAATAGCCTCTATCTTATTAAATGTTAAATTAATATGAATATCATAGAGGATAGTGATTGATGGGATGTGGTGACTTATGACATGCGTCTCACAAGTGTTAGTTTGAAACAAAATAATGTTCTTCTGTCTAGATGCATTTCCTCCCCAGCAGTCTGAAAAAACAAGGCAAAGAAGGCTGCCAACTTATTACAATCTTTGAGATATTGTTTCTGCCTTCTATATCCTTCCCTCAAAATTTCATTTTTCAGTAGTACTAACGAGTTCTTACAGTGTGTATCTTTTCACTATTAGTAAATTATTAAGGAAAGGTATCCTTTTCTGCCTCAAGAAATTGCTCCCATGTATTTAACTGACTTTTAATAAATAAATATATTGATTCCTAGTCTTATCCTTGAACATAAATAGCTTTATATAGGATGATTTTCTTTTATCCTTTGTGTTAATTTTTTACCTCTGTTCCTTAAAAATTCATTTTTTCTTTTAAGGGCTTGGATTTTTCTCTATGCTTTTTATTACCTGCTCTATTTTTCTTTTAACTTTGATTCGTACTTTCATCTTAATACCTTTTCCTTCCAGCGCTAAATTTTACCATAATTCGTATACCTTCTGTATATTTTGAGAAAACTTTTAGGAAAAATAGTTTAAAATAATGATTTCTGTCTGTGAGTTACAGTGGAGCAGGTTGAGTGGGATGGGAATTAGATAGTATTATACAGCTTATTGCCATACATTTACATTATTTCCAGCACAAGATTATGCTGACAGTGAGAGGTTCGAGTCAGGAAATATCTGTCATCTGCAATAACATCAGTCATGAAAGACAATGAGTATTTATAGAACTGTTGAAAATTGATTGGTAAGAAAAGCATTCATAGACTTTTACAACAGAGAAGTCATTGCTGGTTTTAGGAATCTGGCTCCAGTTTGAAATGTTATGCAGTTTTCATAAAAAGTTTAAATAATGACATCCTAGTAATGATAGTATTATTAAGATTAAATGTATTTTGTTTAGTTTGCTTTTTAATATTCATCCATCTTTTTTTCTGGAAAAAAATTTTTTATCAAAATAATATACAGCATATGGTTAAAAGATCAATTAGTCACCAGGCGCGGAGGCTCATGCCTGTAATCACAGCACTTTGGGAGGCTGAAGCGGGCAGATTACGAGGTCAGGAGTTCGAGACAAGCCTGACCAACATCGTGAAACCCCGTCTCTACGACAAATGCAAAAAAAATTAGCCAGGCGTGGTGGCGGGTGCCTGTAATTCCCGCTACTTGGGAGGCTGAGGCAAGAGAATCGCTTGAACCTGGGAGGTGGAGGTTGCAGTGAGCCAAGATCGCATCACTGCACTCCAGCCTGGGGACAGTGTGAGACTCCGTCTCAACAACAACAACAAAGATGAATTAGCCCAGAAAGACTTGTAGTAAAAACTATAGCTTGTTTTCTAGATGTAACAACTTTTACCCGTGTCTCTAGTCCTTATGGTTACCTCCATAGGGACATTGTCAATGGACTTCCTGTTATGATAAAAAGACTATTTATCTTATTTACACCATTTCCTCGTTCCCTCTCCCCCAACCTTTTAAAAGAGATACTGTTATTCTCATATGTGTTTCTGACCAGTCTCTGTAGCTTCAAACAGTATATTTAAAGCTCCATTTTCTACTTCAGTGATCATGACAGACTTCTTATTTTGAAATAAGGATATAAACAGTCCCACCATTTTTTTCTTCTCAAATTTTCTCTCTTTCTACCTTCCAAACTCTGTTGGAATTATCAAGGTTGCTGACATTCATATCCTGTTTTGTAACTAGTTAAATCTTTTGTCCTTTGTCTATTGGTTGGTTCTAAAGGTTGAAAACAAGTATTTGCACTTTGGTGGTAACACAAGAAGGAAAGGGTTTCTAGAATCGAAATGACTATCCAACATAAAGAAGGAAGATCATAAGCGTCCAGTAAGACAATTAAGGCAGGTCTAGTTACTTTGGTATTGATGTGGATCACTGTTAGATAGCTAGCTAAGAATATTTTTCTGAAAACCGATAAAACCATTTATGAGATGGGAAACATGAACTAGTGTGACCAAGAGCAAGAAGGAAGAATTTAAGAAAAGAAGAGATAGATAGAAGATTTATCTATCGATCTATCTATCTATCTATCTAGATATCTATTAGATTTACCTAGATAGATAGATAGCTATCTTTTTTTTTTTTTTTTAAGTAGACTCTCACAATGGTGGGATCTCGGCTCACTGCAACCTCCGCCTCCTGGACTCAAGAAATTCTCCTGCCTCAGCCTCCCGAGTAGCTGGGATTATAGGCACGCACCACCACGCCTGACTGATTTTTGTATTTTTAGTAAAGACGGGGTTTCATCAGGTTGGCCAGGCTGGTCTCAAACTCCTCACCTCAAGTGATCCGCTGCCTCAGCCTCCCAAAGTGCTGGGATTACAGGTGTAAGCCACCGTGCCAAGCCTATAGATAGATAAATCTTAATGTAGTTTAGAAACTGTTAATTCAGAGATGCTGCTCTGATGTAGTTAACAAAATAGTGACTTGGAATCAGGAGTCTGTCTTCCTACTGTGCTACCTGGGAAAACTCACTTAACCTCCTTGAGCTTCAGTTTCTCCTCTGTGCAGTGTATTACCTGCTACACAGGGTTATTGTGCATTAAATAACTGAAAGTACTTAGACTGTAAAGGGCTGTATACCTTTTATGTTATATACCTCAATATGTTAAATATTGAGTTCTAGAGATATAAGGAATAATGGAAAACAGTCATGTTTTGACTCATTATGCTATGAACCATTTTATGTAAAGAACTGAAACATAATTTTTCTGTGTTATGTATAATTTCTATTATATAGCAAGTAATGAAGTGCATAGGATAACATTTCATGTTAATAAGTATAATTTTAAAATTTCATATTTTTCTGAAAACCAATAAAACTATTTATGAGATAGGAAACATGAACTAGTATGACCAAGAGCAAGAAGGAAGAACTGAAGAGAAGAAGAGAACTCCCGAAAGATCCCTAAATTTATATAATACCTCATGGAAATCTAGGTACCTGAGACTGCATTTCTATTCTTATAAAGCTAGCTTCCTCTGTGGAATGTGTTTTAATTTGGGCATAACTAGTTTCAAATCTTGTTCTGCCACTCACTAGCTATTTGGTCTTAAGCAAATTATTCCATTTATTTGAGTCTTTCTTTCCTTATCAGTGTAATAGATATAATCCTTCTCACAGTGTGTATGTAAAAATTAAGTTAGAAAATTGTGTAAAGAGATCTAGTACCATGCTCAGTAAATGTCTTTTCCCTGTGTCTTGCCCTCCCTTTCTGTCCTAAATTGCCCCAGTAGTTAAAATGCTGAAATAAGGTGGACTCTAGGATCTCAGAACCAGCTTGATATAAGGAAAAACAGTCTAAGAAAAAGCCATTTATATGTAATTTCCTTAGTTTTCAAGAATTCACTCTATGTGTAGACAGGTTAGTTGAATGATATGGTTTAACTTTTTTTATAGCTCCTTTCCATCTTTTCTCTCCAATGAGATAGCTGTTCCTTACTAGTGTTGGAGTTCTGTGGTGTATATGAGAGAACACATATGTTTGAAATAGTTTATCAGTGTGACATTGACGGCCAAGCACAGGCTGTGGCACAAACAGCTGTGGCATTTGATTTCTGGGCAGATTATCAGAACCTTGGTGTCTGTAAAATGTATATATTAATCCCTACAATATAAGGTTGCCAAAATGATTAATAATGATTTCCATAAAGCACAGTGCCCAGCACACAGTATTTAGTAGCCAGTATTAGTACTAATAAGACTGAAATGGAGGGAAAAAGGGAAATTTCACAAAAATTCAAATGATAATGTGTGGGGAAGGTCTTAATAAAAAAAAGTTCTCCATTTTGATAGAAGCTTTACAACTAGATAAGCATTTAGACTTACAAGAAATCAGCCCAGGTTGGTTAAAAAAAAAAAAATGCAGCTATTGGTATTTGACCAGGTTTTTTCTAAGGCCACTTCTCTGTCTTGGATAATATTTTTTGTGTGTGTATATATGTATTTCATTTTTCTTCCTATATGCTACTACCCAGCTTTTAGGTAGGTGATAGCAGTTTCAAAAAGTTAACATCAAGGAGAAAGGAAGGCTGGAAATAAGGGCTAGTTATAAAAGTAAGGAAAGATTGTCCCAGTTACTTTATTTTGGCAGTGGTTAATTAGCTACTTGGAATAAAGCTTCAAATATTCTGAAGTGCTGTTAGCAGAACCATATCTTTCTCCTCTATTAGTTGTCTCCTTAAGCTTTGCTCAGCCACCAGCTTTTCAGGGCCTTCCTTTGAGAGCCACTGAAATGTTGGGATAGTTCTGCTGTGTTAAGATTTTTTATGATTTGATCCTATCCTACATGTCGAATTTTGTTTCCCACCATTCTTGTGGATTCAATGGAACTACTTTCAGTTTCTCAAGTTTGATGGGTTCTATTTGCTCATATTTTGTGCATGCTCTCCTCTCTTCTCCTTATTACCTCCTTTTTAAAACCGTAGGTAACTCCCCTAAGCAGTTAGATGTTTCCTTTGCCTTGCTGTCATAGTCCTTTTTCTTTTTTTTGAGATAGGGTCTTGCTCTGTCACCTAGGCTGGAGTGCAGTGGTGTGATCATAGTTCACTATAGCCTTGAACACCTGGGCTCAAGTGATAATCCCACATCAGCCTCTCAAAGTAGCTGGGACTACAGGCGCATGCCACCACACTGGCCTAATTAAAAAAAAAAAAAAAATTTGTAGAGACGGGAGTCTTAACTGTGTTGCCCAGGCTGGTCTCAAACTCTTGGCCTCAAGCAGTCTTCTCACCTCTGCCTCCCAAAGCGCTAGGATTACAGGTATGAGCCACCACTCCTGGCCCATAGCATTTTCTATGTACCTCTTTTAGCTTATGTTGTTATAATTTTTTCTCAGAAATGGGATTCTACTAAAACAAACATCAATCACCATTAAAGAACAGTGCTTTAAAAAAAAATGAGGAAAAGTTAAACATATAGCTAGAGACATTTCATATTATGTCACTAATCCTTTACTGTTATCAGTAATTGAATAATCTCAACAGCCATAAATGGAAAACTCACCATAAAGTTAGGTCCTTGAATTAAACTGCATAGATTACAAAATGGAAGTCATTTGGCAAGCCTCCATTTTGCTTTCCTCAGATTCAACAGCTTCTATCATTGCCCTTTAATTGTCTTTTTACCTGGTTTAAGAGATAGTGTTAGATTGCTATTTGCTTTGGCCTGCTGAAATAGGCAGTTAAGAGATTATCACATTGTACTGCAATTATTTATTTGAATGTTTCTATCCAAACTAGACTGGGAGCTCTGAAAGTGGGCAGAGTTCTTACTTATGTTCATGTCTTTTACTTCCCAGTAGTTGAGAGACTTAATAAATTATGGTTGAATGAATAGTCACTTGGTCACAAAGTAAATGAAAGATACCAGTGCTAACTTTTAACCAAAGGAAACGGAAATGCAGATAGTGATAGAAATAAAATATAAATTATCATGATTGAATGTAAGCATTTAGAAGCCTCTAATTATCTCAAGTCTTTAAAACTATAGATCTGAATGTTTGTGTTAGCAGATAACTGATAGGCAAAATAAAAATCAAGTCATTTGAACAAGGAAATAGGATATTAAATTAAGAAGTTAGACGAACATTCATTTATTAAATAAATACTTTATGACTGCCTACTATGTGTGAGACCTAAGTGCTCAGTCCTAAATTAAAGCAGTGAAAAAGATTAATGTGGTTTCTGACTTAATGGAGTTGTTATCATCTAGCAAATATTAGAAAACAAAGTTTCAGATTCAAGACAGTAATCTTAGCATACACGTTTAGGTCTTTTGTTTCCCAGACCCTTCAGTTTGATAATAACATTAAAGTGTAAAAAGGAATAACAGAACAATATTTCAGTTATTTATTTTTTTAAATTTCTTTCTTTCTTTCTTTCTTTTTTTTCTTTTTTTTTTTTTTTTGAGACAGTCTCACTTTGTCACTCAGGCCGAAGTGGTGCAGTGGTGTGATCTCGGCTCACTGCAACCTCCGTCTTCCCAGTTCAAGCGATTCGCCCATCTCAGACTCCCAAGTAGCTGGGATTATAGGCATGCACCACCACGCCTGGCCAATTTTTTTTTTTTTTTTTTTTTTTTTTTTTCAGTAGAGATGGGGTTTCACCATGTTGGCCAGGCTGGTCACAAACTCCTGACCTCAAGTGATCCACCTGCCTTGGCCTCCCAAAGTGCTGGGATTATAGGCATGAGCCACCACACCTGACCTAAAATTTTGTTATCTTGAATAACTGAAATTCTATACCATTGAACAGCAACTCCCCATTTTCCTACCCCCTGTCAACCCACATTCTGCTTTCTGTTTCTATGAGTTTGACTGCTTTATATACCTCATATAAGTGGAGTCATGCAGTATTTGCTTTTCTGTGACTGGCTTATTTCACTTAGCATAATGTCCTTAAGGTTTTTCCATGTTGTAGCTATGACAGGATTTTCTTTTCTAAGGCTGAATAATATTCTTTAATATGTACATACCACACTATCCATTAATTTGTAGATAGACATTTATGTTTTTTCTACCTCTTGACTATTATAAATAATGCTTCAATGAATGTGAGTGTGCAAACATCTCTTTGACCCTCTTTTATCAGTTCTTCTGGATAAATACCTAGAAGTGAGATGCTGGATTATATAGTAGTTCTATTTTTATTATTTTTATTTTTTGAGACAGGGTCTCGTTCTGTCATCCAGGCTGGAGTGCAGGGGTGCAATCAAGGCTCACTGCCCTCGACCTCTTGAGCTTAAGTAGTCCTCCTACCTCAGCCCCATGAGTCACATATGTTTTGTACATATGGAGCCTAACTTTGTTGCCCAGGCTAATCTTGAACTCCTGGACTCAACTGTTCCTCCTGCCTCGGCCTCCTAAAGTGCTAAGATAACAGGCGTGAGCCACACACTGTGTGTGGCCAGTCGTTCTATTTTTAATTTTTTGAGGAACCCCCATAGTATTTTGCACAGCAGCTATACTGTTTCACGTTTTCACCAACAGTACACAAGAGTTTCAGTTTCTCCACATCCATAAGTGCTGATCATGTTCATAATACTAACATGAAGTAAGAAATAAATGAGACAAGGTCCTTGCCTTCGAGAAATCTCCATTTCTTCCTCCTGAAAGGCTCTTCCCTTTTATCTTCATTTGACTAACTCTTTTTCATGGTGTTTCAACTCAAATGCTATGTTGTCAACAAAGCCTCTCCTGGTTTCACAGCCTAAGTTCACCCCCATATTGTAAGATGTCATAGCACTCTGTCTTCTGTACACTTAGTGTAGATGTAATTTACAGAATTAGGTGAGGTCAGGGAAAATGGTTGGTTTTTTTGTTCAGTCCACTTAGCTGAGAAAATCCATGGCACAAAGCAGCTATATAGTGAATGTGTAACTTTGCATTATGAAATATATTGCACATTTTTTGACGATTACATAACACAGTATTTTATTAAATAATAAAATGAACACCCAGGTACCCAACCTTTCATTTAAGAAATAGAACATTACTAGTACTGTAAAATCCTCCTGTATACCCCTCTTGACGTTTGTGTTATTCTTTTGCTTTCTTTATAGTTTTATCATTATGAGTGCATTTTGTCAGTATAACTATATTCCAAGGAAATATCTGGTTGAGTTTGAAAAAAATTGAGTGGCAAGCACAAACCCAGCTGTGTAAGATAGCATAAATATCGCTATTATTAAAAGAAGTCTCCCAGAAGAAAAGTTGAACAGAGTCTCTGGGTTATGGTATGCTTCTTTATACCTGAAAGGTTTTAAGACTCCCTTTGGAGATGTTCGTGGGCAAGGTCAAGAGTGAATTGTGTAAAACAGAGTTTACCACTTTCAGGGCTTCTGGCAAGATTGTAATGTGATAAAATATTGGATATCTAACATATGGAACAGACTGATTTGCATCTGAACTTAACATTGCCCTCCTCCAACTCTCAGGAGCAGGCCAAAGCAGAAAACTTCAGTGAAGTGAAAATAGTATCATCAGATGATCTAGGCTAGAAACTTCATTAGTACACCTTCAAATAAGCCAAGCACTGAAAAGAAATTTAGCCAAGCTTTTAATCTGTCCTCAGGTTAAAGTTGGTACCCTAGCAGCAGGGATGTTAACATATCTTTTATGGCACACAAATCCGAACTACATTGGTCACTGTAGATTAGCTAAGGAAGAGGATCTGTTTGGGATCTTCCTTCACCATCTTCCTAGGCATTCCCTTTGCATCTCTTCTATGTTGAATCTCTTATTTCCTAACATCTGTTTTTTCTCTTTCTTGGTTTATTCTCTCAGTTTCGTAGAGCCTATAAATAGTTAACTTGTTGAGAAAAGTGGCATGGGAAATAAATATTTTGAAGCCTTCAGCATCTAAAAGTCTTTTCATTCTACCCTTAACAGTTATTTGGAAGTTCAGCTAAGTATAGAATTCTAGGTTGGAAACCTTTTTTCTTTGGAATCTTGAAAATATTACTCCATTATCTTTTGGTTTGCAGCATTGCTGTTAAGAGTTCCAAAGCCATTCTGATTACTAATCTTATTTTTTTCTCCAAAAAAAAAAATGACTGATTTTTAATCTTCTATGTGACCTTTTTCCCCTTTCAAAAATCTGGTAGAATATCCTCTTGGTAACTGGGGTTCTGATGGCACATAATGCTGTACCTTGGGTCTTTGAGTACTTCAGTTCTGAGAAATTTCTTAATTTGTTAACAATTATCTCCCATCTGTTTTCTTTGTTCTTTCTTTTTGGAACTTCTTTTGTTTATAAGGTGGATCATCTTTACTGGCTTTCTTAAGTTTTAGTTTTTTCTTCTCCTTTTTCCCGTTCTCTTCTTGGCTCTACTATGATATTTCTTCACCTTTATTTTTAACCCTTTTTTGAGCTATTTGCTTTTGTGCTTTCTATCTTTTACTCTCTTATTCTCTCTCCCACTCCCTTTCTCCTTCTTTTCTCCTTTTCTTCTCTCCTTCCCTCTCTCTCATCGCTTCTCTCTTCATTTTAAAATCCAAGTGCTCTTTTGTCTGAGTGTTCCTTTGCTATAACAATGTTTTCCTGTTTCATGAATGTAATATCTTCTCTAAGAACAATATTCTTCTTTTTTAAAAAAATTTTTCGTATGTTACTTTTTTTCTCTTTGTTTTAGTCTCTAACTTAAACATGTTAAAAGTGTCCTTCTGATATTTGATAGGCCTCAGTTGTCTAAACATGAGTGAAAGGAAGGCTGATGGGAAATTCTGAGAGCCTGCAGGGGACTTGTCTGAGCCTCATTTTAGGGCGATGGTGAGCCATTTGTCTAAGGAATCTTTGAAGTCAGTATTGATAGTTATTTTTCATTGAATTCATTAGATTCCCCATGTCAAGAACTGTGAAGAATCTGAGATTATACTGTATATATCACTGAGAATTCTTCTCTATGGTTTCTCATGTTTCTGAGAAGAGAGAAACATTTTATGAGCAGAGACACTGAAAGCCTTCTGTTTAAAAAGACCATCTTTTTAAGGATATGTGTGCAATGAACAGCTTTGGAAGTTATAGACAGTGTCTCTGTCTAGAACATACAGTACATTTATCTACTTTCCAATATAATGGACAGTGCAAAAGTTACATAGGTTTTCTTATAGCTACCCTTATAAAAGATAGAGGTTTCCTAAGCTTAGGGTTCCTCAATTGTGACCAAAAACCCACCACATACATGGTATCCACCTGGCCTGCCTCCATGTCACTCCCATGGGACTTGGAAGAGTGAATACAAGGGAAACTAACATGAACAGGAAGCTCATGCTGCTTGCTATGCTGTGCATAATCAAACCTTTTGTCTTTGACCCAAGAGTCTTGTGTCTTCTGCCAACATATATGAAACTGTGGCAGACTAGCTTGTTAGGTTGCAAGTTTGGTAAAATCTAAGATTTTACAGTTCTTGAAATGACATAGAAGACTCTTGTCTGTCTCCTTCCTAGAGAGTAAGAATCTAGCTGACAGCCTTCTAGGAGCCCAGTAGAGAACAATTCTGATCTCTGCACTTAGTATTCAATATGCCTATGCTCGTATATTCATGCTCTCTCAGTTTTGCCAGGTGATTTTTAGTTCAGAGGACTTCTATTCTCTTCAGAGAATAAACTTCCAGACTTCTGCTAGGGTGAAGGAGGGGACAGCGACCTAGTGGCCTGTAGTAGGGGAAAGAACACAGGAATCAGTTTTCTTCTTTGCTGATAGGTTCCCTTCTCAAGAAAGCATTGCCTGGCTTTTCTGTTTAAAATTACTATCTTTCTTATCCCTCTTTTCCTTTCTTTATTTTTCTCCATAGCACTTAATGCTTGTAACTTTCAAATGTATTCTATCATTTACTTACTATATTTATTCTCTATCACACCACTCCGTTAGGATGTAAGCTCTATGAGGTCGGAGATTTTTATCTCTTTCATTTAACTGTGTATCCCAAACACCTAGAGAATACCTGATACATAATAAGTATTCAGTAAATATTTGTTGATCGGATGAGTGAATGAATGACTAGGAAGTTGCACATCTGTTGCCTGTTGCTTCTGGTTTGAGAATAAAATTAAGATGAAGTTTATTATATGTAAGTCACTGGTATTTCTTTTTTAAAGCTTAAAATATTGATGTCAGTTGAGGATATAGGCAACTTTCACTGAAATCATTCACAGCAATTTAGAATTACTGATTTTGTATACAACTTCTTATCTGGCATGAGAATTCCTTTAGAGCATTCCTAAAGGCAGCCTTCTTTTTTCTGTCAGATCATTTTTAGTATTGTTGGTAGAACCAGTGGGTTTACTGAAGAATTGGTTGTGAGGCATAGAAAAGAAGAAAGAATAAAGTTCACAGATCTAGTAAGTGGCAGAACCAGGACTAAAACCTAGCCAGTCTGGCTTCACAATCTATGTTCCTAACCACTGCACTATGCTGCTTCTTGATGAGAAAAGAACAGCACCCCCACCCCCTGCAAAAAAAAGAGACGAAAAAGGGGTGGCCCATGAGGTAGGAGTAGAACTAGGAGAGTGTGATGTCCAGAAAGCTACATTTAAGAAGTGTATCAAGAATGAGAGGATGGGCAACATAATGAGACCTCATCTCTACAAAAAATAAAAAATAAATTAGCTTGGCTGAGGTGAGAGGATCGCTTGAGCCCTGGAGGTCAAGACTGCACTGAGCCAAGATAAGTGCCACTGCACTATAGCCTGGGCACAGAGTAAGACTCTGTCTCAAAAAAAAGTAGAAAAAAAAACAACAACAAAAGAACAAGAATGAGAGAATGCATATTATATGATGGATCATAGTATCTATGTTAGATACTGATTATAAGTCAAGTAAGATGAGGTTTGAGAGTTGACCTTTGGATTTGGCAAAGGAGAAATCATTAGTGGTTTTGATAAGAACAGTTATATGGGCTAAAGTCTGATTGGAGTATGAATTATTGCTGTGTAAAAATTTATCCCACAACTTAGTTTAAAACAGCAAACATTATCTCACAGTTTCTGTGTGTCAGAAATTTAGCTGCATGCCTCTGACTCAGGATCTCTCATTAGGTTATAGTCATTTACTTCTGCTGTATTCACACAAATCCTACTATTACTTCTTTTTTTTTGGAGATGGAGTTTCACCCTGTTGCCCAAGCTGGAGTGCAGTGGCACAATCTCGGCTCACTCTGCAACCTCCGCCTCCCAGGTTCAAGCAGTTCTCCTGCCTCAGCCTCCTAAGTAGCTGGGATTACAGGTGGCCGCCACCACACCCACCTAATTTTTGTATTTTTACTAGAGACAGGATTTCGCCATGTTGGCCAGGCTGGTTTCAAACTCCTGACCTCAAGTGATCTGCCCGCCTCAGCCTCCCAAAGTGTTGGAATTACAGGCGTGAGCCACTGCACCCAGTCCCTACTATCACTTCTATCACATAGATCAACCCTGGTCCTTTCTAGGAGATTGTGCAATAGTGTGAATACCAGGAAGAGAATCATTGGAGGCCATTTTAGAGGCTGGCTATCACACAGTGAGCTGAAGAGAGAATGGGAGATGAATCAAACACACTAAATAGCAAAGACTTTTGAGTTTTGCCTGAAAAGGGAGCAGAGAAATAGGGAGTTTGTCTAGGTGCATCTGCAGGTAGATCCTATAGTAGAGCTTATAGAACTTCTGATTATTTTTATTTTCTCATGAAATAAGAAACAAATTTATCAGTGAGACTGAAGGCTAGGTTTGAGGAGAGAAAATAATTTATGAAATAGTCATCTAAGAATATGGGGATAAAATGGATTTGGAAAATACGGTATGATTGCTAGGCAGCACTAAAGACCCACTTGAAATTAACGGTCATGAATTTAAAGTATAGCCAGTCAAGATAGCTGTTTGTTTTTCTCCAGGCACATTCAGTTTGTGGGTACAAGTGTGGATTGGGCAGAGAGCTGGAGTTGGGATTTATCCAGGTCAATATGACAAAGCAAGGGTAACATATATCCTTAATAGATTATATGCAAGAGTGTATTATAATGATGGATCATAGGATTTAAGATGGGTAAGGAAAAAAGGAATTAAGAGAAAGTAAGGGGATAATGAAAAGGAGTAGGGTTCATGGAATCTACTCCTAAATGTGGTCAAAGGATTATTGAATTTGTGGTCTTAGAGGGTATGAACCAGAAAGACAGGTGGAAGTATGGGAGGAGAGGTTGATTGAAATTCACATTACAACAAACATTACACATGTTCTCACTTATGAGTGGGAGCTAAATAATGAGAACACATGAATACATCCGGGGGAATGACACACCCTGGGGCCTGTTGGAGGATAGGGGGTGGGAGGAGGGAGAGGATCAATCAGGAAGAATACCTAGTGGATGCTGGGCCTGATAACTGTGGGATGGGATGATCTGTGCAGCAAACCACCATGCACACATTTGCCAGTGTAACAAACCTGCACATCCTGCACATGTACCCTTGAACTTAAAAGTTGCAAATTTAAAAAAAGAAATTCAAATTACAGATGGATTGCAGTCATTGGTAATATAAAAGTCTGGAGAATGATCACAGGAGTGAGGAGCTGAGGAGGGTTAGAGAGCAAGAACGCTTAAAAAGAGGAGAAAAGGAACCCAGGAGATCAAAGATTAGGTTTACCTACATAGCTATTGAGTTCACCAACAGTTATGGCTAGACTAGTTTTTGAAAAAGTGATCTTAAATTAGGAAATAAAGCCTTCAAGAAATGAAGGCTTCCCAGGGTTTATAGAGTACAAAAATGAGCAGGATAGTGAGTGGTACTGTGCTGTCTGATCACAGGAGATTCAAAGCCAGTGGTATAAGTGGTTTTAGGGAGGAGAGACAAAGAGTGTCTCAAAGCATCAGTAAGCAACAAAGAAGCTCCAGACCCAGTGGTAGAAGTTATATGGAAGTATTGAGAGAGATGCAGCATCTTCAGGGAAGAGCAATAGAGAAACCTTTGTTTCTTCAGGCAGTGGATTCTCACCTCACGTTACCTGGGTGCTCTCAACAAAATTTACTTTCATTGAGGAGAATTTCTTTCCCTTCTCAGCTCTTCAACATACTCAGAAGTTGAGTTTCTGGTCTGCTTGGTTTCCCTTTAAGTATATGTTTCCCGAAGCATCTCAAACTTAAAGAAAAGTTGCAAGTACATTATAAAGAACTTTTTTTCCTGAACCATGTAAGAGTAATTTGCCAATATGATTGCTCCATCATCCCAAATATTTTAGTGCATTATTTTTTTCTAAAGAATATTCTCCTGCATAACCCCAATACATCCATCAAAATCAAGAAGCTAACACTGACACGTTACTGTCGTCTTATCCATAGCCCCATTCAGGTTTTGCTGGTTGTTCCAGTAAAGTCCTTTATAGCAAAATGATCCAGTTCCAAATCATATATTGTAATTAATTGTTATGTCTCTTTAGTCTCCTTCATCCTAGAACAGTTCCTCAGTCTCTTCTTGACTTTGATCACCCTGACACTTTTGTGGAGACTACAAACCTGTTATTTTTTAGAGTGTTCTTCAGTTTGCATGGGTTTACAATTTCGTCATGATTAGATTCATTTTATGTGTTTTTGACAGGAATATCTCAGAAGTGATGCTTGTTCTTCTTGTTACATCCTATTAGGTGATACGTGGTTTCTATTTGTCCAATTCCTAATAATGTTAACTTGGATCTCTTAATTAAGGTGCTCTCTTCCCAGCTTCTCCGCTGTAACATTACTCTTTTTCACTTTGCAATTAATGTCTCTTGTTTCTTAAACTTCAGATTTTTTCATTCACTTATTTATTTATATCAGTATGGACTTACAGATTTCTGTTTACTCAATGGATGTTAATCTATTACTGTCATAATTTATTTTGATGTTCACTTTGTCCCAGATATGGCCGGGGCATTCTCTTCCAGCTAGCTTCTATGCCCTTTTGTTGTGTCCCCACATTCTCTAATCACTTCCTTACTTTCTGGTATAAAAAAGATGGTCCAGATTTGTCTGTGCGCCAGCTTTGGAACCAACCATTTCTACAAAGCTGTGGATCCTTTTAGTGGAGGATAGTACTAAAGACTAACATTTGTGGTTGTGCTACTCCCAGGCCATTTGAGTGGACAAAGATAGTAAGTACATTATATACACCATACACTTACACATACATATGCAAATTTACATGTCTTTATCTAAATATCTGATGAAAACCATAAGTTCATATCAGTACTCTCAGTTTCAATCCAGTACCATGGGATTCATTCTGTATTTGTGTCTCCTTTCCATATGTGTACATCCTTTCCCTGATAGGTAAGGAAACTGGCTCCCCTTATCCTTTAATATATTTCCTTATTTGATCAGTCCCTTATATGTGCCAATCTCCTGTCACTGCTTCTTCTCCCACACAGATGGTCTCCTTGAACTAGTTGGGCTTCACCTTATGCAAGGTCACTCCCTTATGTGGACCTCCTCCTTACCCCACTTGACCTCAGTAAGGCCTTGTGCCAGGAGTTCCTTTTCCTCACTTCACTTGGATTCCAGTAGTGTGTCAAGCTGCTGCTGCTGCCCACCGCCTTCTTGACTCCCACCCCCATATGAAGTCTTTTTATCCCTTTCAGATTCCTACACACCCTGTACCAGGCTGCTCCTCTGTAAAGACGCTCTCTCCATCTAACTTGTGTTCCAACCCCCCAGCCTGAGGTGCCTTCCCTTGTGGTTGCCCTGTTCATCCTGCTTGGGCTCCCAATACCTTACTCAAAGTCACCGCTGCACTTAGATTGCCTCCTCATCCTGCTCAGGTTCTGACACTTTACTCTTGGCTGCCCTCCTCACTCCACACAGGCTTTGACATCAGGCCACCACCCCATGTGGATTTCATATGGGCGTTTGGACCCTGTGCTCCCTGGCCTGCAGAGGCTCCCTGCCTTTGACTGACATCCACCAGCTTATGTTGACATCCTCATGACTCCAGTTGGAGTCTTATATCCCATTTTGAGCTCCAAACCCACCTTGATCTCTAGTTTCTTTTTCTTTTTCTTTTTCTTTTTTTTCTCTAGTTTCAATTGTTATTTCTGGAGCACAGGGTAATAAGATCATAACAGCAGGTAGGCTGTTGGAGTGACATCAATGACCCAGAGATAAAAACCAAACTTCAAATGGTAAGGACATAGTCCTCCACAAGACTCCCCTCACGTCAGCCATGAGTTTAGTGGTCTGCAAGCTACCCACAGCTGTGAAGAGCTGGCTACAAATCTGGGGGTTCCCATTATTCCCTCATGTTTGATAATTCAGTAGAACAACTCACCAAACTCAGCATAGTGCTGTACTTATTATTACAGCTTTATTACAGCAAAAGGATTCAAATCAGAATCTGTATAGGGATGATCTGAGAGGGTCCCAGATGTGAAGCTTCCGTTGTTTTCTCCCCATTAAGTAAGGACGCATTAACTTTCCTCCTCTCGAACATCCAGTATGTGATGATATGCGGAGTATTACCAACCAGGGAAGCTCACTCAAACTTCAATGTTCAGAATTTTTATTGATGTTTCCTTATGTAAGCATGACTGACTGAATCATCGCCCATGTCGCTCAGTCTTTAGCTATTCTCCCCTCTCTGGATATTGAGGTTATATCACTAGGCTCAAAGCGCAACTCTCTAATCACATGGCTGGTCTTAGTGATGTGGCCAGCCCCCATCCTGAGTCATCTCTTTAGCATAAACTAGGGGCCACCAAGGATTTAGAGGCTACTTCTCAGAAACTGGAGACAAAGGCCAGCCAAATTCTTTATTCCAAGTGTTTAGAGCTGAACTCCTAGCAACCAGTACAAAGGCCAACCAAATTCTTTACTATTCAGCTATGGAAAACTAAATTGCTTTCCTAAATGTGGTATACAGATCAGTTGTTCACTCTAAAATTTCTGCTTCGATATTTCCTCATTTACCTTTCAGATTAAGATGTCATGCAGTAATTTTACAATGCTCATAATGTACTTATTTATTTTCTAATCATAGAAATAAGTAAACTTTCAGAAATGTTCCAATACTGCAGTATAAATTGATAATGACACTATAGTAATATAATCAAACATACAGTATTTTAAAGTACAAGTGTTAATTTGCTTGTGTTATATTTTACTTTTATCTGTCAATTACATATCTTATCTGTTTTAGGTATGACTTTAGCCTTTCCAGCCTCAGTTCATGATTCTCTAATTTGCAGTAAAACATTTCAAATTTTGTACAAAAATGAAGAGGTTGTTTTAAATGATGTTATGATCTTCAAAGTAAAAATGCTATTGGATGAAAGAAAGGTAAACATCTCTTCATATTTATTTATGTAAATATTTTTTGTAATGCCTCAAGATGTTATTTCTAACTTTCTATAAAATTTCAAAAAGTATCTCATAGTGTAATTTCTTTTCAGATTGAAGAAACCCTTGAGGAAATGAATTTTCTATTATCCTTGGATCTACACTTCACAGATGGAGATTATTCGTAAGTAGCTAATCAATTAAAAAACCTTTAGGCACTTATGACTGTTATTTGTTATTATTAGATTGCCCATTTTCCTCTTAAAATTCATCCTATCCCTATCTTGTCTTGAACTACTTGTGTTTTCTGGGGAAACTTCATGAGAATGATTAGGCCAGCTCTATTGTGCCCATGCCGAATCCATGAGCTCCAGATAACAAAACCAGACAAGTTAAAGAAATATGGAACAATTTTTCCTAGCTCCTAGAAATTGCACTGTTAATGTAATACCACTACCGTGAGGCATTTAAATGTAAATGAGCTCTTTTCCACTGTATCACTGGCTAATCTTTCTTGATGGCATCAGTTATGCTTTCTTTAGGTAGGACTTTGTTGATATTCTGAGAGTTATCAAGACTGACGATGTGCACTTGACAGTTGTTCTAGTTCATTAATTTCCAGAGCCCTTGAGGAAGTTTTAGGATTGGCTACCTCCAACTTACCCACATACCTGGACATGCAGTCATATGTTTTAGGAACAAATTTTGCTTGTGTTCATTTAAAACAAGAATCAGAGATTCACTTAACAATTGTATTTATGCAGGGTTTTTTCCCCCATCTCAAATGTAGTTTTAGCAATAATTCTCAAAAATGATATATAAATTCAGACTGCATGTGGGATAAGTAACTAAAAAGTCACATTACTGAAAGGCCTACTTTAGATGTCCTCTTCACTATATGGTAGCTACTGTTCCTCTGTAATACTTGTTCATTACAAAGAATTTTGTAAAGTCTTTTTTTTTTCACCAAGTCAGAATTATTTAAGTGGAATAAGCTGAAATGAGTAGGTAGTTCATTACCTGTAGATTGTTAAAATGGATGGATGGAATTTTTTTAAGTATAATTGGATATAATTTTCATGGCATTGTTTCACATTTTTAGTGTGTATAAATCTAATGATATACTAAATATCTACAATAAGATATGTTTTACTTTTTAAAATAAGCAATGGCCTGCTTATTTTTGAGTAGCACTTAATAAAATTTTGTAGAGTAAAAGTAATTTGAAATATCCTTTGGGATTTATTATAATAGTATTTGACCTATGTTGTACTGCAGCCTTGTAATAAACAGTATTCTCTATGGGGTAAAATTTTAAGATGAGATTAATTCCTGAAGTATCAAAAAGGATTCATTTTATAGGGATATTAGTGAAAAAATAGTTCATATCATGGACTGATAGAAAACAATAATAGGTGGGATCTGATTATTTTCTCAATTGGTATGTTTCATATTGCTTCTAATGCAACTTTGATGCTTTAAAAATTACTCTTATTCGAAATTTTTAAAAAGTAATTAAGTAAATAGTTTTTATAGTTTCAACTACTTTATAATATATTGGCGTTTACTAAATGTTTCATACTTACATGCTAAGTGTTCCTTTTTACAGGGCAGATGATCTGAATGCCTTGCAACTAATAAGTAGCCGAACATTGAAGCTGCACTTTAGCCCCCATAGAGGCCTTCATCATCATGTTAATGTTATGTTTGATTACTTCCACCTTTCTGTTGTGTCTGTTACAGTTCATGCATCATTGGTTGCACTACACCAGCCACTAATAAGGTAAATTTGACTAATATTTTTGTATTAAGCCATTCTTACACTGCAATAAAGAAATACCTGAGACTGGTCAATTTATAAATAAAAGAGGTTTAATTGGGTCATGGTTCTTCAGGCTGTACAGGAAGCATGATGCTGGCATCTGCTTAACTTCTGGGGAGGCCTCAGGAAACTTATAATCATGGCAGAAATCAAAGGGGGAGCAGGCATCTCACATGGCCAGAGCAGGAGCAAAAGAGTCAGGAGGAGTTGCTACACACTTTTAAATAACTAGATCTCATGAGAACTCACTCACTATCATGAGGACAGTATCAAGAGGAATGGTACTAAACCATTCGTGAGAAATCTGTCCCCCTGATCTAATCACCTCCCACCAGGCCCCATTCCAACATTGAGGATTACAATTCAACATGAGAGCCTTATTAATGTAGCATTTTTTTATTTTTATAGTGAAAACGTGTACTTTGCTAAAGATAACTGAAATAATGACTTTTAAAATTTATAATAAAATTCAAGAGTATGGGAAACATTGGCTTGATAACTTTTTTATTACAGAAATATGAAGCCATCTTTGTCAATCCCAAATAAGTTAACAAAGAAAAAATACCATCTGGAAATAACCACACAACATTGTTTATTCTGTACCTATGTTTTGTGCAATGTTAAACTATAATTACTCTGGAAAAGTATGTGAATTTTTTCTTATTTTTTCTTTGCCTCTTATCCAGATAGGCTAATTTTATCTTCTTAACTGTACATCATACAGTGATACTTGCTTTCCAAGTCATTAACCAATTTTATGAATTTTTACTCAACCTTTTAAAACTATATCATGTACCATTAGTTCAAAGGTATATAATATTCTGGATCATAATAAATGCATTGAGATAATTATTTTTTTCTGTTCACTTCCATGGGTAGACAGATTTCTTTCATTAAAGTAAAAATACAATGCAAGGTCTTCAGTTTTTACAACATCATCCTTGTAGTATGGGCAGCAGATGGATGCTTCAAATCAGTAAATTATATGAAAGTCTCCAATTTTATTTGATTTCTAAACTATCTACAATTTCTGATGTACATCTGATTCTGACAAATGATATTGGGATGATGCTTAAGGGATATGATGGTAAACTGATTTATCAGAAAACTAAGTAAATCATTTTGCAAAATTACCCTCAGAATTTATGGAAGCCCAACACAATTTAACATATTGACCACAGGTAATAACCTCCTATGGCATATCTTTACATTGTTTTAAAAACTAATTGAAAACATCTTTCATTCTGTTGCTCTCTCATCTCTTACATGTAGATCACCTTGACCTAGTTCCTTTTAGAGCACCAGGCCAGGAAGACATATATTTCTCCTGATGACTTGTTTTGCCTTCTTTATTCTATAGAAAGATCTGTAACTGGTAGTTTTGCTGTCTTTTTCTTACCTCCTAGGCCTTTGAGAGGTCGTGCTAAGTTATTATAGCTTTTATAAGCAGGAAGGTGTTTTTTTATTACATACATAATTTTATTATAAACTTAAAATTTTTTTGGAAGATTTTCTGAAATAGAATGTGTGAATGAAACTTTTCTAACAAAGTGTGTTTTTTGAAATATAACTTTTAAATAATATACAGTATTGCTTTTATATGATTTTGTGTTTGGTTTTAATGCTAAATGTTTATCTGTTTATAAAATGTATTACTCTAGTTTTCTAAATCTCTTCTTTTTGTAGTTTTAAGAAGAACCCCTAATTAAATTGTTTTAACTATTTCTTTTTAAGATTTACCAAGATTATCTTCATAAAACTAGCTGTGTTTCTTTCCTGCAAAATGCACAAACAATTCATAGGAGGTTAGCTCAGGTTATTAATGTTAGTTTTTAAGGCCCTAATTAAACAGAGTAGATATTCACATCACCATCGTAGTGAGTTAAATACGTGCTTCCTCTTGCAACGCAGCAATTTTTGCCACAGACTAATAGGAGAAAGGGGCAGCTCATCTCCTAGAGACCATTTACTGGAAGAAGAAATTTTTGGCTCAGAATCAGAAGCCAGGAGGATTAACTGTTGGCTCTGGTTAGTGACTAGAAAAGAAAACAATATGCCTGTAACAGCTGAGGTTGCTGTTCTTTATCTAGCTGCCATGGGCCCTTATATCTAACACTGTTGCTGCTAGAACTTCGCTGTAAAAGCAGCAGCATCTTTACCAGCCTTTCTCTACCTATAAATGAAAGGTTGGAAAAGGAAAGCAAGGAAAGGGGAAGGGGAAGCTTTTTGCTGGTGGTGTGTTGATAAAGGGGTCATGTCTAAGGGTAACATTTCCTACTCTATATTCTTCAACAGGTTTTTCCTGAAGTTTTATTATTGGTGGGTTTTTTTATCCTCCAATCATTGAAAAATTTTTAATTTATAACATTATCTTTTAAATTTTCATTTTTATTTAAAACAATTTTTATGGTCAATGCAATCTATAGACGTTATATCAGTTACTTAAAGTAAGTGGCTTAGGATTTCTTTCTTTGCTTGCTTTTTATTTGAACTGTTTCTTATATTTGAATTTTTTAAGTACAACTTTTATGACAACTCTGAAAAACACATTGTATGAAGTGGAATTTACCACTTATTTGAGACTCCCTTCTTTGCTGGGATATAGACATTTTACTTTTGCAAAGCAAATGGATTTTGCAAGCAAAACCTGCACTCTGCTTATGGCAACATTATTTTTCTTTTCTGTCTTTTCCCTTTTGCCAAACTATCGAACAGTTCAAATGCTTTGGCCTACTTTATCTCAAATATAATTGTGTATGATTTTTCAACAGTTTAACAGAAATATGCTTCTTCCTCTATGGAATATAAATGTTAATACTAACAGAAGTAATTCATATAGTATGTAATTGATGGTGCCTTGAAGCTGGAGGCTGGAGGATTGCTTGAGGCCAGGAGTTTGAGACTAGCCTAAGCAACATAGCAAGACCTCACCTCTACAAAAAATAAAAATTAGCCAAGCATGGTGGCACATGACTGTAGTTCTAGCTGCTAGGGACTTGAATAATAAAAATTATTTTAATAGAGCTTATAGCCTTTTAGTAAAGAGAATTAAGGGAAATAAATTTATTTTTGAGAAATAGAGGCATCAGGTAGATTTAGTAATTTTTCTTTTTCTACATTTACATGGGAGCTCTTTATTTCTGGGAATAGCATTCATATTTCATTAAGTGTTAACACTGTAAATTTGGTAACCAGTTCTGACATCAGGATTTCCAAATTCAAGCTTGGCTTTCATTTGTTGTTTAGCTACTCTAAATCCCACCATGTTTTATCTTTGATGTTCTTTGAGACTTCCAGAAGTCTAATTATAGCAAGCAATGTCAAACATCTAGCCCTAATTTTTTAACATTCATTTTATTTTTTCATGATTATTCAAATTATTTTTTAAAATTACTTTAGGAGTACTTTTGAACTTATAAACTTGCAAAACCCTTGCTGTTCTATTCCTGTAAGATTTTCCTTTGTAAATATTTAACTTACATTCAAATAGACTCGTATGACAATAATAATGTAATACTTCTTCCTCCAGCTTTCCTCGCCCTGTGAAGACAACTTGGTTAAATAGAAATGCACCAGCACAAAACAAAGATTCCGTGATTCCTACTCTTGAAAGTGTGGTCTTTGGTATTAACTACACAAAACAGTTATCACCAGATGTAAGAACTGAATATGTTTATAAATCTTCTCCTTATTTTAAAAGAAGTGTTTTTAACAATTTTATCTGTGAATGTTATATTTCTTTTTTAAATTATTTCAGCTCAGCAACTTATAGATCTAATTAAATATGATCTTAAAAATTGTTTGGTTCTAATTGTCTATTATGAAAACTAACATGATACTTCAAAATGTTACCAGATTTAGTGGATAGACATCTGTGACAGCCTGTGCCCTTTAACTTGTTACTGTCACCCCTTGGTCCAACAACTGGTAGAATCATTCCAAAGGAGCCTTTAAAGAACAATTGACAGAGCTGAGACCCAGCGTAGAGTAGCGCAGGCCAGGTGTTGTGGCTCACGCCTGTAATCCCAACACTTTGGAAGGCTTAGCCTGGAGGATTGCTTGAGGCCAAGAGTTTGATACCAGCCTGAGCAACATAGCAAGACCCCACCTCTACAAAAAATAATGGTGGCACATGTCTGTAGTCCCAACTGCTAGGGAGCCTGAGGCAGGTGAATCGCTTGAGCACAGAAGGTTGAGGCTGCAGTGAGCTGCAATCATGTCACTTCACTCCAGCCTGGGTGACAAACTGAGACCCTATATCTAAAAAAAAGAAAATTAAAAAAAAAAAAAGAGTGGTACAAGTACAGCTATTATTATAAAAGAAAAGGGGACATACTATAAAAGCTGAATGTCTGTCCTTCAGTCTAAATGTTATATAAATACCATGCTATCAAAAATAATAATTTAATCTACTTGTTATAAAAACCCACTGTAACAGAAATTACTAGGGCCACATTTCATGTTTAAATTTATTGTATAAACAACTCTCAAATATTACCACATTTTTTATATGTATTAGAATAAATTTAGTTGACAGATGGTTAAGTATTTTTTCTTTATTTTTCCAAGTTTCACATGTAACATTTTGTATTACTGACACTCTGTATCCTACATCTGTTTTTTGTTTAGGGTTGTAGCTTCATCATTGCAGACTCCTTCCTACATCATGCGTATCGTTTTCATTATACACTTTGTGCCACTTTGCTGCTAGCCTTCAAGGGATTGCACAGCTACTTCATTACAGTAACAGAAGAGATTCCTTCTTGTCAGAAACTAGAACTGGGTATGTTAAAAGTAGCGAGACTTATTCTACAGTTCAAATCATTCTCTTCAGTCTTATATTGCTAGCTATCAGCTTTGCCATAGTTTTTCTATACTAAAACTACAGTGTTTGTGTGCTTCACTTCTCTATCAATTCCATCTTTTTCTACCTTGATAATCACTTTTTGCAATTTAAAAGTGTTTTTCAGAATACTAAAAAATAACTTCTTGGTGCTAAATGTGAAATGAGTCTTTTAAAAA
This sequence comes from Homo sapiens, assembly GCF_000001405.40. Taxonomy (NCBI): domain Eukaryota; kingdom Metazoa; phylum Chordata; class Mammalia; order Primates; family Hominidae; genus Homo; species Homo sapiens. The sequence goes on from NC_000006.12 coordinate 70,482,394, forward strand.
AAACATGTCAGTAATCTGTTCCTCTTAAAATATAACCCAAAAACATGTTAGAAAGCAAATGTAATTATCTGCAGAATCATAGGAAGGTAAATTAAAGCCATACTTCCAAATATTTTACAGTCTAATCAGATTGTAGGTACTTAGGGCATTTTTGTTTACATTTGATTTTATAATAGTTATCTCAGATCTCAAATTCCTTTTATATTGTTTTAGGGAATAATAACATTACTTAGTATTTTAACATTTTAAAAATCATTGAAATTGTTTTAAAAAATCAAACTTCAGGTTTCATTCAAAAGTAATACCTGTATATATTTGTAGTGCATAATAAAAAATCATATTGCCTTGATTTTGTATGCCATTTGTAGCTTGCAAAATGCTTTTACATACATTATTTCACAGAAGATAAATTATTGGGATTGGCAAAATAAGTTCTTATTCAGACTTTTTATGTCAGTTTTATTAGCTTTTATTTTCAAATATTGGCTAATAGCTTATAAAAATATATTTTAATTTCTTTAGAATATATTGTTTTATAAGTTTTTTAATAAATCATAAATTGCCTTTTAAAATTTATTGAATCTGTATTCTTACTTTATTCCTTTGTTCCTCAAGGATTTCAGTCTTTTAACAATATTAGTCCACTCCCTAAAGTAGTCACTGTTCCAGAACATAGTTCTTGGGTTTGAGACTAATCAGACTACTTAAAAACTTGTGTCGGATTACAGAGGAATTGCAAGAAAGTGTAAGAATTTCTACCCCACTTAAATTCAGCTGTGAGAAAATGCTGGCTATTGTGCCACTATCAGCAACTACTCAAGTGCATTTAATTAATTAATTAAGTCCACTATTCAGTCAGTTCAACTCACACTTCTTGACTAGACATAGATATCACTAAATTGACTGTTTAGAATTCTTGATTCAGTAATCCTAATGGTTTCATAGATACACAAGCAATAGGAAAATGTGTTTATTCTTTTTTGACCATGTATTCATTCTCAAAACAAAAATGGTAGTGTGGAAAAGACAATCTTCTGATCATTATTCTCTGAAACAGTCTCTATTTTCCTTGCTACTTTATGTTCTTAGAATTCCTGTTTCCCTTAGGAAAATTCTATAGAAGGCCACTACCTCAAATGTAAATTTTTAAAAATCTTCTTTTGAAAATGAATCATTTACAGAATAGAGCTAATTTAGGCTATCACTTATCCTCAATTAATGGAAAGTTATGTTTCAAATATCTTTATTGGTGGTTTGGAAATCAAAAACAAATTTTAGTTAGTTTTAATGACCAGACCACAAAACTATTATACTAACATATTAATGAAGGACAGTATCATGTGCCTGAAAAACAGTGTGATGAAAAGTAGTGATGTAAAGCTTAAAATCCATGTGTAATGTCATTTCTACAAAAAAACCCAAAAACATGTGTTAATAGCTTTGATGTGGAATACTACAGTAGTTTCAAGGAGGCATTATCTTATGTTCAAGAGTGCACATTTGGAACCATTTCTGTCACTTACTTACTTTGAGCCTACAAACACAAAGTGGTTTCCATTCACATGGTAAGAAGATTGAAGGGAATCAGATGTGGTACATGTGTCAGGAAGCAAAGGTGAGATTATCCAAAAGAAAAAGGGTGTAAAGGATCTCTAGGAACAATACTTCTTAACAGTGTACTTCCCTTGGGCTTTTAATGAGCACCTCCTGTGTCAGTTACTGTGCTAGGTGCTGAGGAAAGAATAGGTCCCTGCCTTTAAAGAACTTTGACTTCTCCTGTTCCCTCTCCTCTCACAGCAACAGTATTAAGAAATCAGCTCAGCATTGGGATGGGAAGGAGAAATTCACCCAGCAAAATGGGGCTTCAATATATGAGATGGGCTTATAAATTACCTGTATAAGGAAGATATCCATCTGCATGTAATATTAAAGTAGATTTAACATGTAATATTTACAAAGAAAAACATATGAACCACATTTTAACTTAGAAAAAAATCCTCTCTAAAAGGTAGTATGTTTATTGGTAAAATTTATAATTAGTAATTAAATAAAAACATTTCTCCTTTTAAAGGCAAATATTTATTTCAAATAGCTTAGACCAGCAGTCCCCAACTTTTTTGGCACCAGGGACCAGTTTCTTGGAAGACAATTTTTCCACGGATTGGGGGAAGTGATTGTTTTGGGATGAAACTATTCCACCTCAGATCATGAGGCATTAGTTAGATTCTCATAAGGAGCATGCAACCTAGATCCCTCACACGCACAGTTCGCAATAGTGTTCACGCTCCTATGAGAATCTAATGCCGCTGCTGATCCCACAGGAGGCAGAGCTCAGGAAGCAGTGCTTGCTCGCCTGCTGCTCACCTCCTGCTGTGCAGTCCAGTTCCTAACAGGCCACAGACAAGTACCAGTCCACAGTCTGGGTGTTGGGGTTAGACAGTGTTAGCAATTATTATTAATTAGTCTAGCTTCAGCATGATCATGTATTCATAAGATTTTCAACTTTTTCTCTGGTGAGGATGGCTTTTATGTCATGTATATTACTTTGGGCTTATAGATGTAATATAGAAAGTATCGTAATAAAAGTGCCCTTATATTTAATTTCAGAAGTTAATTACAGAATGAATGTCAACTTTATTCCAAATTATTTGCTTAAAATATTTTATCAGAAAATAAAATTCTAAAGCAAACCCAGACTTCAGTTTTAAATAAGTATATGATAGAAATAAAATTACTAGTACCTTACACATAGACTTACTTAAAATATATTTCTCGAATGAATGAATGAAATAGCACAATACAGTTTTCATTGTTACTTGAAAAAGTATAGGCATCAACATAAAGCTTAACAGTTTCCTAGGGATTTTTAAAATCAAGATTCATCTTCAGTAAATATTGGTAATATATTGTGGTGTTCTTAAACTTTACGGTTTTTATTTTCCTTTCTCTTTATTGTGAATTTTAGTTTATTCTTGAATGCATCCTGTAAGAAAACATCTAAAAATACTATTAACTTAAAAATAAAAGTATTTGTTACATATTCTAAACTATCAATGTCTTTTATTTTTATTCTAGCAAAATAAAATTGTGAACACTAATATATTTCTATAATGTACTATTGACCAAACACCACTATATTCACCAGTTTTAATAAGTGGATACAGAGTAGTTCTTGATTAAAGAATATTTCCTTCTATTACTTACCACTTTCATTGAGTTTTCAAATAAGCATATATTTAAACTTCTTAAACTTGACTATGCTTTGAAAACTTTTCTAAAATATGTTCCCTCTTTTAAAATAACGCCTTGAGTTCCTTTCGGCTTTTTTGCCTTTCTCTTTTCTCCCAGATGAATGATGTACATTTTCTGATGACATATAATTAAATATTGGTTTGGTGCAGGGAGCTCTTACTGAACATGAGAGTCAGGAGTTCTGGAATTAGGTTTGGGCAAGTCACATAGCCTATATGAACCCCAATATCTACACTTGTAACAGCAGGGAGTTAACTCTGAGATCCCTGCCAACCTAAAATTCTGAGTCTAATTAATTAAGACATATTGGATTATGAAATGTTGAGTGGCACATACATTTAAATTAAAAAACCAAAGAAATATATACTTGAATGTACATCATTTGTAATTTTGATAAGCTAATTAACTAACTGCACTATCAGATCAACACTAAGTCTATTATTAACAAGTTGGAAAATTCTAGTAAGTTTTGTTGTGAAAGGAGTATAGTAACTAGTGCTGTGTGCAATCCTTATGACTAGCCAAGGCCAACATGCAGCTCCTATATGAGCGTCTTCTCAGAAGAAAACAGCTACGAACACAGAAAGACAACCATCTAGGTACGTTTACAAATAGCTTAAGTAAATGATCCCTTTTAATTAAAAAGTATGAAATTTTGCTTTAAATTAGCATCAGATTTCATAAATGTATATTTAATAATGTGGTATGTTTCCACCATTCTGAAGAACTTACCTTTAAAATCAATTTGGTTTGTAGATAAATTTTGGTTAATTTCCTAATTAATTTGTAATATTGAAGTTTTTACTTAAATCTGGAAATGGTAAATGCAAAACTCACTGGCTTTTTTCATATGTTTTTTAAAGTTTCTATGAAGAGCACTTTTTCAAAACCATGATTATTACTACAATTTGTTGGTTTAATGACATCGCCTTAAATTTGCTCAGTTATTTTATCTTTGGCTAGGCCTAGTGATAATGAAATGTGATTTTAAAACTAAACCAGGCCGGGTGCGGTGACTCACGCCTGTAATCCCAGCACTTTGGGAGGCCAAGGTGGGCAGATCACCTGAGGTCAGAAGTTGGAGACTAGCCTGACCAACATAATGAAACCACGTCTCTACTAAAAATACAAAATTAGCCGGATGTGGTGGCGCATGTCTGTAATCCCAGCTACTCGGAGGCTGAGGCAGGGGAATTGCTTAAACCTGGGCAGTGGAGATTGCAGTGAGCCGAGATCGTGCCATTGCACTCCAGCCTAGGCAACAAAAGTGAAACTCTGCCTCAAAAAAAACTAAACCTAGTTTTCTGCACTGCAGAAATAGAGAAGAGATGGGAGGCTGAGGCAGGAGAATTGCTTGAACCCAGAAGGTGAAGGTTGCAGTGAGCCAAGATCGTGCCACTGCACTCCAGCCTGGGCAAGAGAGTCGGACTCCCATCTCAAAAAAAAAAAAAAAAAAAAAAAAAGCTTTAAAAAAAGAAATAGAGAAGAGAAATATCCTATCAGGATCTGGGTTGTGTTGTATGTTTGTTTGTTTGTTTTAGTCAATTTGCATTTATTTTTTGTTATTCTACATTTAAAAAGCAAAATAACATCAAATCACCACTCTCTGGATATGTTATGCATGGTAAAGGAAATGTTCTGATCTCATTATTTTATTATACATTTTCATATATATGTTAGACTTTTCTTGAATAGCCATAATTTATTATCTATGAGTATATTAAAAGTTTTCACTTTGCGTTCAGTAAACCATCACAATTTTTTAAAAAATTATGAAAAGCTGTAGGAATCAAAAAGTGAAATAAAATAAGTATTTATTTCCCAATTTTCAGAGGTATGAAATGAAGGAAGTTAAAAAGCCAAAATCTATCTCAACATTTCTCAGGTGAAAACTAACTCAGAAATATTTGAGTTGTGTTAATTTTCACTAAGACTGTTAAGGGAAACTGATTTTCTTGTCAGGAAGGAAAAAGAAGAGTTGAAAATTTATTGTCATTCTTTCTGGAACATAGTATTATATTCTCATATAAAGTTACTGTAAAATTAAAGAATTCATAGTATGAAACTGTGGCCATTTATGACATTTTAGCATTTTTTAGCAATTAAAATATACTTCTAATTTAAACTATTTTATTGCCAGCCTATCAGTTTACATGTGAGCATTCTAAATAATTTTACAGAATGCAGTTTAATGTAATAAGATCTATTTTTTAAAAATGGGCCAGATCTTGGTTGAGTAGAAAAATACTTAATTTTCAAAACTAAAACATAATGAAGTTAGTTAACACTTTTGTTGAGATATCTTTTATCCTTAAACCTAACATTGTATTGCCGTTGTCTGAGCTGTGTTATAAATATTTGTTGAATGAATGGATAGATTTAGAAAATAAATGTTAGATACATGTACCCTTTGACCTAGCATCCCCACTTCTGTTCACCTGTATCATAGAAATAGCATACTAGGTAGTATGTAAAGATACAGGTACAAGCATGTTTATTGCAGTATTGTTCTTAGTGGCAAAACAGTATAAACAAAGATCAATGCCCATTATTTGGGCAAAGAGTGGAATACAGAATATATCATGATGCACCCACATCAAGGAATACTGTGTAGTCATCTTAAAAAATGCTTTAGTGCTAGGTACCAGAATACTGTGGGGTAATGCTGAGAGAAAAAAAGCAAGATGCAAAAAATTGTGCAAAATACAATCCTATTTTTATAAAACAGTGACTCCAAAACTCATATGTGTATATGTATATTTGAAAAATATGGAAGGATATGCTCTAGACTGTAACCTTGGATTAGTAATAAGAGCCAAGCCCCCCCCCCCAGAAATATATGATAATCATCACATTTATACATTTCTATAAAACTGTATAAATGGATATACAGTATACCCTTGAATAACACCAGAACTGGGGCACTGACCCCTGTACAGTTAAAAATATACCTGTAACTTTTGACTCCTCTAGTACTTACCAACTAATGGCCTACTATTCACTGAAAGCCTTACAGATAACATAAACAGTTGATTAATACATAAAAAGACTAGTATCTACATGTTTTTATGCAATCATGACATATTCATCTTTCTTAATTTTTTCAATATTTCTAGGCTACATAGTTTGCAAGTTTCATATTCTTTCCAAAATATTTATTGAAAAATACTTGTGTATAAGTGCACCTGCGTAGATCAAACCTATGTTGCTCAAGGGTCTGTTATATATGTCACTTTAAAAAGAAAAAATAATTAAAATAGGATTTTAAACTCCCTTAAAAATCTAAGTGATTTCAAAATTATTTTCAGTTCTAAGATTTTAGAGTTAAATTATGCTTTTAAACATTCTTTAAGATACTGTTTGCATTGAAGTAGCTCTCAGTAGCTATAATGCAAACATACCCATTTATGCAGTTAGGTTCTTCTATGTAAACATTAGAAAAATGTGTCACAACTCTCAAAACCTTATTTTCTAATTTTTAAAAATCAGAGGTAGAATATGTAATTTCTAAGACTAACTTTACTG